>NC_000010.11:128170746-128482226 GCF_000001405.40 Homo sapiens
TGATTCTCCTGCCTCAGCCTCCAGAGCAGCTGGGATTACAGGCACATGCCACGACGCCTGGCTAATTTTTGTATTTTTTGTAGAGATGGGGTTTCATCATGTTGGCCAGGCTGGTCTCGAACTCCTGACCTCAAGTGATCCACCTGCTTCAGCCTCCCAAAGTGCTGGGATTACAGCCTTGGCCTGGCCTTGAATTTAATATAATTTTTATGTATGAGGAAATCATCTTTTTATTTTCTTCAACTGTTTAAAAGTGTAAAATTCATTCTTTGCTCATGGGTCAGATTTGGCTTGCAGATCATGCTAGTCTGCCAGCCTCTGCTTAGAATCTTCATTGACAAATATCCTACTTGATCAATTTCATCTATTTCAAATCATGGAACTTGAAGTTGCTGTATTTTTGGACAAAAATACACCATTAATGAGAAGCAAGAATTGAGAGGTCTTAGCGAGCTGCAGGTTAAATAATCTGAGGTAATAATCCAAGCTGAAATCAAGTTGAATAATAATTCAAGTCTTTTCTGAAATTCTGACTTATTATCTGATAAGTGTTATGCATTGTTTAGATAAGAGCTCACCTGGGATATTCATTCATTCATTGATTCATGTCTTCATTTATTAAACAAATATTAGTTGAATGTCTCACCCTGCATCAGACCCTGTGCTAGGCACTGGAGATGCAGCTGTAAGATTAGGTAAAGTTCTTGCCTTCATGGAGTTTATAGTCTAATGAGGCAGGCTAACATCAAACAAATACAAACTCAAATGCCTATGTCATTATGAATTCTTTCATTTTTATTTTTTTTTTTTGAGAGTGGGTTTTGCTCTTGTCGCCCAGGCTGGAGTGCAGCAGTGTGATCTCAGCTCACTGCAACCTCTGCCTCCCGGGTTCAAGTGATTCTCCTACTTCAGCCTCCTGAGTAACTAGGATTACAGGCATGTACCACCATGCCTGGCTAATCTTGTATTTTTAGAAGAGACAGGGTTTCACCATATTGGCCATGGTTGGTTTTGAACACCTGACCTCAGATGATCTGCCCACTTCAGCCTCCCAAAGTGCTGGGATTAGAGGTGTGAGCCACCACGCCTGGCCTGTGTCATTATGAATTTTTAAACTGTTATTTAGCAATGCCTCACTCATATCCCTTGGACCTTTTAGGATGCTCAACATTCAGCTACCAATACCTGCCTGTCTGTAACTGAGGCCCTCCTTTCCTTCCTTCCTTCCTTCCCTCCCCTCCTCTCCTCCCCTCCCCTGTCCTCTTCTCCCCTCCCCTCTCCTCCCCTCCCCTCCCCTCCCCTTCCCTCCCTCCTCTACCTGTGGGAAGTCCTACAGGCCACAGCAGGTATGGTAGACCTGAAGTACCTGGGAATGAACACTCATGCCCATCTAGATCCAGGACTGTAGGAGCTGAAGTATAAATACCCCAGCTCCCTTGCCCTATGAGCAGGAAAATATCAAAGTGTTTCCCCATTACTTAATTACTCTAAACAAACCTCAGTTTTCCTCTATGAAATGGGGATCAAAGTAGAATTTGCACTAGAGAGTCATACGTGGATGTATTAGTTTCCCATTGCTGCTGTAACAAGTTACAGGTTACTACAAACAGTAGCTTGCAGCAAAGAAGATTTATTATTTTACACCTCTCATTACCTATGTTGGGCACTGGTTTGAAAACACAGAAAGACATGCAGGTGCTATGACGGTCCATGATGGGTCAGTTGGATCAGGGAAGCAATATCTAAACTGAGAGCTGGTAGATGAAGTGGGGTCTAGCCTGGCAAGGAGGGAGCAGGGGGTATGTGTGTATGGGGGATCCTAGGTATGAGCACCAACAAGGTAGCTGGGAAGTCTGGCCCACTGACAACACACAGACACTGTGCCTGGTGAGGGGTACTGAAGCCTCCTTTGCTTTCAGGAAGCTGGGGGTTAATTGTGGTCAGCCTCCAAAAGGAATAATTTCTGGAATGTGTCTTGATCTTTTTATTTTCATATTATCTTCTGATTTTCTCATCTTGCCCTAACAACTACACTGTGGGGTTGGGAGGGGGAATAGTCTACATAGAGTGTGTGGCAGAGAGGTTGAAGGTTCAGGAAGCTACTGGCCCCTTGGCTCCCTGGTGTTTCTTCCTCTGTGATATTGCTGATGGTTCCCAAGAAGAGAAAACCTGTCATCCACCAAACCAGGGAAACCTGTTGTCTGTGCAAAACATTCGAAGCACTCAGAACTATGCAAGAGTCAAGATCACCTGGAATCCTACCACCTAGCAACACTCATTACTAAGGCTTGGTGTGCATCCTTCTTTACTTGTTATACATAGACACAGACTTGCACACATACAGTACTATGGTTTGGATATTTGACCCAGGTAAATCTCATGTTGAAGTTTGATCCCCATTGTTGAAGGTAGGGCTTAATAGGAGGTGTTTGGATTCCTCATGAATAGATTGATGCCCTGGAGGGAGGAAAGTGAGTTACTTCTCTATTAGTTCCTTTGAGAGCTTCCTTGGAGCTGATTAATAAAAAGAGTTTGGCACCTTCACTTTCTCTCTCTTCCCACCTCTCTCTCTCGCCTCTTCTCTTCCCATGGGATCATCTCCTGACCTTTGGCAATCCACCCACCTCTGCCTCCCAAAGTGCTGGGATTACAGGCATGAGCCAGCCACTACGTCTGGCCTCTTTTTTAAAAAAAAAATTAAATAGAGATGAGATCTCACTATGTTGCCCAGCCTGGTCTCAAACTCCTGAGCTCAAGTGATTTTCCTGCCTTGGCCTCCCAAAGTGCTAGGATTACAGGCATGAGCTGCCACACCCAGCCAAATTCCACACATTCTTTGATCATGAATAACTTATAATATTAGCCAATGCTTTCTGAGTGCTGTTGTTTGCCAAGCTCTGAGTTTGGTGCTTCTTATTTTGGTGCATTAACTCATTTAGTTCCCTGTGGTAGGTAGAAAAATGCCCTCCAAAATGTGTCCACATCCTAATGCCCCCAAACTATGAATATGCTACCTTACATAGGAAAAGGTACTTTGCATTTGTGATTAGGAATCTTGAGAAAGGAAGATTCTCCTGGATCATTTGTTCAGGCCCAATGTTATCACAAGGATTCCTGAAAGATGGACAAAGGAGGGAGAGAGATTGAAAGATGCCTGTGATGCTGGCTTTAAGACAGAGGAAAGTCTGGAGAAAGCAGACACTGATGGATGGTGGAAGAGACAAGGAGACAGAATCTCCCTTTGAGCTTCCAGGAAGAACACAGCCTCTGGCACCATGATTTCAACCCAGTAAGACTGACTTTGGACTTTTTCTTCTTCTTCTTCTTCTTTTTTTTCTTTTGAGACAGTATTTTATTCTATCACACAGGCTGCAGTGCAGTGTTGTGATCTCAGCTTCCTGCAAACTCCACCTCCTGGGCTCAAGTGATCCTCCAGCCTCAGCCTCCTAAGTAGCTTGGACTACAGGTACATACCACCATGCCTGTCTAATTTTTGTATTTTTTGTAGAGACAGGGTTTGCCATGTGGCCCAGGCTGGTCTCAAACTCCTGAGCTCAAGCGATCTGCCTGCCCTGGCCTCCCAAAGAGCTGAGATTACAGGCGTGAGCCCCCAAGCCTAGCCTAAAATCCTTGTGTTATTAAAAGAAAACATAAGTAAGTATTTCTCTAATCTTGGAGTGGAGACTGTCTTTTTAATCATAATGCCAAGACAGAAATCATAAAGGAAGAGATGGATACATTTTTTTCTGTGAAATATTAAGACCTTTAAAAAAAACTTTGTGTAGACAAACATATTTGTATAGACAGAGTGAGACGCTATCTCCAAAAAAAAAAAACACACACACATACACAAAAAACAAAAAAACCAGTAATGATTTAAAAAATATCTTTAGCTCCTGTGGAATTTACTTGAGTGTAGAGTAATAGCTAGGGGTATATGTTGGGGTGATCAAACCCAACACCAGGTTGTGGGGGTGACAAAGTCCGGCAGAGTCAAAGGAATGAGAAAAGACAATTTGAGAGAGAAAGTGGGTCCAGGGGGCCATTGCGAGTGTGGAGGCTGGGAAGGCCCTGAGCTCTGGAAGCCCAGATTATTTATTGGTGATCAAACAAAGAAACAGGTGGTGAGAATGTGGGGGTCAAAAGGGCACATTGCATTAGGCACATGTTTTACAGCTGTGACAGTTTAGCATATGCTCTGCTACTTGAGATAATGGGGAGCAGGTTCTTTTAACTCAAGATACAATCGATCCTGGGAGAGCAAGGAGCAAGAAGCCAGCAAGTCTAGACATATACAGAGCCACGAGCCCTGGATTCTATCCAAGCCATGAGGGGTTTTATGCCCTAGGCTTAGATTATGGTGTGTCAGGGTAGCCTTCCACCCTTTGGCACAGAGCCTGGTGTTCCAAAGGCCATGAGGGGTTTTAGACCCTGGACCCTGGACATGTTCCAAGACTCTTTTACATTATGTCAGACATGCAAGGCCTGCCTCAGCTTCTCTCCCAACACTCAGCTTTTCTCCCAACAGGTCTAAATGTTTTCCCTTTTTCTTTTCTGAATTTGCATAAGTTCTTGGATCCATGTCTGCCTTCTCTGCACTATGCCAGCACATGTGGCCTGGGTCACTGTCACTTGATGGCATCCTCTAATATACAGTATGGCTGGAGCTAAGGTTGGGGTGACTTCATAGGCTATTCCTATTATTTCTAATTTTATACTTTCTGTTTCTAAATAGCTTACATTCATGTCTCTTTGTATTGTGCTTTCTTGTTTCATTTTATTATATATATATTTTTTCCTAATTTTTCTCTTCCTGTTTCCATTTTTGCCATAATGACAAAATTTCCTTTGTTAATTTTAAAAATAATTCTTTTGGTAATTTAGAGGCTGCACAGATTCATTTTCTAGGCAGCTCGTGGCTGCTGTCACTCACTGTATTTTTAAAAAATTAAAATAAATTCATTGGTTTGATTATTTGATGATTAGGAAATTAACAAGATTATCAAAATTATCTGATAATATCTGAAAATGTGAAGAAGAAGGGAAAATTACCCATCATATTATCACCCAGAAATACCCACTGGTAATAGCTCATGGTGTAATTTACAGTGTGGCTGAATGCCTCTTAGATAACTCTTTTATGCTGTTGGGTTGTATTTTTTTGTCTGGTTAGTGAATTGTCCTTTCCACATAAATAAATAAACTATATTTTCATCCTTAATGACAACAGAATTGTCTACCATATTTATTTACTATGCTATTGCTAAATATTTAGCTTTTTTACTGTTTACTTTTATAAACAATACTGCAATGAACATCCTGATTCAAGTGTGTCTTTACTGTGTGTTTCCAGTTGTTTGTTCAAAGGCGTTGGCATGGGTAAGGCTTGTGTCTTATGTTGCCAAATTACCATCTCAAGAGGCTGTGCCATTTTGTATTGCCACCAGCAATATAGAAGCATCTCCTCCCTTTTCCTATACCCTAATCCATACTGGGCTTTGTCAGTCTTTTTAATCTTTGTCAATTTTGTAGGTAAATGGTGTCCTATTATTTTAATTTATCTTTAATTGATTATTAGGAAGGTTGAACATATTTTGGTTCACATCAGCACTTGTATTTCTTTTACATTTGAATCTGTATTTTTCAATCAGATAAACAATGAAATGAAGTCAGTTAATCTCCCTTCTGACTGGGATGAGGATAACACTGCACTTTTACATTCAATATCCTACTGTGGCTGGTGTGAAGGGTGGGACTAGGTGATGAGCTGGTTCCTCAGCTCCTTGGGGGTTCACTGAGCTCTCTAACTGATTGCTTGAGCCTTCTTCCAGATGGTGACTTGACCCTAGATGGTCTTCTTGGTTCTAACTTGGCACTTCCTACAGATGCTGTTTTTGGTAACATTTGCTTAGCTCCACCCAGATGCCTGCAAATGGCTCCATGTGACTTACTTGGCCAAAATCCATAGGACCCCATATTCTAGCAAGGACTGCCCAGAGAAAAGTTCCAATTACTGAAAGAAGAGAAGATTGGGCAGCAAAGCCTTGTCTGAGATCATGTGACTCGCTCAGCAAACCCACAGCTAGGATCCAGGTTTCATCTTCTTTCTTCTGTGTTACAGTACCATACCTTGGGATTATTCACTTGCATTGCCTAATCCGTATTGCTGAGATGATGGCTCAGAGCCTGTGTTCTGAGCTGCATCCTACATTTCACTCATCTATGCACTCACTCATTCCACAGATATTTATTGCATACCTATTATGTGCCAGGCAGCATTCAAGCACTGAACTTGATCCAGACTTCTTACTTTCTGATCCTTTTCAAGATATTTCCTCTTTGGACCCCAGTTTCTCCGTCTGTGGCACGGGAATAAATTTGAGAGGACCATCTGTACCTCATGAAGTTTTGTGAAAGTCCAGTGGAATGATACAGGTGAAGTGCTCGGTACAGTGCCGGCACATGTGAGATGAAAGCTGGCTTTTGTTATTTGAAAAGAATTATTTTGGCTTCTGTGTGGAAGATCATGATTACCCTGCAATTTTCCCTTACAGGCTATGGCCTTTGCCTGCCTTCTGCAGAAACTAAACCCCTTTGAGTGGAATAGAAGGTAAAAATGCCTCCTAATGAAGAGGGTCACATCCGGTGCTCTCCAACTCTATCGTTCTTCCATTTTACGATCTCTAGTTTCTGGTCTTGATTGGTGCTATAGGGGCTTCTAACATTCAAGTTCTGGTTTATGGGACTCAGTGAGCTTCTTTTGGATAAATATGGACTATAGCTTGTTGTTTTCTTTTATGATGCACACACAAAAAATGTCAGAGGAGCTGAGCAGCTGAGTTTGACTTCTAAAGAAGTTATAGGACTGTCTCTCTCCTTCTGTTATTCTCAGGCTCAATTCTTACCCTTGCCCCGTGTGCCCACCCACCTGGAAATCAAAAGATGAGCTCCCCACCATTCTGGGAGATCTGCCCTGATTGAAGACCTGCAGAAAAGCCGAGGCGTCTAGGGTTTTGGAATAAAATTTCTTCTGCCTACAACAGATCCGCATCTAATCAAAACCCTTAATTAAAAAAAAAAATCTCAGGTACTTAATTTGATTTGCTTATTTGCATAATATTGGAAGACAAAAGAAACCTGCCCCACAGCCTGCGTTTCTGCTGCAGGCCAAGGGACGGCCCCCTGTGACCCGCCCCCATAACCAGGCTGGCCTTGGGGGAGAGACCGCCGGTTCACTCCTCTCAATGCAGTTCCGCTGCTTTGTGGGGGGAGGGGCGGGGCGGGTGGTGGAGTGGATGTTCCATGTGTGGGAAGATTCTGGAAATGGCTTTATAGAAAAAACCTTTGTTCCACATTTCAACTGCTGGCTTAAAATGCCCGATTCTCTGAAAGTGGACTCCTTTTGCCTCTGTTGTGTCTGTGGCACCAAGGGAATTCGGTGTTAGATGCTTTAGGGACAACCTTTGTAGAGGAGAAGGCACTCAGGAGCCAAGGGGGGTGGTCACTGGAAGCAAACGCCTTCTAACTCTTTTGCCAGCCTTGGTTGACATTTGATTGTCATGTTTAGTCCGTTTAGCTACCCTCACTGGGGGCACCTTGTAAAAGTCTAAGGACAAAAGTTCACGTCAAATGTGTCCTAAGGACCAATTAGCAAAACTGAAAGGGCTGAAAACTCCTACTTGAACATGATTGACACTGAAAGTACCTAAGCTAAGTTGCAGCAGGGGACCTACCCCACCAGAGCCCACTGGTTTTAGGTCAGCACAGTCGGGCGATGTGCTTTCTGGCCAGCAGGGAGAGCCCCAGAGTCCTGGAGAGCTAGACAAGCAGCCTTGTCTTACAGCGAAAAGGGTGCTCAAGAAACCTTATCTCCTGAAAAGGCAGCTTTTGGAACCTGAATGGCTATTCACATCACACATTAAATGCTATTCAGAAAATAAGGTAAAATCAGGCCATCAGAACTTTGAACAAATGTTTGTGTCCGTTTTATTACTGAAAAATTGCATCAGATGAGAGTATTTTTTCCCTCAAATGGCCTAAGTGATAGCTTAGAAGAGCTTCATTTCACGTCTTTTAATTTTGAATTATTCTCTTATCTGTAATAAAGCACCAATCAAGCACAGAATTAGTATTCTGGAAGAAAGGGCTTAATGAGCTAAAACATTTCTATCTGGGGTAGGGAGAGCATCTTATCTTGCTTAAGTGTTTCAGAAGGAATTTGTAGGGAAAGAGGCAGAATATTTGGTACGACTAAATGGAAAAAAATATGTTGGTGTCTTCTCTTTTCCCATATGTGCCATATACCAGTTCACACGGCAACACCTCACTGTACGGTAAGTTCGACATAAAGCACTTAGTACAAAACTTGGGCTCTTCCTTTCAGTTCTGCTAGATTCTTTTATTAATGAGAGTGAGGCAAAAACACAGCCTCCTTTCTCCAGTTACATTTCTGGCATCAGATGCTCCGTCATACATCATCATCTGCAGCAAGTGACTTTGGAAATAGCTGACTATTAGCAACTTAATTGCCCTTGAATATACAATGCACACTTGTGCAGACGATTCGTGAAGACGACTGCCAACAGACAGTGAAATTAGAAAAAATGGCCTCTTGGGTTACGACCGTATCGAAGTTTTAAAGAAGGAGTAAAAGAAGATGTGGCTATAAATGGAAGTTTTAGCAGAGTTTAATAAGTGTCTGCCACTCCATTTTAGGCACCGACTAGGATTTTTGCTATGGGTTAAAGGCCAGTTGATGTCTAATGTATGAATAAACAGGTAATGAGTATCATCCAAACATCTATTAGTTCACTGACCTTTTGGATTATAGATGTAAGAAAGATCTTTAAAATACGCATTTGATAGTAATGGCTTCATAATAAAGTTTTTTTTTCTTTTTCTTTTCTTTTTTTTTTTTTTGAGACAGAGTCTCACTCTTGTTGCCCAGGCTGGAGTGCAGTGGTGCGATCTCGGCTCACTGCAACCTCTGCCTCCTGGGTTCAAGCAATTCTCCTGCCTCAGCCTCCCAAGTAGCTGGGATTACAGGCATGTGCCACCATGACTGGCTAATTTTTTGTATTTTTAGTAGAGACGGGGGTTTCACTATGTTGGCCAGACTGGCCTTGAACTCCTGACCTCAAGGGATCCACCTGCCTCGGCCCCTCAAGGTGCTGGGATTACAGGCGTGAGCCACGGTGCCTGGCCATAATAAAGTATATTCATTATGTGTATTTTATAAGGCTCTGATAATTTTACCTGGGATTAAATAAATGTCAGTACCTACATCAAGACTTCAATTATAGGGCTTTTGAAACCATCAAGTATTCAGAACAACGAAAATCAGGAATTTGAACAGCCAGATATGTGGGGTTCCGTTTATACCCATAGTTGCTTAATAGATATCTTGTTTTTCCTGGCAGTATCTCTAGGGATGAGCGAATGGCAAAATTTACATTTGGGCAAACTACAAAAAGACAGAGTTAACTTAGAAGGCTGATTGTTATGAGGATTTTTATATATGACGGTATGATGTTAAACGGGTTAATGAGATTGATGTTGTATCCAGGCCTTTGTTTTTTTTTTAAGACAGAGTCTCACTCTGTTGCCCAGGCTGGAGAGCAATGGTGCAATCTCAGCCCACTGCAACCTCCACTTCCCAGGTTCAAGCGATTCTCCTGCTTCAGCCTCCCGAGTAGCTGGGATGAGTGGTGTGTGCCACCACACCCAGCTATTTTTTTTTTTTTTTGTATTTTTACTAGAGATGGGGGTTTCACCATGTTGGCCAGGCTGGTCTCAAATTCATGACCTCAAATGATCCACCTGGCTTGGCCTCCCAAAATGCTAGGATTACAGGCATGAGTCACTGCATCCAGCCTGATGTTGTATCCAGGTTTTTAAATACTATTGGTCTTGGATTGTTATGGATGCTAACATAAGAAAATATTTTGAATTCTGATACACATCAAAGAGCACAGAAAATAATAGTGAAAAGGAAGTTTGTTGAGGAGGGAAGCAATTGAGCTGGAGACGGTTCCAACAGTTGAGTCTATCATTCATTTTGTAGAAAGCAGTTCTCGTTATACTTCAATTAAAATGCTTTCCAAATGAACATACAATAAAATTGACTTTGTGTGTGTGTGTTTAGTTCTACGAGTTTGAAAACATGTATAGGTTCATGTAACCACCCCCACAATCAGGATTCAAAGTAAACTCATTACTCAAAAACCTGTTTCCTGCCATCTGCCCTTCCTTTGTGGTCAAACCCTCCTCGCCTCTTTACCCCGTGATGCTCCTTGTCACTACAGCTTTATGTTTTGGAGAATGACAAGTAAATTGAACGAAGCAGTGTGTAACATCTTTAAGACCGGCTTCACTCAGCACAGTGTCTCTGAGATTCATCTTAGATGCTGCGTACGTACACCAGTCAGTTCTTCCTTTTTATTTCTGGCTAGTCATTCGTTGTCAAGGTATGTTCAGTTTGTCATCCATTCATTAGTTGAAGGACTTTTGGGTTGTTTGCAGTTTTTGGTGTTTATAAATATAGCTGTTATAAACATTCATATACTGATTTTTGTGTGAACACACATTTATATTTCTCTAAGGCAAGTACCTAGGGGTGGAATGGCTGGATTGTATGTGTAGCTTAAGTGTATGTGTAAGTCTGTAAGAGACTTCCAAACTGGTTTCCATTGTGGCTGTACTATTTTGCATTCCCAGCAACAAGAAACAAGAGTTCCAGTTGCTCTGCATGCTGGTCAGTACTCAGTTCTATCAGTAGCTTTTTATCTCAGCCATTCTAATAGACGTGTAATGCTATCTCTTCAGGTTTTCATTTGCCTTTCCCTGATGGCTAACGGTGTGGAACGTCTTTTCACATGCTTATTGACCATTCACATTTGCTCTTTAGTAAAGTATCCATTAAAGCTCCTGCCCATTTTTTAATCAAGCTATTTTCTGACTGTTGTGGCTTCTTTATACATTCTCGATCCAAGTCCTTGTTGGATATGTGACTTGTAAATACTTTCTCCCAGTCTGTAATTTGTGTTTCCATTCTCTTAAAAGTGTCTTTCACAGATCAATAGTTTTAAATTTTGATGAAGTCCAATCTTTCAATGTTTTAAAAAATTTATGGATTGAGCTCTGGGTACTATGTCTAAGAGCTCTTTGCCTAACCCTGGGTTATCAAGATTTTCTCCTATGTTTTATCCTAAACGTCTCATAGCTATATGTTTTACATTTAGCTCTATGTTCTATTTTGAGTTATTGTTTGGATAAGATGTGATGTTTCAGAAAATGTTCATTTTATTTTTTTGGGCTTTGGCTGTCCAATATAATTTGTTTCTACACCATTTGTTGAAAAACCCATCCTTCTGCCATTGAATTGCTGTTGCACTTTTGTCAAAAATCAATTAGTCATATTTATGTGGGTCTGTTTTTGGACTTGATATTGTTCTGTGGATCTCTTTACCAATACCATACTATATTGATTACTATCATTGTATAATACATCTTAAAGTTGAGTAGTGTGTTTCCTTTGATTTTATCCATTTTCAACACGGTTTTTCTACTCTAATTTCTTTGTCTTTCCACAGATATTTTAGAATTTGTTTTTATATATCTTTAAAAATTCTGCTAAAATATTGATTGAAATTGTATTAAATTTAGAGATGATTTTGGGGAGAACTGACATCTTTACTATGCTGACTCTCCCAATTCGTGAACATATTAAGTCTCTCCACTTATCTATGTCTTTCATTTCTTTCATGAGCATTTTCTATTTTTCAGATTCTGTACAGGTTCATGTACAGATTCTGTATGTGTTTTGTTAGATATATTCCTAAATATTTCATTTTGTGGGAAGCTATTCTAAATGTTTATTTTTAAATTTTGATTTTAAATTGCACATGGCTACTATGTGGAAATACAACTGGTGTGTGTATGTGTGTAATCCTTAGGATTTTCTAGTAGACATTCATGTTGCCTGTGAATAGGTACATTTTTATTTCTTCCATCCTAATATGTATCCCTATTGCGTTAGTCTTCTTGGTCTACTATACAAAATACCACAGAATGGGTGGCTTAAACAACAGAAATTAATTTTCTCATGGTTCTAAGGGCTGGGAAGTTCAAGATCAAGGACATATTGCTGGATTTGATTTGATAATATTTTGTTGAGGATTTTTACATTGCTAGTCATGAGGAATATGAGTTTGTAGGGTTTTTTTTTGCTTGTATTGTCTTTGTCTGGTTTAGTTATCAGGATAATAATGGCCTCATCAAAATATATTGAGATGTGTTCCCTCTTCTATTTTCTGAAAGAGATCATGTGGAATTGGTGTTATTTCTTTTTTAAAATGTTTGGTAGAAGCCATCAGTGAAATTATCTGGGAATGGAGGTTTCTTTTGTGTAAAGTTTTAAACTATAAATTTAATTTTTTTTAATGTTATAGGACTATTCAGGCTATCTAGTTCATCTTGGGTGAATTTTGGCAATTGGTTTTCAAGAATTCATTTATTTCATCTAAGTTGTTGAATTTATGTGAGTAGAATCATTCTTGGTATTCCTTTATTAACCTTTTAATGTCTGGCAGGGCTGCCTATCACTATATGTTCTTTTTCATTCCTCATATTGATAATTTGAGTCTTTTCTCTTGTCAGTCTTGCTTGAAGATTATAAATTGTATTGATATTTTAAAAGAAACAACTTTTTGCTTCATTGACTTTTCCCTATTATTTTTCTGTTTTCAGTTTCACTCGTTTCTATTCTTACATATATTATTTCCATCCTTATGCTTTCTTTAGTTTTATTTAGCTCTTCTTTTTTTTTCTCATTTCCTAAAGTGGAAACTGAGACTATTGCTCTGAGACGTTTCAAATTTTCTAATATAAGCTGAAATGATCTGGCTTTGTGTCCTCACCCAAATCTCTTCTCAAATTGTAATCCCCTTGTGTCAAGGGAGGGACCTAGTGGGAGGTGACTGGATCATGGGGGCACTTTCCCTCATGCTGTTACCTTGATAATGAATGAGTTCTCACGAGATCTGATGGTTTTATAAGTGTTTGGCAGTTCCTCATTTCTCCTTCACTATCTCTCTCTCACCTGCTGCCATGTAAGATGTGCCTTGCTTCCCCCTTGCCTTCCACCATGATTGTAAGTTTCCCAAGGCCTCCCCAGCCATGCAGAACTGTGAGTCAATTAAACCTCTTTCTTTCATAAATTACCTAGTCTCAGGTAGTATCTTTATAGCAGAGAACAGACTAATACATACGCATTTAATGCTATGAATTTCCCTCTGAGCCACTACTTCAGTTTTATGAAAAGAGGGTGAGTGGTAAGAAGTCCAGCCATTTTCAACAAACCACATTCCAGGCAATTTTCTTCACCAATTAAAATTTAAAACCTCCTGTTGCATGCTTGTGTGCTTAGGGGATGAAGGAGGGCTAAGTTTGTCAGATGTTCTGTACCAGCTATTTCTATTTCTATGGCACAATTGCGACCTTGAGTCTTGAAGAAAAAGTTAAATTTTATAGACTGTTTGTTACGTCATGGGATAAATACATAATACAGTTTTGAAAGATTTCCATACCATAAAGCATCACCAACTTTACTAACTGCCTTTATTTTTTCAGAACCCCTCATTGCTAGGTGATCATGTGTTACTGTGTTTCAGTTGGAAAACATTTCAGACCCATTAGAGCTCCCAGGGGAACTCAATGCTTATGAGAATTTCTCTGAAACAAATAAAAACTATACATAAAATTCTATTTCTACAGTGCTTTTAAGAAGAGCTGGAGCAGCAATTAGTCGTTAGGGCTCTTCCCTTACAGTCTTCCAAATGATTTGCATTATGGGGGCCTCCTTGGACTAGGAGAGACTTCTCTGGAGCATCACACAGATCCTTGTGAGCTGCGTTCACCCTCAGTACTCCAGGCACTGGATTCATTCATTCTCTGGAGATTTGGGGATGCTGAACAACACCTTTCCCCCTCTCCTAATTGTTTTGGGATTGGTGAATTTTTTTTATCATGGCAAAATATACATAATATAAAAATTTATCATTTTAACCATTTTAGGTGTACAGTTCCGTGTCATTAAGTACATTCACATTATTGTGCAACCATCACCACCATTTTCCCTTTCCTAAGCAGAAACTCTGCACCTATTAAACACTACCTACCCATTTATCTCTCCCCAGACCCTGGAAACCACCATTCTCCTTTCTGTTTCTGTCAATCTTAATATTCTAGGCACCTCTAGATGCGTTGGCTTATTTCACTTAGCATAATGTTTTCAAGGTTAGTCCATGTTTTATCATGTATCAGAATCTCCACCTTTTTATGACTGAAGAAGATTCCATCAGATGTATATACCACATTTGGTTTATCTGTTCTCCATCATGAACACTTGGGTTGTTTCCCTTCTAGATCATTTGATAGCAAAACATTCTGAGTTTCCTTTCGGCATATAGGCATGTACCAGAAAGTGCTCCTGCAGCCTTTAAGCTATTAGAAGATCATGGATCTGACTTATTAGAACACTAAGCACATTTGCACACCTCATTATATCTATGGTACAGAGCTGTAATCTGTATGGGAGAGGGCAGGGGCCATACTGGAACCTCCTGGGGAACTCCTTCAAATGTTACTTCCTCCTCATTCTTCCAAGTTGCTTTTCTATTGGGAGTGGGTCAGAAGTCTTACTTGTGTTGGGTGAAATGTTTTATGAAAACAGCTGCTGTAGACTCAGGGACATTTCTGCAATCGGTTCCTTTCATGAACACTGGGAGTTATGGTAAAAGAGTATTTGTCTTGGCTGGAAACATCCAAGCTTACTTATTCTTCATGATTCCATATCCACTCTCTGGAGGTTCATTAACTTTTGCAATACTTTATTTTTAGTGCATTCTATACACTTCTCATGTGGTTCTGTTTGGATCTCTGTTTGGATCTCTGTGTGTTACTTTGAATCATTGTTGGGCATTACAGGAAAAGGGTCAGAAATCTCTCAACTCAGTGCAGGGGCAGGAAAACCAGGAGGATCTTGACAGCTACGTATGAGGGTGGCAGGCATTTAGACTCCAGGGAACAGAATTAGCACATGTATAGGGATAGGGGGTTGGGAGTATACAACTCTTTGGGGTTGCTGAAAAGAGGATGAGGTAAAGGAGGAAAGAAAAAAATTCTATCTTCCAGAATTTATTATTTTCTGGCTTAAATGTCCATTCCCATCAACTTAAACTCAGCTATAGGGAGAAGTCCTCCCTAACTGCCCCAAGCAAAATTTATCCAACACTTTATCGTACCTCTGGGATGTTCTCTACCACTTTACAGGGGAGTTAATCTTTCCCCTTCTTTTGAACTGAGATGGGGTAGTCCTGCCTTTCCTGAAAAGTCTGTATGGTCCCCAGGTCCTTTCTTCCTGGCTTCTTTAGAGGCTAAAGAAGGGTCCAGTACCATAGCAGTTTGAAAAGGTACACTTCTTAACTACCAATGAATGAAAACACTGGAAAAGAATTTGAGAGATGAAGCCATTAAAATTGCTTCTGCAGATGAATATTTAGTGAAATAAATAGTATTTTCTGGAGAAACAGGCTCTACCATATGATGTAGAATATTTTATTTTTGTAATCACCCATTTATTTCTATATTTATGTACAGAAAGTGTTGGAAAGAATTTTACCAAAATGTTAATAGTTGTTATCTCTGAGGGAAGTTCTGGATGATTTTTTAAACAATTAGAAAAATTTGTTTCTAAACTATCTGTTTTGTTTTGTTTTTATGCCACAGATGGACCTTGTTTCATAAAGCAGGCACTGTGTCTTTTTATGAGCAGAGGCCTGGCCCTCAGTTTGTATGTGTTGAATGAATATATGACTGACTAATAGAGTAATGGCAAAAACAACTAGCTAGGGTTTAAAATCTATGAGAGGGTTTATAATTCATAAGTCAATGTGAAAGGCCTTTACAGCTTGTAAATGTACAAAAGCAAATGTGAGTGTGTATTTTATTTTATTTTATTTTATTTTATTTTATTTTATTTTATATGACAGGGTCTTGCTCTGTGACCCAGGCTGGAGTGCAATGCTGTAATCAGAGTTTACCGCAGCCACAAACTACAAGGCTCAAGTGATCTTCCCATCTGAGCCTCCTCAGTAGCTGGGTCTATAAGTGCATGCCACCACAGCTGGCAAAGTTAATTTTTTTTTTTTTTTGTAGAAATGGGAGTCTGGCTATGTTGCCCAAGCTGGTTTTAAACTCCTGGCCTCAAGTGATCCTCCAGCTTTGGCCTCCCAAAGTGCTGGGATTCCAGGCATGAGCCACCATGCCCGGCCAATGTGTTCCAGTTATTATAATTATGGTGAGACTGCCATGCTTCCTAGTCCTTGGGTGCCACTGTGGCTGGCTGGATGAGCCCCTTTCAAATGCTTCCTAGCAACCATCCCTTCTGGAAGTCCGAGGTGGGTAACTTGAGCTCATGTTTAAGTCAGATTTATTTTACTTTAAGTTGTCCCCTTTTAGGGCTAATTTAGCAACACGCATGCCCTTTCTCAAGATTCTTATCAGATGGTGGTGAACTTTTAACGAATATAATGAAAAACATTTCCCCATCCTAGAACACGGGGGAAGGCAAAATGCAGCTTGACCCCGTCAACTTCTTTCATCTGGTCTCTGTAATCAGTTTTATGAAAAGCACATGGCTGCCCTGCTCTATCTTGATAAAGAACAGTTTTTCTGTTCCATTAAAAAAAATCGTTGGAGAGCTGTTTTTGATGTTGAGAGAAGACGAGGTGCAGCTGAGGGAGATGGGGAGGAGCCCTCTCCTCTGCGCCCTGTTTCGGGGGCAGCGAGCCCAGTGGGTTCTGCCTTTCAGGTCTGTTCCTTCATTACGGCAGCTGCACAGGAGGTCGCTGTCTGGGGACAGTCTCGGGTTCCTCCCCACCAGGGCTTTGTAGAGATTCACGCCTCAAGCCCAAGTGTATCCGGGAGCAGGGGCGAGGCAGCTGCAGCTGCCTCAAATGAAAATGAAAGAGGCATTTGTTCTCATCAGTATTGCTTAGAAGAGAAGAGGACTGGTCCTGGAGGTGTTTTCAGAGAGTTTTTCCAAACAGGAAAAGTTTTGGGTAATAGGCTGTCTTCCCAGCCAACTCCTAAGAGACCTGGTTGTGGGTCTGTAGTATATCAAAACTGTTTTGACCACAAATATTTATTGTACATCCACGAGGTACCAACCTTGTTCTAAGTGCTTAAACTATGTCAGCGAACAAACGAATAAAGCATCCTCCTCTCCTGTAGCTAGCTCAGACTCAGAAGACAAATGAGGACTGGAATCAGTCAATCATGCAGCAGGTTAGAAGGTGAACGTGGTGTAGAAAGAAGGGACAGCAGAACTGAGCAAGGGATCAAGGATGCCAGGGATGGAGGGGCCACAGGTAGTCTATTTAGAAGGATGGCTGGGAGGAGTCTTATAAGAGAGGTGAGATTTAAGCAAGAACCACTGCCCCCAACAAAAAAACCCAAAAAACAAAGCATCCCAGCTATGTGACAAGAAAAATACTTAGATGTGTGTGCTCATTTCCACCTCATGAGGATTCCAACGTTGAGAAGAGAGAGCTCTGGTGACTGCCAGCCTGTTACACCCAACACATGGATGCTCCTGGACTGGTGAGACCTAAGTGCCTGGCTCTTCAGCCACCCCCTCCCCTTGGCACCCTTCTTTGTCTTGCTTCTGAAGTGCTAGCCTTGCCTTTTTTTTTTTTTTTAACCCTTTCAGGCCAGTTTCTCTGGCCTCTTTCTTGGGTTTCTTTTTTTTCACCAGTTTCTTTGAATGTTGGTTCTCCGAGGTTCTGTTCACCCCACCCATCTATTTCCCTTGGATCATCTTGCCCACACCACAGCTTTTACAACCACTGGTCAGCTGGCAACTTGAGACCATCTCTGAGCTGAATGTCCTTCCTGAGCCCCAGTTCTGTCCCCCCAGGTGCTTTAGGAAGTCTAAAGCTGAACTCATCAAACCTGTTTCCTTTGGGGAATTTTGTTGGTAACAGCTCTGCTTTCCAGCTAATGATGCAATCAGAAAGCCAAGAATCATTTCAGTTGTCCCTTTTCCTTTCCCAGCAATAATCAATATGCAAGGTGCTCACACATTGACAGTGACAGCGAACATTTGCTGAGTGCTCCTGGGTGTTAGGCAGCGCCCCCAGAGCTCTGCAGAAGGCAGGTGGGGACACATGGAAATACCTGGGCAGGGGGAAGTGGAGTGAGCAGCAAAACTAGGACTTGAACCTATGCCCTCAGACTCTGGAGGATGCACCTTTAACCACCCCCATGAGATGAGGTCTTAGAGGTGCCCTGGGGTCAGATCCTGGAGGACTCCTCAGCTCACACTAAAGACTTTGTACTTTATTTCTTAGCAAAGTGAGACCATGAAAGGATCTCAAGTGGGGTAAGAAAGAGAGGGGCACATCATGTGGTTTTTACTTAGAGGATCACTCTAGCTTCAGGGTGGGTGTCAGATGGTGGGAAAGAGGGGACGATGTCATGTTGTAATAGTATTGGCAAGAGACAATGCCGGCTTGGAGTGGAGCAGGGAGGCGAGGGTGGAGAGAAAGAGATGAGATCAGGAGATGTTGAGGAGACACTGTCAAGAATCTGGTGAAGTGCGGTGGAGGTGGCTGCCAGGAACAGGGAGTGACAGGATTGTCACCTGCTCTTGCATCCAATTCAACTGCTTAGGAAAACAATGCCTTATTATAAAAGTCCTACATCTTTATTGTAGAATACAAAATGTAGAAAGAAAAACAAGAACAACATGTCTAGGTCCATTATGCACTGATAACTACTATTAATATTTGGTATTCACACATAGAGTGATATCTATATCTATATTGATATTATATATATATAGTCATGTGTTGCTTAACAACAGGGACACATTCTGAGAATGTATCAGTAGGTGATTTCATTACTGTGCAAACATCACAAGAGTGCACTTTTTTTCCCTTCAACTTTTTTTTTTTTTTCTTTTGGAGATAGAGTCTCACTCTGCCTCCAGGCTGGAGTGCAGTGGCACGATCTCAGCTCACTGCAACCTCCACTTCCTGGGTTCAAGTGATTCTCATGCCTCAGCCTCCCCAGTAGCTGGGACTACAGGCGTGCACCACCACGCCCAGCTAATTTTTGTATTTTTAGTAGAGATGGGTTTTCACCATGTTGGCCAGGATGGTCTCGAGCTCCTGGCCTCAGGTGTTCTGCCCACCTCGGCCTCCCAAAGTGCTAGGATTACAGGCATGAGCCACCGTATCCGGCCCCTTTCAACTTTTATTTTAAGTTCTGGAGTATATGTGCAGTATGTACAGGTTTGTTACATGGGTTAACGTGTGTCATGGTGATTTGCTGCACAGATCAACGCATCACCTAGGTATTAAGCCTGGCATCCATTAGTTCTTCTTCCGGATGCTCTCCCTGTCCCTATAGAGTGCACTTTCACAAACCTAGATGGCATTGCCTACTGCACACCTAGGCCGTGTAATCTAGCCATGGCTCTAGGCTGCAAACTTGTACAACATGCGACTGTACTGACTACTGTAGGCAGTTGTAACAGAATAAGTATATGTGTATCTAACCATATGTAAACAGAGAAAAATTATAATAAAAATATGGTATAAATGGTAATAAAAGATAACATTAATATGGTATAAAAGAGAAAAAATAGTGCACCTGTATAGAGCACTTACCATGAGTAGAGCTTGCAGAACTGGAAGTTGCTCTGGGTGAGTCAGTGAGTGAGTGGTGAGTGAATGTGAAGGTCTAGGACATTACTATACACAACTGTAGACTTTATAAACACTACACTTAGGCCACACGAAGTTTATAAAGAGAATTACTCAGGCCGGGTGCGGTGGCTGACACCTGTATAATAATCCCAACACTTTGGGAGGCCAAGGTGGGCGGATCACTTGAGGCCAGAAGTTTGAGACAAGCCTCACCAACATGGTGAAACCCCATTTGTACTAAAAATACAAAAATTAGTGGGGCATGGTGGTGCATGCCTGTAGTCCCAGCTACTTGGGAGGCTGAGGCAGGAGAATCACTTGAACCCAGGAGGCAGAGGTTGCAATGAGCTGAGATCGTGCCACTACACTCCAGCCTGGGCGACAGAGTGAGACCCTGTCTCAAAAAAAAAAAAAAAAAATTCTCTTGTGGTAACTTTTTTATTTTATAAACTTTAAAATTTTTTAAACGTTTTGATTCTTTTAATAACACTTCGCTTAAAACACAAACACATTATCTGGCTGTACAATGTTTCTTTTCTTTATATCCTTATTCTATAAGCTTTTTTCTATTTTCTATTTTTTTTTTTTTACTTTTATACTTTTTTGTTAAAAACTAAGACACAGACGTGCACATTAGCCTATGCCTACACAGGGCTAGGATCATCGCAAACATGTGAGCACGGTGTTCTGCTACATTATGATGACTATGATATCCCCAAGCATAGAGATTTTTCAGCTCCATTATAATTGTATGGAACCCCTGTAAAATATGCAGTCTATTGTTGGCTGAAACACTGTTATACAATGCATGACTCTGTCTCTCTATATATGTATTATATTAAATTTGTATATGGTATATATGGTGTGTATACATTACATATATATAGTAATATACATAGTGATATACAGATAGTCATATACTGCTTAATGATGTTTTGGTCAACAACAGACCACATATATGACAGTGGTCCCATAAGATTATAATAGCATTTTGTTTGTTTGTTTGTTTTTTTGTTTTTTTGAGATGGAGTCTCGCTCTGTCACCCAGGCTGGAGTGCACTGGCGGGATCTCGGCTCACTGCAACCTCTGCCTCCTAGGTTCAAGTGATTCTCCTGCCTCAACCTCCCGAGTAGCTGGGATTAGAGGCATGCATCACCATGCCTGGGTAATTTTTGTATTTTCAGTAGAGACGGGGTTTCATTATGTTGGCCAGGCTGGTCTCTAACTCCTGAACTCAAGTGATCTGCCTGCCTCGGTCTCCCAAAGTGTTGGGATTACAGGCTTGAGCTACCACACCCAGCCTATAATAGCATATTTTTTTTCTGTACGCTTTCTATGTTTAGATACACAAGTACTTACCATCGTGTTACAACTGCCTAGGGTATTCAGTACAGTTATGCTGTATAGGTTTGTAGCTGAGGAACAATGGCTTATACCATTTAGCCTCAGTGTGTCATAGGCTATAAAA
Organism: Homo sapiens; assembly: GCF_000001405.40. Classification (NCBI taxonomy): domain Eukaryota; kingdom Metazoa; phylum Chordata; class Mammalia; order Primates; family Hominidae; genus Homo; species Homo sapiens. Next base: position 128,191,988 of record NC_000010.11, read on the forward strand.
TCTAGGTTTGTGTAAGTGCACTCTACAATGTTTGCACAATGATGAAATCACCTAACAATGCATTTCTCAGAACACAGCCCTGCTGTTAAGTGGGTCGTGACTATATATATATAGTGTGTATATGGTATATGTGGTGTGTGGGTGTATATATGCTGTGAGGAGGCAGTGATGTGAAGATGAGCAGGAAGAGAAGCAACCCAGGCTTCCTGTGAACTGGTGCTGGGAGCTGCCTGGAACCCAGCCATCGGTTACCGTCTTCTTCCAGCTCTTGAAGGCCACATGGCCTTACCTCCTGTGATTCCCTTGATACTGTTCCACCCACCTGCCCCATGGTTTTCTCTGCCGTCTTATCTTGTGGATGATCCAACCTGGCCACCAACCTTACTCTATGGTCTTTCGGCTCTAGCCCCCGCAAGTCTCTGTGTCTCTAAAGACAGAATCTGACCAGCCCAGCTCTTCTTTGAGCCATGCTCATAAAAATCACTGGCAAGCCAATGGGTTGACTCTCTTGAGGTCACACATCTGTCCTTAGCTCCATGAGTCAATTTTATTTTTTTGGTCAGATAGGTTACACGTATTTTCCACCTGGGATACATGTATTAAATATATTGCTGGCAGTTAATTTCTCACCATTATTTCTTGAATGTGTCCATCTCTCTTCATCCCTGATGAAATAGCCTTAAATCAGTTCCTCATTACTTTTCACTTGGATTACAGCTTCTTACAGCTTTCCATGCCCCTGGTTACAGCCTTTTTTTTTTTTCTTTTTTTCCTAGATGGAGTCTCGCTCTGTCACCCAGGCTGGAGAGCAGTGGCTCACTGCAACCTCTGCCTCCCGGGTTCAAGCGATTCTCCTGCCTCAGCCTCTGGAGTAGCTGGGATTATAGGCATGTGCCACCACTCCCGGCCTAATTTTTGTATTTTTAATAGAGATGGGGTTTTGCCATGTTGGCCAAGCTGGTCTCTAACTCCTGACCTCAGGTGATCTTCCTGCCTTGGCCTCCCAAAGTGCTGGGATTACAGGCATGAGCCACCGCATCTGGTGTGGTTACAGCCCTTCCCATCCTATTCTCCCTGCCTTGTCAGCAGAGAGAGCTACCTACCCAAAATGCAAACCTGGCTAGGACCTTTCTTAAATCTTCCAGTGGCTCCTGGGAAGCTTCTGGATAAAGTTCAAGTTCCAAAATGACAAGTTGGGTGTTTCCATGTGGCTCCCTCTTCCTCTGCATCTGGATGATGCCCCCATAGACATCCATGTTGCAGCCACACCCTGGGGGATTTCAGAAGCAGCCATGCTTTTTCCAGATGGCCCCTCTGACTGGGGCGTCCTTCTCACCTTCTCATTCTGGCAAACTGTTACTTGTTCCTCAGTAAGCACTCAAGCCTCGCCTCTTCTATCTTGCTTTCCTTGACACTTCTCTGGGTTGGGTTAGTTTTTCTTTATACTTTTACCGTTCTGGACATTATTGGCCTGACAGTAACACACCATGTTGGAAGTGATTTCCTGTCTTTTCTTCTTCTAAATGGGATGTCCTTGAGGATCAATGACCGTCTTTCCATTTCCCTAGTACTGAGACATGGGGTTGAATGAATGTTGCTGTGTGAAGGGACAGAGGGTTGGTTCATGGCCAGTTGCAGCTGATGGAATACCCTGGTAGCTGAGAGTCATCATAAATACTTATTACTATTTTGCATTTATTAAAGGAAAATGAAATGTATTTAACACCAACAATCCCCTAAATCAAATCCAATCCCCGATGAAGCGTAAGTTACAGGTGTCTGCTGCCATAGGCTGGGTAGAACAGGGATTGAGGACAGAGGCTCTGAGCCTGGCAGCCCTTGTGTGAATTCTGGCTTAACTTCTGGCTGTGGGATCTCAAGTGAGTGAGTTGACTTCTAACTTGGGGGCCCCTATCTGTAAAAATGCGGCTTATGAAGCATTGGTCTCACAGAGCTATGAGGACTGGGTGAGATAATGTAGCCAAGTACTTCTCATGGGGCCTGGCAAGGCCCATACTGGTTGGAGTTTGTGAATAAGTTATTATTAGAGTCTACTAGGATTATTAGAGTGCTTCTTGGTGTTGGAGAAGCATCTCATACAGCAGCAGCACCTACAGAAGGAAAACATGATTATTTCCGTTTTCCAGTTGTTTCCTTTCTGGACAAAAAGCAGGCTGCATTGTATCTAGGGATTCTACATTGCAGGAATTTCCCCTTGTTTTTAAAGGCAGCTTCCATTGTCATAGCAAGTTTGAATACTGCATTTCCCTCCTTTACTTTTTTTTTTTTTTTTGAGACGGAGTTTCGCTGTCTCCCAGGCGGGAGTGCAGTGCCGCGATCTCGGCTCACTGCAGGCTCCGCCTCCCGGGTTCACGCCATTCTCCTGCCTCAGCTTCCGGAGTAGCTGGGACTACAGGCGCCCGCCACCTCGCCCGGCTAATTGTTTGTATTTTTAGTAGAGACGGGGTTTCACTGTGTTAGCCAGGATGGTCTCCATCTCCTGACCTCGTGATCCGCCCGCCTCGGCCTCCCAAAGTGCTGGGATTACAGGCGTGAGCCACCGCGCCTGGCCCCTCCTTTACTTCTTGGCACCTTTAGAAGATTCTGACTGCTGTTCACTTAAGTGGGAACAGCACTGCGTGCACAATGCTCACTGTGCATCTGCCCGTGTTCCGAATCACATCCAATATGACTTCCTGGCAGCGGGTTGGCGTCTGCGTATTGTTACTGCAGTGGTTGTCTACCTGAGCCTTGTCTACTGTGAGCTGGAACACCTACCTCCCCCTCTGGAGAGCAGGAATTGGAGGTGAGATTTTCTCCCCAGAATCCAGCTCGGTGCTCAGTCAGAAAGGGGCTTACACGTGCGTTTTGCTGGTAAAACCAATTCACCTGCTCAGAGAGCAGCCTTAGTGATTAATGCACTTGGAAAGAGGGCGTTTGGCTTGTTCAGATCAGCCCGAGGTAAACTCATTTGTGTGGACAGCAGTTAATGGGGCAGGGCATGCTGACCCTGAGTGTTTTCTGATTTTCACATTCCAAATATGTGAAGTGTTTTCTTTGCAAGCCTCTCGTGTGATGGGAATAGGTGCATTTGTTCATTTCTTTCTGAGTCCGACTTCTACTTCTTTATTCTTAATTTGAGCTGGTGTCCAGGGTCCCTCCCAGCTTGGTTGGGATTAAGACGTTTCTTACTTTATTTTATTTTTTAAATTTTGGATCCAGGAGGTTGATGCAGGTTTGTTACAGGGTGTATTGCATGATGCTGAGGTTTGGCTTACGGGTCCCATCACCCAGGTAGTGGGCATAGGACCTCATAGGTAGTTTTTCAGCCCACACTCCTCTTCCTCCTACCCCTCTTTTTTTTTTTTTTTTTTTTTTTTTTTTGAGCTGGAGTCTCACTCAGTCACCCAGGCTAGAGTGTAGTGGCATGGTTTGGGCTCACTGCAACCTCTGCCTCCTAGGTTCAAGCGATTCTCCTGCCTCGGCCTCCCAAGTAGCTGGGATTACAGGCATGTGCTACCACGCCCAGCTAATTTTTGTATTTTTAAGAGAGATGGGGGTTTTGCCATGTTGGCCAGGCTGGTCTCGAACCCCTGACCTCAGGTGATCTACCCACCTCGGCCTCCCAAAGTGCTTCCTCCCTCTCTAGTAGTCTCCAGTGTTTATTGTGCCCATCTTTGTGTCCATGTGTACTCAATGTTTAGCTCCCTAAGTAAGAATATGCGGTTTTTGGTTTTCTATTCCTGCGTTAATTCACTTAAGATAATGGCCTCCAGCTGCATCCATGTTGCTGCAAATGACATGATTTCATTCTTTTTAATGATTGTGTAGTATTCCATGGTGTATACGTAGCACATTTTCTTTATCCAGTCCACTGTTGATGAGCACCTAGGCTGAGTCCATGTCTTTGCTATTATGAAACCAGGGTTCAGCAAACTATGATTCTTGGGCCAAATCTAGCCTGCTGCCTGTTGTTGTACTGCCTGCAAGCTAAGACTAATATTTAAATTATTGGGAAAAAAAATCAAAAGAACAATATTTGGTGACATGTGCTACTTCTTGGTGTAATTTTTATGCATCTACATATTGCTTGTAGCTGCTTTCATACTGCAGTGGCAGAGGTAAGTTTTTGGAATGGAGGTTCTATGGCCTGCAAAGCTGAAAATATTTACTATTTGGCCCTTGACAGAGAAAGTTTGCTGACCTCTGCTTTACACTAACAACAATTCCTTGCAAATTTATTTTCATCTTTGCAAATGACAATCGCTAGCTAGCTTTCTGTCTGTCTTCTAAAAAAAGTCAAAAGATGGTACAGGAACATAGTAGATAATCAATTGTGTTCACTACTAGTGAAGAGGCATTTCTTTATCTGTAGGGACACATTGCATTTTGGTTACATTTTTGGTGGTACTGTGGGCTTTGCTACTTCAGGCTTCAGGGTTATATATGTGTCTCAGAGCCAGCCATGCCTCCAGGAACTTTGCAAGGGCCTGCTTGGGGGTAGGTGTAGGCATGTATAGAAATTGCTTTTAACTAACGTTTGGTTGTTTTCTGGCAAGGCTTAGAACACACGCTAAGTCTCCTAGATGTGATTTGAGAATCAAAAGAGAAAAATGCATGTAAAGTGCTTAGTACATTGATTGGTACTTACTAAGTTATCAATAAATGTCCAAAAAAAATACCAAAACAAGCCTGGGTGCTGTGGCTCATGCCTGTAATCCCAGCACTTTGGGAGGCATGTGGATCACTTGAGATCAGGAGTTTGAGACCTGTCTGGCCAATATGGTGAAGCTCCATCTCTACTAAAAATACAAAAATCAGTTGGGTGTGGTGGCACGCACCTACAGTCCCAGCTACTTGGAAGGCTGGGGCAGAAGAATTGCTTGAACCTAGGAGGTGGAGGTTGCAGTGAGCCGAGATCGCGCCATTGCACTCCAGCCTGGGCATTGCAGCGAGACTCCATCTCAAAAGAAAAACAAATAAACAACAAACAAACAAAAAACAACCCAAAAATTGCATCTCAAAATAATGGCAGGCACTGTCTCAGATTTTCACAATGTTAGAACATCAACAGGAAAGTCATGTACTTAGGAAACATTTCCAAGTGTGAAATGAGTTTGGATCCGTATCACAACATTGCCGAAATGGTGGCTCTACAGCAGTGGGTCTCCACCAGGGCAGATTTTGCCCCTATTTGCATCTGGTGGGTAAGGCCCCGGGAGCTGCCACATCTTACAATGTATAGGACAGTCCCCACAGCAAACATCACCTGGCCCAAGATGTCAGCAGTGCTGAGGGTGAGAAGCTGCTCAAGGAGATGGAAGGAAACATTCTGAAAGAAAAAATAGGAGGATGATATGACTGATCTTAAATATGTAGACAGCTTCCCTTGTATTGTGCTTTCATTCCCTTTAGACTCTTACAGGGAGTTCACTGAATTTCCAATGAGCCTCTTGAGGCACGGGGCTGTGGGTGCTGCTGAACAGGACAGCTGGGTATTCTTGGCAAGCTCTAGGAGATTCTACTGAGACATTTTCACAGGGCCTTTCCAGTAAACTGAAGCTCCTAGGACTCCTCTCTCCTAAAGAGACCCTATGAGAAGAACCAGTTCATTTTTAGGGGGTTAGCTTGCAAGCCTGAATGATGTTAGTTCTCTTGTTATATACCACATGTGGGGATACTTGCAGTTTCAACAACTTTCTTTTTGGAATAATTTTAGATTCACGGGAAAGTTGCAGAGATAACACAGATACCTTCACTCAAAAATCCCCAAATGTTAATATTTACATTTGCTTTATTGTTCTGTATAGACATCTTACTCATTACCATTTAGAGTAAATTGCAGACAGAATGTCTCTTTCCCTACATATTTCAGTGTATATTTTATAAAAACAAGAATTTTCATATATAATCATGGTACAATGAACAAAATAAGGAAGTCAGTGCTGCTACCATAATGTATCTAATCTATAGACCTCGCTCAGATTCCACCGGTTGTCCTGCCAGTGTCCTTTACAACAATCTCTTTTTGCCCCTTCCCCCATGAGCCAGTCAAGAGTCACACACTGTATTTACTTGTCCTGCTTCCCCAGACTCATTTTTTTTTTTTTTTTTTGAGATGGAGTCTTGCTCTATCGCCCAGGTTGGAATGCAGTGGCACAATCTCAGCTCACTGCAACCTCTGCCTCCTGAGTTCAAGCAATTCTCCTGCCTCAGCCTCCTGAGTAGCTGAGATTACAGGTGCCTGCCACCATGCCCAATTAATATTTGTATTTTTAGTAGAGACGGGGTTTCACCACGTTGGCCAGGCTGGTCTTGAACTCCTGACCTTGTGATCCACCCACCTCAGCCTCCCAAACTGCTGGGATTACAGACATAAGCCACCACGCCTGGACTCCCCAGACTCTTTTTAACCTAGAATGGCTTCTTGGCTCGCTTTGTGTTTCATGACCTTGATGGTTTTGAGGAGGGGGAGGCAGGCTAGTTATTTTACTTAATGGTTCTCAATCTGTTGCCTGGGCTGGAGTGCAGTGACATGATCTTGGCTCACTGCAACCTCCACCTCCCGGACTCAAGTAATCCTCCCACCTCAGCCTCCCAATTTTTGTGTATGTGTGTGTATATATATATGTGTATATATATATATACACACACACACACACACACACACACATATATATATATATACTGGGATTACAGTATATATATATATATATATATATACTGGGATTACAGTATATATATATATATATATATACTGGGATTACAGTATATATATATATATATATATATATATATATATATATATATATATATACATACTGGGATTACAGGCATGAGCCACCATGCCTGGCCCCTATTTGTCTCTTTACTGGTGATGTGAACTTCCACCTGGTTAGGGTAGGATATGCCAGGGTTCTCTACTGTAAAGTTATTTCTATTTAGTTATTTGTAAGTATTAAGTGTCTTGGGGGTGGTTCTTGGAAACTCCATAATTACCTTTTTCTTATGATATTCTTACCTGCTAGCTTTATTGCCCATTGATATTTCTTGCCTGAAACAATTATGATGACGTTGCCCAATGGAGATTTTTTTAAAAAACACCATCATTCCTTTTACATTGACTTAGGATTTGACTGTAAGAAAGAGCTTTTCCTCCTTTCTCTTTATTATTTTAAATGTACCTATCTCTGTATGGACTCATGGATTCTTACTGCATTCTGTGGACTATAACCTGTTGCTGCCATGATTTATTTTGGTGTTCAAAGTGTCCCAGATTAGGTTGTTGGAACCTCCTTCATGCCAGCTCCTGTGTCCTTTTGACATGCTCCCATCTTTCTTTGAACGTTCCATAATTTCTGGCACAACATGATATTCTAGGTTTATTTTGCCTTTTCCTGTATTCTCCTGGAAATCACTCGTTTCTCCAAGGAGCCCTGGTTCCTTTTATTGGAGAATGGTAATTAGAAATCAAGATCTGGGCCCTAGGTGTGCCCATTACAGCTATTTCCTCATCAGCAGACAGGGCTAGGAAATGTATGTGTGTGTGTGTGTGTGTGTGTGTGTGTGTGTGTGTGTGTGTGTATCTGTCTGTCTTTCCATCCATGCTGATACCTCCAATTTTAATCCAACATCATGGGGTTCATTCTAACTTTCCTCTTTTCCACTTTTATAACTTTGTTTCTCAATAGTGAAGAACTTGGCTCTCAATATTCACTATATATTTACCTCTCTGCTCAATTCTAAAATATACATAAAGTATTTTTGGAATTGCCAACCTATACCACTATGAAAGACAAATTGACTAATTGGAGTTCAATCTTTATTTTCTACAGCTTTTTTTGTTTTGATTTTAGCCTGAAGTGCTAAAGTGTGAATACAATGCTGTGCTCAGAAGTCATTTTAAGTTCTTTTTTGCTTTCTTCAGTGTGCTTATGTTTTTTATTTGAAGTACATTTAGGTTCACTTGTTTCTGTTTGAATTCCATTTTGAGTGCCCCCCTTCTCTTGTTCGTTAAATTTTTTTTTGAGTATGTGAACTAACATGGTTCTAAAAGCCAGAACTATGCAAATATCATCCTCAGAGAAGTGTCCTTTATTTCTTTCCCTTACCCCTGTTCGTATCATTTCTACCTCTTTCCTTCCTACTGCCCTGCAGGTATGAATCTCATTCATTTCTGGTTGATCTTTCCTGTTTCTTTTTGCACAAATGAGTGGATACAGGTATAAATGGATCATTCTTCCTCCTCACACTGAAGAGGAAGGCAAACTGCATCCATCTCAAGCCTGCTGGGAGATCCCAACAGACACTCTGGGCAGCTCTCCCAGGAAGAATTCAGCAGAGTAGCCCAAATGTCACTGGTGGGGCTCTGGCCACTGAGCTGGTTCATGCTCAACCACTTGCCTTTCCCATTTACGGGAGCCCAGATGCCCACCTGATGCAGCCAGAGGGAAAAATGACAAGAGGGGACAGAATGGGTGACGCTCATGTGTGCCAGCAGTGGTCAGAAGTTCCCTTACCCAGAAAACAGGAAACAAAAGCAAAACAATTTAGGCTATTTGAACATCTTTGCAGGATAGGGTATCAGGAAGTTTTAAAGTAAAAGCCTTCCTCTTACAAGTATTTCCCATAAGAAACAGGTAAAAATTTAGAAATCTAATGCTTATCATGCTCAAAAACTTGTGAAAGACTATGACCTTTATGAAATGGACTCAAGACATTTCCATGAGAATAGGAGAATGTGAGAGATGAACAGAACATGACATTTATGGGAAAACTTAGCATGCCTTTGCTGGGTCTATGGTCTGTGGTAGAACAAGGAGGTAAGAAATGAATGAAGATGTAGAAGATTCTGTAATGTAATCGATGAGGATGTAATGATTTGGGTGCTGATGCAACTTATAGAGTGTACATCATGTCTTCAAGAACTCATCAAACATACACAATATGTATACCAGCTGATACGGATTGGCTCTGTGTCCCCACCCAAATCTCATGTTGAATTGTAATCTCCAATGTTGGGGGAGGAGTCTGGTGGGAGGTGATTGGATCATGGAGGTGGATTTTCCCCTTGCTGTTCTTGTTATAGTGAGTGAGTTCTCATGAGATCTGGTTGTTTGAAAGTGTGTGGCACTTTTCTTTCTCTCTCCTTCCAGTCATATGAAGATGTGCCTGCTTCCCCTTCACCTTCTGCCATGTTTGTAAGTTTCCTGAGGCCTCCCCAGAAGCAGAACCCTGTATAGCCCTCAGAATCATGAGCTGATTAAATCTCTTTTTAAATAAATTACCCAATCTCAAGTAGTTCTTTATAGCTGTGTGAAAATGGACCAATACAGAAAATTGGTATCAGAGAAGTGGGGCATTGCTATAAAGATACCTGAAAATGTGGAAATGACTTTAGGACTGGGGATCAGGCAGAGGTTGGAACAGTTTGGAGGGCTCAGAAGAAGATAGGAAGGTGAGGGAAAGCTTGGAACTTCCTAGAGACTTGTAGAACTGTTGTGGCCAAAATGCTGGTAATGATATCGACAGTGAAGTCCAGGCTGAGGTCTCAGATACAGATGATGAACTTATTGGGAACTGGAGTAAAAGCCACTCTTGCTATGGTTTAGCAAAGAGACTGACGGTATTGTGCCCCTGCTCTAGGGATCTGTTGAACTTTGAACTTGAGAGAGATGATTTAGGGTATTGAGCAGACAAAATTTCTAAGCAGCAAAGCATTCAAGACATGGCCTGGCTGCTTGTAACAGTGTATGCTCATATATGTTTGCAAAAAGATGATCTGAAATTGGAACTTATATTTAAAAGGGAAGAAGAGCATAAAAGTTGGAAAATTTGCAGTGCGGCCATGTGGTAGAAAAGAAAAGCCCATTTTCTGTGGAGGAATTCAAGCCAGCTGCAGAAATTTGCATAAGTAAAGAGGAGCCAAATGTTAATAGCAAAGACAATGGGGAAAATGCCTCCAAGGCATTTCAGAGACCTTTGTGGCAGCCCCTCCCACCTAGACCTCCTGGAGGCCTAGGAGGGAAAAATGGTTTTGTAGGCCAGGCCCAGGACCCCACTGCTCTGTGCAGCCTTGGGACATTGTGCCCTGCTTCCCAGCTGCTCCAGCTCCAGCCCTGGCTAAAAGGGGCCAAGGTACAGCTCAGGCTGTTGCTCCACAGGGTGCAAACCAGAAGCCTTGGTGGCTTCTATGTGGTGTTAAGCCTGAGAATGTGCAGAGGTTGAGTTGAAGCGTGGGAGCTGTATTAGTCCATTTTCACACTACTGATAAAGAGTAGTATGAGACTGGAGACTGGGCAATTTACAAAAGAAAGAGGTTTAATGGACTTACAGTTCCATGTGGCTGGTGAGGCCTCATGATCATGGCAGAAGGCAGGGAGGAGCAAGTCATATCTTACATGGATGGCAGCAGGCAAAGAGAGAGTTTGTGCAGAGAAACTCCCGTTTTTAAAGCCATCAGATCTCATGAGACTTATTCATTATCGTGAGAACAGTGCAAGAAAGACCTGCTCCCATAATTCAATCACCTCCTGCCTAGTTCCTCCCATGACATGTGGGAATTGTGGGAGTTACAATTAACATGAGATTTGGGTGTGGACACAGCCAAACCATATCAGGAACCTCTGCCTAGATTTCAGAGGATGTATAAAAATGCCTGAATGTCCAGGCAGAAGTCTGCTGCAGGGGCAGAGCCCTCATGGAGCACTTCCACTAGGGCAGTGCAAAGGGGAAATATGGGGTTGGAGCTCCCACACAGAGTTACCACTGGGGAACTGCCTGGTGAAGGTGTGAAAAGAGGGCCACCATCCTCCAGACCCCAGAATGTTAGATTCACTGACAGCTTTCACTGTGCACCTGGAAAAACCACAGGCACTCAATGCCAGATCATGAAAGCAGCCTCAGGGACTGTACCCTCCAGAGCCACAGGGGCAGAGGTGTGTAAGGCCTTGGGAGCCCACCTTTTCTGTCAGTGTGGCTTTGATATGAAACATGGAGTCAAAGGAGATTAGTTTGGAGCTTTAAGATTTAATGATTGCCTTGTTGGGTTTTGGACTTGCATGGGGCCTGCAGTCCCTTTGTTTTGGCCAATTCCTCCCTTTTGGAATGGGAGCATTTACCCAATGCCTGTATCCCCATTGTATCTTAGAAGTACCTTGTTTTGATTTTACAGAATTATAGGCAGAAGGGACTTGTCTTGTCTCAAATGAGACTTTGGACTTGGACTTTTGAGTTAATGCTGGAATGAGTTCAGACTTTGGGTGACTGTTGGGATGGCATGATTGTGTTTTGAAATGTGAGAAGAACATGAAATCTGGGAGTGTCTAGGGGCAGAATGATATGGTTTGGCTCTGCACCCCCACCCAAATCTCATGCTGAATTGTAATCCCCAGTGTTGGGGGAGAAACCTGGTGGGAGGTGATTGGATCATGGGGGCAGATTTCCCTCTTGCTGTACCTGTGATAGTGAGTGAATTCTCATGAGATCTGGTTGTTTGAAAGTGTGTAGCACTTCTCTCTCTTTCTCTCTTTCTTGCTTTCTCTTTCTCTCTTCTGCCAGCCATGTGAAGATGTGCCTGCTTTCCCTTTGCCTTCCACCATGATTGTAAGTTTCTTGAGGCCTCTCCAGAAGCAGAAGCCTCTGCAGCCCACAGAACCACGAGACAATTAAACCTATTTTCTTTATAACTTACCCAGTCTCAGATATGTCTTTATAGCAGTGTGAGAATGGACTAATACACCAGCACTCAAAGAAAATCTCAGAAAGTTCCCAGAAGTAGAAACTGACCAGGCCACATTCTCTAATTAGGACCCAATAAACTGGAAATTATGGATACACCTTTGAACAAACAAAAAACTCTTCCAACATACTAATCAGAACATTAAAAGTCACTTTCTTAAATAAAAATTATCAAAGAGAAAATAAAATATAATTAAACATGGAAATAAAGAAAATAATTAAAATAAGACTTTTATGCATAAAAATGTCAGTTTATCCCCAAGCAGAAAGCAAAAGTAAATTAACACCCTTGCAATTTTCATTAACTAACAAGAAAGAAGAAATGAGGTACAAATAGAAGACATTAAAAAAAAAACTCTAACACAAAAATATATATTATTCTACAACTTATTTCCCCCATCCCCTCCCCACCACTTAACATTTTATAAATACTTTTCCTTTTTAGGACATATGGATATCTTTTATTTCTTTTATTAAAAGCAGAACATTCTATAGAATATAGTACTATAAATTATTTAAACCATCCTCAAAATGTACATTTAGGTTATTTCCATGTTTCTTCAATTACAAGTAGTGCTTCAGTGGGCATCCTGTTAGATATTTTTTTGCAACGTGCAAGTATTTAAATAGAAAACATCTCTAGCTTTGTAATTGCTGGGTCTAATGATGTATTCATTCAAAATATTAATAGCTATTGTAAATTTCTCTACAAAGGTGATATTGACTTAAATTCCTCTCATCACTGTATGAATGTTCATGTTCCTTTATACTGTCACCAACAAAAGATAGTCTCAATTTTTTGCCAACTGGTAGATAGTAAAGTGCCAATATATTTTTGTTTTTATTGCATTTTTCCTAATTAACTTGTATGGCTGAACATTTTAAACCAGTTAAATTCCTTCTATGAATACCTTGCCCATATCATTTACATGCCTTTGTCCCTTATTTTTTAAATTAAATTTAATTTTTTTATTTTTTATTTTTTGAGATGGAGTCTCGTTCTGTAGCCAGGTTGGAGTGCAGTGGTGTGATCTTGGCTCACTGCAACCTCTGATTCCCTGGTTCAAGCGATTCTCCTGCCTCAGCCTCCTGAGTAGCTGGGATTACAGGCATATGCCACCATGCCCAGCTTTTTTGTATTTTTAGTAGAGATGGGGTTTCACCATGTTGGCCAGGATGGTCTTCATCTCCTGACCTCGTGATCCACCCACCTTGGCTTCCCAAAATGCTGGGATTACAGGCATGAGCCACCATGCCTGGCCTTTTCAATATGTTTTTGAGACTTAGTCTCACTCTGTTGCCCAGGCAGAGGTGCAGTGGCTCACAATCTTGGCTCACTGTAGCCTCAACCTCTGGGGCTCAAGCAGTCCTCCCATCACAACCTCACCAGTAGCTGGGACTGCAGGTGTGTGCCACCATGCCTGGCTAATATATTTTTTAGTTTTTGCAGAGACAAGGTCTCACTATATTGCCCAGCTGGTCTTGAACTCCTGGGCTCAAGCTATCCTCTTGCCTCAGCCTCCTGAAGTGCAGGGATTACAGATGTGAACCACTGTGCCCAGCCTGTCTTTTTCTTATTTACTTGTAATGGTGCCTTATGTAGAATAGATTTTAGCTCATTGTTGGTAATATATGTAGATAGAGTGCCTTTTGCCATTTAGAAGTTTATGTGACCAAATCCATTGTTTTATTCTAATGAAGTTTTATCTATTTTGAGTATTATTTATTTTGAGAGGAACTTCCCTACACCAAGCAATGTAAATGTTTTCCTTTCTGTTTTGTACATATTTTTAATTTTAAAAACATTTAGATTAATCCCCCTAGAATTAATATATGTGTATTACGTGAATGAGTGAAATGAATTTTATTGTATTTTCCCATAGGAAAGCTGACTTTCTGTGTAGTAAAAGAAATCATAAAGAAAAGGTCAGGCTGGGTGCAGTGGCTCACGCCTGTAATCCCAGCACTTTGTGAGGCCAAGGATGGCAAGTTGCTTGAGCTCAGGAATTGGAGACCAGCCTGGGCAACATGGCAAAACCTGGTCTCTACAAAAAATACAAAAATTAGCCAGGTGTGGCGGCTCATGCCTTTAGTCCCAGCTACTTAGGAGGGTGAGGTGGGAAGATCACTTGAGCCCAGGAGGTTGAGACTGCAGTGAGTTGTGATCATGCCACTGCACTCCAGCTTGGGCGACAGAGTGAGAACCTGTTTCAAAAAACAAAAAAGGCCAATAAATTTGGCTATAAAAATTTTAAAACTTGTATACCTCAGAAATAACAAGCCAAATTAAGAGTGTCAATCATAAGAGTGAAAAAAAAATCTGCCACAAACATGGGAGTTAATGTCTTTAGCAATCAGAAAAAGCAAACTAATAAAAGTGAAATAAATTATGCCTTACTGAGCTCCAGTGATGGGACTAGGGGCGGGGAGGGTGTTGGTCTCAAACAGGAGATAGTCTGGGCCTTCTGGCGGGGGGACTCCAAGACAGGGGCTGGAAGCCTAATGCTGTGTGTCCAACCTGGCCAATGAGTCTCTCTTTTGTGTCCCTTGGATTCTGAGCAACGCAAATGTGTGTGGTGGTGCACTGTGCTGAGCACTTTGTCCCTGGGGCATAGTGAGATTTTAAAGGATTCTCTATGGGATCTGAAGAAACAAGGTGAGTGGATAAGGAGGTTAGTGAAAAGCATGAGTCTGAAATGCTTTTGCTGCTCATGTGAAAAGATCCTGCAAAATAACCTAGCTCTGGGTGGTGTCATCTCACACGGGGAGCACTTATCCTGAGTGCATAGGACTGTCCCCCAAAGCTGTCCTGAGGCACCCTGTGGGTCAGCTCAGGGCCTCCTCCTGGCTGGTTGTCCTGCAGACCCCCATCTCACAGGCTTGGACCCCACAAGTCAAGTGGGGCTCATCCCCATCCCTCCTTAGGCTCAGAAATTACCTTTGTACCTAAGTTTGGTGCTCACAAAGCTGTGCAGAACACCCCATCGGTACATTCCCAAGCTTGTCTCCCAAAGGGTCCCCAGGTGAGTCACCCATTGTTGTGCCCTGGTGAGTCATATTTCCCTGGTGGGACCAGTTCTCTTCTGAACCCCAGTCCGACCTTGCAGTCCCCACTCCTTGGGGCCCCTGCTGCATAGGACCTTCCGCCATGCCCTCCATTAGACTCTCAGCACTGCCGGCTCCTGGCCTTAGCCCTGCCCCCAGGTTTGTCACTAGAGATGGATAGCAGCTCCAGTGGGGGCTTGAGTCCTCTCCAGTGAGGTGGGTGAGGCTGCTGGCCAGGCCTGAGCAGGGTGGACCCTTAGTTCCAGGCCTGGCCACTTGAAAGGCTTTGTTTGTCCCCAGGGCAGGCCACCTGGAGTCCAGAGTCACACTGAGTATGTGGTTGGGGCCAAGGGCTGAACACCAAGGGCAGGGAAGGATGGAAGGGGCAGCAAGTGCAGGCACCCTTCCCCTGGGCATCATAGGGTCTTGGCTCCAGATTTGCAGAAGGCCCCAGAACCCCCAGAATTCCAAGAATGGGCCTGGTGGGAGGGCGACAAAGAACTTGACTCAGACGATGATAAATGAAAGATGATGAGAACAGTCCTCTTGGCTCAAAAGCAAAATTCACATTTCTGATTATGACTTTGCAAGTACCAGCATTTTAGTGGTTCTCAAACAAATTCATTTAAAGAAATTTGTTGAGCACCTACCCTCTGCCCTGCAGATAGCAGTGAACAAAACAGCAATTAGATAGACAACAGAGACTTGGAAGGGTGAGAAGTGGGACAGGGTGGAAGATGAAAAATTACTTAATGGGTGCAATGCATGTTATTCGGGTGCTGGCTACCCTAAAAGCCCTGGCTTGATCACAATGCAATTAATGCATGTAACAATTGCACTCGAACCCCATACATTTATACAAAAACCCCCAGTCCTCACTGAGTCTCAGTATCCCCCCCAGTGTGGCTGTCTGTCCCCAAAGATCACCAACCCCGTCACTCACCCAGGCGGGCGGCGGGCAGCATGGCCTGCAGGTGCCAGAGACACCGGCCACCAATACCCACAGCTCCCTGCCCCCTCCCGTGGGTCTGCCTGGCATCTCAGAAGGGACCCGTGGAACCTTCTGGCTAGAAAGCAAACCAGCTCCTTTCTTCTAGCTTCCAAACATTCGTTTAAAGAAGTTGGACATACTCATGAATTTATTTCAGAAAATTTAGATAAGCACAAAAAGGAATACATAGAACTTACCTATAATACCACCACTCAGAGGTAAGGATAGTGCATATCACGGCAACTATACCAGTTACTTCCACATACTATACAATACTAGAAATAAAAATTACCTCCTGGAATGCACACACACACACACACACACACACACACACACTCATTTATATGACAAAGTTGGGATCATACAATTCATGTTATTGTTTAGCTTGCTTCTTTCATGTAACAGTCCAGCGGAGGATAATTTACATCCATGGTCCTCTGTGGCATTTCTAATGCCGCTTTATTGTGCCCCTGAACACCTTGGGTATCCATCAAAGCCCTTCTCACAGTGCAGCAGAGTTTTTCACAAGTGCATATTTGCCCCCAGGCTGTGAGTACAGTGAGGACTGATTCCACATGCTAGTTACATCCCCTGCCCTTAGTACAATGTCTACTATGTACTAATAATATTGATAACCAACAATTATTGAGCAGTTAGTGTGTGCTAGATTTTTAAAAGTCCCTCTTGAAGCAATGACCCCCAATTGCAACAAGTATGCTCTGTGTCCAGAGCTTGGTTTATAATACCGTTTTCCAATAAAGGGAAACAGAGTTGCTTACAGCAATGGGCAATTCTGGGACTGGGGCAGGAAATATACAAGACGAGCCTGGAGGATCTGGTAGTGCCAGGAAGGAAGTCAGTGCTCAAAAAGCAGAATGCTAAGGCTATGTTAAAGGAACACAGGAAGGAACTGAAAGACCTCCCAATGGCCAAAGCTAAGAACAAGTCAATAAAAAAAAGCACCGAATTAAGACTTAAAGTGTAAAACAAATACCCATGAGTCCATGCTGATATAGATGGCTGATTAAATAAATGGAGGAGGAAAGGCACATCTTGCCTGCAGAAGAATTCTAAATAATCTACGTAGACACTCCACCCTCCAGGAGGTGCCGCCTAACTCCCAGCTGAGTAAGTGTGGGCTGTGCAGAATGACTTCCTTCCAGAGAGGACAGCCTGGAAAGAGGGAAAAAGAGTCACTTTACATCGGAGAAACCTGACAAACACTATCTCAACCAGGCGATCAGGGTCAACAATGATCTATGCTGTGGACATGCTGAGAGTATGCACTGTTGATATGATATCGTGTGAACGGAACCCCAAGCCCCTTAACCCCAATCTAATCATCAGAAAAACGTCAGAAAAACCAACCCAAGTTGACAGACATTCTACAAAACAGCTGACTAGTACTCCTCAAAACTGCCAAGGTCACTAAAAACAAGGGAAGTCAGAGAAGACATCACCAAGAAGAGCCTAGGGAAACAGGAGGACCAGATGTGATCTGGGATCCTGGAGCAGGAAAAGGACGTTAGTTAAAAATGAAAAAAAAAAAATGGGAATAAACGAAGGGCTTCAGCTGATAATAGTGTATCAATATTGGCTCACTGGTGGTGCGGGGTGTGCCACACTCATGTAAGATGTCGGCAACGGGAAGGATAACCTCTGTACTACCTGCAACTTTTCTATAAAACCATTCTAAGTAAAAACTTTAAATTTATTTATTTTGAGACAGAGTCTCGCTCTGTCGCTGGAATGCAGTGGCGCGATCTCGGCTCACTGTAAGCTCCGCCTCCTGGGTTCACGCCATTCTCCTGCCTCAGCCTCCCGAGTAGCTGGGACTACAGGCGCCCGCCACCACGCCCGGCTAATTTTTTGTATTTTTAGTAGAGACGGGGTTTTACGGTGTTAGCCAGGATGGTCTTGATCTCCTGACCTCTTGATCTGCCCGCCTCGGCCTCCCAAAGTGCTGGGATTACAAGTGTGAGCCACCGCGCCTGGCCTTAAGTTTATTTTTAAAGAGTGCCTTTCATGGATTCTCCCATTTAATTCTCACATAGTCCCGTGGGGCTCTATGTCCTTCTGCATTGAGGAAATAGGGCACAGGGCTGAAGGGCTTTGCGCAAGCTCCTGGGGGAGCAGACTGCTGCGCTGGGCCTGAAACTGCAGCCCGGCCCCAGGACCTTCCCTCAAAGGGAAGTGCCCACGAATATTGAGGAGGTGGGCTCTTTGCTTGCAGACCAGTTCATCATACCACAGGCTGCCTGAGAGTCTGCGGCCCTGTCCCGTGCTGCCTGCGGAAGCCCGCAGGGCCCGCGTGGGAGGAGAGCCTGGGCTTGGAAGCCCCGCCAGCGAGGGCATGCCCTGCACAGAGGAGGGAGTGTGGAAAAGCGAGAATGAAGCTGTTTTCCTTCCCAAATTAATATGGAACAAGGAGCAGCTTAATCACACTTTGGGTTCAGTGATGTCTCCAGTTGCCACAGTAATCAGAGGCGGCCTTTACAAATAGATTGCATTTGACCTTGTTGGTTTGATGGACGGGAGTGGAGTCCGGCCGCGGACGGCGTCCCTTCCAGGGCCGGCCGCCAGAGGGCGAGCGCGCCTTCCCGGGCGGGGCGGGGACGGGACGGGGACGGGGAGGGGACGGGACGGGGACGGGGAGGGGACGGGGACACGGACACGGGAGGCTTCCGCTCGCCCGCGGGTGGCGTCTCTGCTCCCACTAGAGCGGGCCAGGCCTCTGGGTTCCGTTTCTCAAGCACACAGGGAGGGTGGCCGCGGGCCAGGGGCGGCCGCGAGACTCCACGTCCACGTCCCGGGCAGTCCCTCCGGAGGTTGGGCCGCGCGGCCCGGGGAGCGGAGCGCTGCGCTTCTCTGCGAGCACCCCGGGGCCTTTAGGCGCCCCCGTTTCCTCGTCAGTGGGGGGCGCGGTGCCGCTTCTCCGCGGGCTAAACTGCTGAGGAAGGGGCGAGTTCCTGCGGCCCCTGCCTGTCCCGGCCACGCCCCACCTCCGCCCCGCCGCGTTGCGCGTTCCCGCGGGGCCCCGGGCACCCCTGGGGCCCCGGGGATCTCTGACGCCCCCTTCCCTCCAACCCCCGCTGCGATCCCACAGGTGGGGTGAACAGCGCCCCTGCTGTCCCACGGGGCGTCTTCGCGGGTGATGCCCACACTCTCAGCCTGAAGAGCAGGACCTGTCCGCGGGTGGGGCCCACCCCCAGGCTTCCGGTGCCCGCGCGGCCTCCAGGGCGCCTCCCCCGGGCGCATCCTCCGGGCCTGGCAGGGAGCGCAGCCTGGGAGTCAGGGGCGACTGGAGCCCACCTGCTCAGCGCCCACCGCGGCGGCCCTGCCCTTTCCCCCGGGAGCAGCAGGGACAGCCTTGGAGCAGCAGCTCCCGCAGGGGGAGGAATGGCGCAGTGGCCCGAGGCTCTGGAGCTGGCCCCCTGCTCGCCCGGGGCTACCTCGGGGAAGCGCAGAATTCGCACCTTTCTTCTCCAGCTCCACGCACCCCTCATGGAACCTTAGCGAGGCCCAGGGCAGGGGATGCTGCCAGGCCGCTGCCAGGCTCTGACGCGGTTGCGGATGCCTCGCCCGGTCTCTCCGGAGGTGGAGGAGTGGCACCCCTGGCTGTGCACTGCGGTGCACCGGTGTCTGCTCAGGGCATTCTCCACCTTGCCCTCCATCCCCTCAGGGTCAAGTGAGGAGGGAGACAAATATCCCACCTTCAGAAACAGCCCTGAGAAACGTTTATTTCCAGGGGACAGTGCGATTAGACCTCTCCCGGCGCGGTGTATTTCTGTGCTTAATATTATTATTTATACATCAATATTGACATCCAGCGTCCATTGATACGTGGCATGCGTAGGTGCTAAGAAGCGCCAGCTACATAGCATGCTTTATTTATGTGCGGTAAATATTTAAAGACTCCCATGTGTTTCGATTGGAAAGTGCGTATTACTGGACAATTTCGTTTCAAAGCTTTCTCTCTGATGTAAGGTTTATTAAGATGTATGAGGTGGCTGCGGTGGCCTGATTGAGAGCCCATGAAAGTCCTGAGAAATAAAATTCTGCTGCTGCGGCCCAGGGAGTCGGCCTTCCACAGTCCCGTTTAGGAGCCGGGGCTCTTCTCCGTTATTAAGACGTGGTAGTTTGCTCTGCATGAATTACCAGCTGTTTGGTATTGCCTGAGAGGGACGGGGTGGCTAGTTTGAAAAGTCAGTTTGCAGGTTTTCCACGATGGCAGAGGTGCCACCTGTGTCACCAGCCGGCGGGGCTGGGAGTTCATCTAGCCCGGGCTATGGACAAGGCCGTGTGCGTCCAGACGGGGCCGCCAGAGGGCGCGCGTCTGCGGCCGCGGGAGGCCCAGCGGGGCCTGAGAAGTGGGCGGAGCCAGCCCCGGCCGGAGGAGCTTCTTGCTTGCAGGTGTCAGCGGCAGCAATTTCAGGCAGGGTGGCCAGGCTGCTCCCCGAGGACAGCATCTTGGAGGAATTGCTTTCATTTCCTCCCAGCTAGTCCCTCTGCCCAGCACTTGCCGGCAGCTTCTTCCATGAGGGCGGAGTTCTGTCTGCAGCCCCAAGGGGCGTTCTTTGAGGCTGTAACTAGCATCCAGGGAGAGATGGCTCACATCAGTGGAGGGTGCGAGGTGGAATCAGGTCGCTCATGACAGAGGCTGCATTCAAGCCAGAGCCCCACTGCTTTGCTGTGGGTTGAATTGCATCTCCCCTCCCACCCCTCTAAAGATATGTCCGAGTCCTAAGCCAGCACCTCAGAACGGGACCTTGTTTTGAGCAGGTTGTTTGCAAATTTAATTAGTTACGATGAGGTCATACGGGAGTAGAGTGGGTCCCTGGGTCCTTAACCCAATGGCTGGTGCCCTGATAAAAAGACAGCCCTGCAAAGACACAGAGACACACAGGGAGAACGCTGTGTGACGGTGGAGGAAGAGACTGGAGTCGTGTGGCCACAAGACAGGGAGCTCCTGGTGCCACCAGGAGCTGGAAGAGGCAGGAAGCGTCCTCTCCTAGAGGCCTCAGAGGAAGCAAGGCCCTGCTGACGCCTTGGTTTTGGACTTCTATCTCCTAAGCTGTGAGACAATGAATTTCTGTTTTAAGCCACCCAGTTTGTGGGACTTAGTTATGGTGCCCCAGGAGACAGGCACAACAAACGGGGAAAGAAAACGCAGCCACTGCCTGAGAAGGAGGCTGTGTGTCGGCTGTGGAGACACCAGCGCAGCTTCCCAGGAATTGGTTAGATCTTGGCCTCCTTTCCGTGCAGTGGTGGAAATAAGAGGAATGGAAGGCTGCTGCCTTGGGAGTGACGGCTCTGGGATTGGCCCCACCGGGCGGTGGGTGGATGGGGCAGACTAGGAGCCCTTCCTGGGAGGGTCACAGAATGAGCTAGCCAGAGTGACCCTTCTCTCTATTCACGGTCTTCAGTGTTGTTTCCTCCAAGCAGGGACAGAGTTGTTCGGTTGGAGAGTGGGAAGACTTATTTCATTCTTTTAAAATTCAGCCTGGAATCTGGGAGCAAGGAAACTTACGCATTAATGCAGCATGTCAGGAGAGCTGCCAGAATGTGCAGCCCCACAGCTGATTTCCACAACTTATCTTGGCAAAAATACTTCCAACCTGTCCCAGGATTCTGTCATGGAATCCCTGCTATATGAAAGCACCTGAGGAGAAGGATGCAGGGCCCGGAACGCTTCCCATTGCCCAGAGGCTGGTGGTTCTACCTGTCCAGAGACTTGTCCCCACCCCACGTAACTCAACAGAGAGATGATCAGACTCGTGTCTTCCCTAGGGGTGGAGGCCGTTGGAACTGTGTTCATTCTGCTAGAAATGCGGGCGAGGCTGCGGTCACCCCTGCTAGGCAGAGCCTTGGCTCCATGCTCCATGAGGACCAAGGAAGAAGCTTCTCAGGCCCCTTCTTTCTCCACATTCCAGCAGATCTTCGCCCCCTGCAAACACCCCCCACCTCTTCTAGGAGCCTGCAGTGGGGACTGGCTGCCAATTTCTGATCGGATGCAGACTATTCACCACCAACCATCCCCCAGGCAGGGCAGGTTTGACATTCACTTGGAAGACAAAGCAAGGTAGTCAGGTGTGCTGCCCCTAGACCTCGAGGAGGGACGTGGACATTATCTCACTTTCCGCGGAGGGGGCAGCAGTGGAAGCCACTGTGGTGGAGGAGAGTGGCCACCTGCTGCCCAGGCCCCCACCTAAAATTGCAGTATAATTATGGACTTGCGGGTCTTTGTACAGTTCCCGGCTTCCGGTAAATATTAATGGGTTGCCTTTTATTCATTTAGCTAATGTTTTTGAAAGATGGCCTCAAACAAAAAGATCATATCTGTATGTTGTGCTTTAATTTATTTTCACCTTTTTTTCTCCTTTGGAGACCCCTAGTGTATCATCACTTTGTTTACCACAAATTAAACCGGGGCTGATTGTTTACCAGACTGTGGGCCTCTGTGCATTGCTCCACACTCTCCCTTTTTTTTTTAATAATCACAACCTGGGATTCATTTGCGAGAGGCCCTAATCTGCATGAGAATTATACAATTAACTTTTGATTAACCACCTAGTTCTTTTGGAAACCATGGTGTATAGGATACTCTGCATTTAAATAATTTTCCTTAAATTGGGAGCAGGCCTTTCATTAAGCTGGTGAATGCTGAGAAGATAGAGGCTGGTGGTTGACTAAACAACAACATTCGGAGATAATCAGGGTCAAAACAATAGGTAAGACGGCAGGGCCAGAATGTCATCTTTAAATATAACAGTGGAGATAAAGGCCCCCAGATTGCGCCTTATCAAAACACAAAAAATCAAAGCGCTCTCTTGTCTGTGGCAAAATGCGGAGGCCCCAGCGATGTGGGGGAGAGCATTGTCTGGCGGCCACCGAAGCAGGATTTGCATTCGGGGGTCTGCCTAACACACGTTACATCACGTAGGGCACTTATCTCTGAGCCTGACAATAATTATCGGGAAGAATATACTCAGAATGACTTTTTTGTGATTTTTATGCTTCCCCAACACAAGGAAGGGGAGATAACAGCATTAGGAGGAAGGGGAGAGTCTCGGAAGACTCTCCCAGGAGCTGGTTCTTCGATTAAATTTGCTCTGCCACTCCGGTGCCGCTGAACAAGTGGGAAGAAAGCCGGCAAGCCTTTCATATAGGGTAATAATAGTCCTGAACACAGCCTTCACCAAAAGATAAGATCCATTGTCGAAACAAACAAAGGAGCCGTATTCAACAGCACTGGAAGAATATCTATGAGCAAAGTTTTAAATCCTCTTTCTGTCTCCTTCTCTCCTTGCTTGTACCTTGCACCTGGTTCTGCAAGAGGCTGGTTCTGCCGGGCTCGGGTAAGTGCACGCTGTCGGAGCCTCTAGTCCAAAGGTGCCTGGGAAAGGCAGGGCCTTCATCTCGGGGGTCACTGGGGGTTGAGTGAGGACTTTCTGAGGTCAAGGTCGTGCTCTTCCTTCCGAGAGTCTCACATTCCTTTCTTCTCCAAAGTCCTCCAGAAGAGACCTTGATCTCTGATCTGAGACCCCAGAGACCTGGCAGAAGCTCACATGAGAAAGAAGCAGTCCAGGCAGCTTTTGTGTGTTCGCTCCTACTTGGTCTTGTCAGACTTCCTGGGCATGCAGAGTCCCCAGGTGATTATTTTTCCTCAAAACAATTATTCTGCTTCCTTCTCCCTACAGGAAATACTAAGCAACCAGTGTCCAGTCTCCAACTCCAGCCCAGCATCGTTTAAACACCGATGGAATGTCCCTTACAGATAAAGCCCCGTGCTTCTAATTAGCTGCTTTGCCAGAGCCTTCTGTGCTCAGAGTGAATAGAACATGATAGTAATTGTAGACCTTTTGCCCTGCATCCTTGACCAGCGTCCTGGGGGTTGGGTGTATCCTATTCGCTAGCCTTACAGGAAGTTGCGCCCTGGGACACCGAGAGGGACTCTTCTGGTTTGATTTTAGATGAAGATACCGTGTGGGCCTTTCCCTACTAACCAAAGAGAATTACAGAGAGTTAAGATTTGATCCACGGGAGTTTTGTTCAGCCTGTTCAGCTCTTTGTCTTATTCCAGGGACACAAACCAAGGCCCTTTCCTGGCCGTGGGTGGAGGGATTCCCTGAACGCACTGACTGGGGGTTCTGAGCTGCTGTGTTAGGTGGGATCGGGGTAGGATTCCCAGGCAAGGGTTGGCTGACAGTGGGGCCCGAACATGCAGAACAGGAGGCAGTGGGCCTGCAGAGAGACCTGTCATGGCAGACCAGGGACAGCAGGGTCCTGGGTTCTTGGCACACACAGTGGAGGGGGGGGGTGGCCAGGGCAGGTGGAGGGCAGAGGGCAGAGGGCCCCGCTACGAATGCAGAGAATGGCTCGGAGACTCAGAGAGTGGCCAGCCCAGAAGGGAGAAGTGAGGACCTTGTCTTTCCACAGATGGACTGTGTGGCCTCCTGTAAACCCCTTTGCTTTCCTGAGCCTCAGTTTCTCCTTTATACCTCCTGGGGTTTCTCATAGCAAGTGCATCTGGTTGGCCCTAAAATTTGGCTGGGGCAATTAGAGGTTTCTGGGAGCTTCCTTCTTTGGCAACTGGTTTGCCCTCCTGATGCTTTTTGGGGCTGGGGGGTGGTTCAGAGCACACAACTGAACCTGTGGGGCAGCTCCCTCGTCTGCAAACCTTGTCCACAGCTGTGCACAGTGTGGCATAAGCCAGCAGAGGCAGGAAGAGAGGTGACTCCCAGCTGGACACGGGCAGTGGCATCTGTGGCATCTTCCTCCGGGCTGGCCCTCAAGCCTGACCCCGTCTGCAGGCATTAGGAGCTGGGAAGGGCCGCTCTCCACTGCCTGGTGTAGAGAATCCACTCTGTTGTATCCAAAGTGGCTGACAGAAGGGAGGAGGCAAAAGAGCCCTTGGTGAGTGCGTTTTCCACTGGAGCTGGAAGGGAATGGGGTGGATGCGGTGTCTGGGGACCAGGGTGCTTCCATGCCTGGTATTTCCCCACCATGCAGCCTGATTTTCAGAGATTTACAAGAGTTCTTAATGAGCAGGGGCTGTCTGAAGCCATCTGCACCCATGCCCCTGCCCTCTACAGTGACTCTTTCTGCAGCGGGGGCTTTTCCTTCCCAAGGAGGCCTTTGTCCCGCCCAGACTCCATGGCCAATCAGGCCTGCCGTAGGTGAGTGACACCGAGTCTGCATCTGACTCCTCAGAGCTCCATCCAACCCGTGCGCGGGGACAGGGCTCAGACTGCAGAAGTTAGCTTCGGCCACACTTAAAAAAAATAAGGTGAGCCATGAAATTTGATGTTCACAACCTTCTTGCTGGGGGTGGCTGATGTCGTTTTAACATTCAGAGAAAGATTATGTTCACAAATTCAACATGTCATTTTGGATTCTTAGTTCATTGGGCATGGGGGTCAACCTTCCCTGTAGTTTGTCGTGAGCGATGAAAGACTAATCATTCCTATGCTCTACCACATCCTGTGGTCTGGCCTTTATGAAAGTGAGGCTGTGCGTGTGCTATGTGGGCTGGACATTCAGAATGTGGGTGTTTGGAGTAGGAAGACGGGAGGACAGTTGGGGAAGTAGATGCTGCCTGTTGGGCTTGCTGATGGCTGTGATGACCCCATGCAGCTGGAAAATGCCTGCTGGACCTGGCTTTGACCTTCAAAATTAGGGGGCGGGTTCCCACGCACCAGGTGGGTGGAAATGCTCACAGCAGAGGATGAGGCGGCTGGATGCCAAGCCTATAATTAAAAAAGGGCTTTGCAGATGGGTCCTTTTAACTCATCTCCATCTTATAAACACTGAGAAGATATAGGAAGGGCAAAGTGGAGACTAGGAAGATTACAGTAATATAGCTTCTCGGCTAATTGATTAGCAATTATGGCTGGTAATATTGTTCATTTTAATTGTGTTTAATCTCTATTTTGGTAATAAAGATTATTGTTTTGGATTATGACTTTGTCCTACTATACTAATTAGTAACTTGTGAAATTAAAGTGTATATTTTCACATCCTGAAAAAAATTCACAACCTGCTCTTATATAATAGCTTCCCTTTCTGAACAGACCAGTTGTTTGGGGGTGTTTTGTCCTTAACATCTTAGAAGGACTGAATTTTGACAAGCAAAGTATGTGATATTTGGCCAGTTGACCAAGAAATAGAGGATTTATTTTAAAAAGTCATGTTTTTAAGGGAAGGAAAGAAACAGAAGATATTGCCAGAAATAAATCTGAAAAGTGAGAGAACACAAGTAGAATTACTTGGAAAATGGATTTCTAATTTTCCAGAGGAGGTGTCCCTAGAGTCAGGCCTGCTGCTCTTGACTGATTGCAGTGGCAGAACCCCACCTCAGAGCCCTGCACCCCACTTTTCCACGGTTACGCCTGCAGGCACTGCCTGGTCTCCTCCCTCCTGAGACAAACGTCGGTTTGACACATCTATTGCTTGTGCTTAGATTTTTTTTTCCCCACAAACTTTTTGTATTGAGTAGCCCACACTTGCAGCTACCATTTCCTCCCCACTGCCTCATCCTGACTCTTGTAGAGCAACCACACTCATGGACCTTTCCCACAACCCACCCCCAACAAAGGCATTTCCCCAGGTCACATTCAGGATCTCTACAAGCCGTTGACCTTATGTGTCTCCCTCTCCTGACCCTGGCCTTCCAATGCAGCCATGAGCTGCATGACAATGTTTCAGTCAACAACCCAATGCTTGCACCACCGTGCTCCCATAAGATGATACTGGAGCTGAGCTGAAAAGTCCTATTGCCTGGTACCAGTGTGGCCCTCATGACGCCTGTGCAACACCTGACTCGTGTTTGCGGTGATGCTGGTGTAAACAAACCTCTTGTGTTGCTGGTCATTTGAAAGTCTAATGCACCCAATTATGTCCAGTACATAATACTTGCTAATGATGATAAACGACCATGTGACTGGCTTATGTATTTACTATATTATGCTTTTATTATTATTTTAGAGTGTACACCTTCTACTTATTAAAAAAAAAAAAGTTAACTGTGAAACAGCCTCAGGCAGGTCCTTCAGGAGGTGTTCCAGAAGAAGTCATTGTTATCAAAGTCTTCTGTGATGGGGTGACAGCTCCATGCCTGTTATTTTCCCTCAAGACCTTCCAATGGGACCAAATGTGGAGGTGGAAGACAGGGATATTGATGATCCTGACCCTGAGTAGGCCTAGGCTAATGTGTGTGTCCGTGTCTTAGTTTTTAGCAAAAGAGCATAACAAGCAAAAAAAAAAAAAAAAAAAAAATTAGAAAACAAAAAAATGCTTATATAATAAGGATATAAAGAAAGTATTTTTGTATAGCTATACAATATGTGTTTTAAGCTAACTGTTATTACAAGAAAACATGAAAAAGTTTATAAAGTGAAAAAGTTACAACAAGCTAAAGTTAGTTTATTGTTGAAAAAAGAAAATTCGTTTTTATAAATGTAGTGTGGCCCAAGTATACAGTGTTTATAAAGTATACAGTAAGGTACAGACATATCCTAAGTCTTCACATGCATGCACCACTCACCCACTCACTCACTCACCCACGCACCCACCCACCCACCAACCCACTCACCCACTCACCCACTCACTCATTCACTCACCCACCCACTCACCCACTCACTCACTCACCCACTCACCCACTCACCCACCCACTCACTCACTCACTCACACACCCACTCACTCACTCACTCACCCACTCACTCACTCACTCACCCACTCACTCACTGACCCACTCACCCACCCACTCACTCACCCACTCACCCACTCACCCACCCAGTCACTCACTCACCCACTCACCCACTCACACACTCACTCACCCACTCACTCACTCACTCACCCAGAGGAACTTTCAGGCCTCCAAGTTATTTTTTATTGTTTTATTTTTTTTTTCTGAGACAGAGTCTCACTCTGTCGCCCAGGCTGGAGTGCAGTGGTGAGATCTCAGCTCCTGCAGCCTCTGCCTCCTGGGTTCAAGTGATTCTCCTGCCTCAGCCTCCTGAGTACCTGGGATTACAGGCACTTGCCACAATGCCTGGCTAAGTTTTTGTATTTTTAGTAGAGATGGAGTTTCACCATGTTGACCAGGCTGGTCTCGAACTCCTGACCTCAAGTGATCCGCCTGCCTTGGCCTCCCAAAATGCTGGGATTACAGGTGTGAGCCACCATGCCCAACCTCAGGCCTACAAGTTCTGTTTGTAATAAGTGCACGATAGAGGTACCCCATTAACAAAAATCTTCTATACCATATTTTTGCTGTACCTTTTCTATGTTTAGCTATGGTTAGATACACAGAAACTTACCATCGTGTTCCAGCTGCCTACAGCATTCAGTCCAGTACCATGCTGCATGGGATTGTAGACTAGGAGCAATAAGCCATACTATATGGCCTAGGTGTGTAGTAGGTTATACCATCTGGGTTTGCGTAAGTATACTCTGTAATGTTTGCACAGCGACGACATCGCCTAACAATGCATTTCTCAGAAGTTGTCTCTGTTATTCAGGGACAAAAGCTGTATAGAGTTTCCTGAGTATTATTATACTGGACACACTGCCCCACCTCTACACAACTGTTAAAATGAATGTGTGTTATAAGGGTTCAACATACTCAAACCATTGTTGACAATTGAGAGTACTTTTCAGTCTTTTTTTTTTTTTCTGACACAGATCAAGGGTTGGAAAACTGTTTTTTTTTTTTCTTTTTTTTTTTGTGGGTCAGAGAGTGAATACTTCAGGCTTTGCAGGTCTCTGTGGCATCTACTGAACTCTGCTGTTACAGCGGGAAAGCAGCCATGGGCACCACCTGAGTGAATGTGTGTGGCTGGTGCCAATGAAACTCTACACACACGCAGGAGGGTGGGCTTGGCCCACAGGCTGTAGTTTGCTGACTTGGATATAAATATTTACATGTATAAGTAGTATATAAGTGTGATTAATTTCACATTACAATGGGAGAGTTTGTCTTTGTCAATCAAGTTTATTTCTGAATATAATGTTAGCAGTTGTACAGTGTCCTGCTCCAAACATCTGTCATTATTTTATTTTCAGAAAGATTGTAGCAATTTATAATTTCACTGGTGGTGCATGAGAACACTGGCCTGTGCCTACAACAGGCAAATTGTTAAAAAAAAAAAAAGAAAAAAGCAAAGGTGTTGCTAATTAGATAGGGATCTGAGATCTTATGGAATTCTGCCTGGTATTTTTTGCTTGTTCCTGCCTGTTACTTTAATGGTATTGATCACAGTACCTTAGAGTTAATCGATTCGCTCTGAGACGTGTAGAGTGCTTTATGGTCTAGAAAGCCATTCCCTGTGTGTTTTCTCACCCAGTTCCCTCACGTTGCTGTAGGGAAACGCAACCTCATCTCCATTATCCAACAGCATTAAAGCTTAGTGAGCATCTCAGATACAGAGGCTGACATACGACTTGAGTCTGATCTTCTGACCCTGAATCCTGCACTTATTTTCACAGCAAAGCTTAAGTCACTGGGCAGATACTTCCCTCCAGAGTGACTTCCTTTGCAAACAGACTCGTCAGTTTTCCTGTTGCGCCGTGTGGCTAGGATGTGTCCGTGACACACCACGGATCATTGCCACACAGGAAAACAGAGCCGCTGTTTTTTTATGGTGCACTTCCTAGCCGCACACCTCCTCAGGGGCTCCCCGGAGACATCACTGTTAAAGGTCCCCCAAGGCTGACCTTGTTGTGGGCAGTGGACCTCAGAATCCCACCTTGGTGTCTGGACCTCCCTCTGGCTCCTGCTCTCCTATCTTCTCCATGTCCTTGCAATTTCTCAGAGACACGTGTCAAAAAGGTGTCACAGCCACTGAAACAGAGAAGATGCAGTTAGACTAAAACCCTTTAAAAAAAAAACACCAAAAGCATGGGAGCTTTGTGCAGTTTCCTCTCCTCTGCAGCGTATCAGAGCACTTCCTCTTCCCGATGAGCCCCTTGAATGAAAGCTTGAAAATGGTACCCGGAGGTGAAGCTGGCGCGGACATCAACTGCCAGAGCTTCAGGGAAGAAAGCGGTGTGCTCTGCCCTGAACCTCCCTCTGACCGTGGAATTGAAAATGAATCACATTCCTAATAAATGTAATCCCACAAACTCTGAATGAACAGTGCTGAGAGCAGGCGCTGGCATGAGCGAGCACTTCGGCAAGAGCCCTGGCTGCCTTCAGGGCGGCCAAGCCGCCCCTTCCTCCCCTGGAACGATGACTACGTGTGTTGTGCCATGCCCTTGCAAAGCCCCACAGGTCCCTTTTGTTTGGGCAATTTGCATTTGTTAGACAGTGTCTGAGCATGTGGAATCCAGCTCCTAAACACATTTTTGGAGGCATCTTTCAAGGGTATGACATTGCAATGGGCTTTTGTGCTAAGAACCATAAGTGAAGGGCAGTGGGCTACTCCTGACCTCTGCAAACATTACGGTCAGGAGCTCACTTCTATTTGGGAGAATCTTTTTTTTCTTTTTTTTTTTCCCCCCTCAGCACTTATGCCAGAACCAACTGTATTATAGGCCGTCTAATTGAGACTTGGCAGCTGACAGCCCAGATCAAAGGCAGCTCAAGCCCAGATCTCGGATCCCAGGCCAGTGGGCACTTAGTGTGTCTCAGAAGCAAAGCGTCCCTCCCGCTTTCCAGCTGTTCATGCCAACACTGCTGCCTCAGCATCCCCACCGGCTGAACCATGGGCTGCTCCACCATCGGTTCCAGAAAGAGCCACTTGTGAGCTATTAAAGACAGCAATGAAGTGCCTCAGTGACAGCAGTGATGCAGGGAAAGATGGAGGAACCATCCGGGAAGGCGTTCTCCTTTTTCCACTGCGCTGAGTCTGTGAGCAGGAGCACCCAGCCAACCAGAGGCAGGCGGGGAGGGCCCCGGTGGGAGTGGGCGTGTGGGAGGGATGGAGGATTCCTTCAGGGAGAAGAGCATAAAAAGAACATTTCATAAGTTCACAGGCAATAGATGTCAACCATGTTCTCAGATGTTTACTAAGCCAAGAATCCTATATCCAAGGAACACAGAAAGGAGAGCCAGTTCCCAGTTTAGTAATAAGAACACAGCTACTTGGTAGAAGTGAAAAACCACCAAGAGGATGCCTTAAGGATTAAATATGTCAAGTAGTTCCATTTGGGCTCATTTCATCCATTTTCTGAATCTCAAGCTCCTTGTCTATAATAAGCAACTCTAACTATAATTGCAAACACACAGGCGCACGTGCACACACACATCCCCATACATGCACACCCATCCAGTTAGCATAGAGAGGTTGCACACTGGTCATTTGGGAAATGCAAACTAAAACCACAATGAGACACCACTTCACCCTCAGTAGGAGGGCCTCGTGTCTAGCTTCCATGGAGAGAAGGGGGTCGGAATAAGTAACTCCACTGTGTAGGTTGGCATCCATTCTGAACTAATTCTTGTATATGGCGTCTAAAAGCTTGAGCAAGTATGCACTGGGCTGGCCAGGTGCATCTCGAGAATGACATGGCTCAGGGGGCAGTCTGCGGGGCTGGGTGGGCTATGCTGTGTACAGGAGGAGAAGTGTGGGAATGAGAGAGACATGGTCTGCCAGGGTAGAAGGTACTGGTATGAAGAGGAGAGTTGGGAGCCACCTTGCAGTGCCTCAGAGAATAGGAGCTTGTGGGTTCCCAGGGATATTGGACAGGTAAGTACATTAGGAATCAGTTTATCAGCAAAGTGCTAGATGTTCAAAGGGAAAAGGGCCTGATGAGACTTCTGTCTGCTCAATGCCACTTTTTAAAAAACTTTTATGTTTATTTTTATTTTATTTTCTTTTATTTTATTATACTTTTAAGTTCTAGGGTATATGTGCACAACGTGCAGGTTTGTTACATAGGTATACATGTTCCATGTTGGTTTGCTGCATCCATCGACTCATCATTTATGTTAGGTATTTTTCCTAACGCTATCCCTCTCCCAGGCCCCCACCCCGCGACAGGCCCCACTGTGTGATGTTCCCCACCCTGTGTCCAAGTGTTCTCATTGTTCAGTTTCTGCCTATGAGTGAGAACATGCCATGTTTGGTTTTCTGTCCTTGTGACAGTTTGCTGAGAATGATGGTTTCCAGCTTCATCCATGTCCCTGCAAAGGACATGAACTCATCCTTTCTTATGGCTGCATAGTATTCCATGGTGTATAGGTGCCACACTTTCTTAATCCAGTCTAGCATTGATGTGCATTTGGGTTGGTTCCAAGTCTTTGCTATTGTGAATAGTGCCACAATAAACATACGTGTGCAAGTGTCTTTATAGTAGCATGATTTATAATCCTTTGGGTATATACCCAGTAATGGGATCACTGGGTCAAATGGTAATTCTAGTTCTAGATCCTTGAGGAATCACCACACTGTCTTCCACAATGGTTGAACTAATTTACACTCCCACCAACAATGTAAAAGTGTTCCTATTTCTCTACATCCTCTCCAGCAACTGTTTCCTGCCTTTTTAATGATCGCCATTCTAACTGGCGTGAGATGATATCTCATTGTGGTTTTGATTTGCATTTCTCTGATGGCCAGTGATGATGAGCATTTTTTCATGTGTCTGTTGGCTGCATAAATGTCTTCTTTTGAGAAGTGTTTGTTCATATCCTTTGCCCACTTTTTGATGAGGTTGTTTTTTTATTGTAAATTTGTTTAAGTTCTTTGTAGATTCTGGATATTAGCCCTTTGTCAGATGGGTAGATTGTGAAAATTTTCTCCAATTCTGTAGGGTGCCTGTTCACTCTTATGGTAGTTTGTTTTGCCGTGCTGAAGCTCTTCAGTTTAATTAGATCCCACTTGTCTATTTTGGCTTTTGTTGCCATTGCTTTTGGTGTTTTAGTTATGAAGTCCTTGCCCATGCCTATGTCCTGAATGGTATTGCCTAGGTTTTCTTCTAGGGTTTTTATGGTTTTAGGTCTAACATTTAAGTCTTTAATCCATCTTGAATTAATTTTTGTATAAGGTGTAAGGAAGGGAGCCAGTTTCAGCTTTCTACATATGGCTAGCCAGTTTTCCTAGCATCATTTATTAAATAGGGAATCCTTTCCCATTTCTTGTTTTTGTCAGGTTTGTCAAAGATCAGATGGTTGTAGATGTGTGGTGTTATTTCTGAGGCCTCTGTTCTGTTCCATTGGTCTATATATCTGTTTTGGTACCAGTACCATGCTGTTTTGGTTACTGTAGCCTTGTAGTATAGTTTGAAGTCAGGTAGTGTGATGCCTCCAGCTTTGTTCTTTTTGCTTAGGATTGTCTTGGCAATGTGGGCTCTTTTTTGGTTCCATGTGAACTTTAAAGTAGTTTTTTCCAATTCTGTGAAGAAAGTCATTGGTAGCTTGATGGGGATGGCATTGAATCTATAAGTTACCTTGGGCAGTATGGCCATTTTCATGATATTGATTCTTCCTATCCATGAGCATGGGATGTTCTTCCATTTGTTTGTGTCCTCTTTTATTTCGTTGAACAGTGGTTTGTAGTTCTCCTTGAAGAGGTCCTTCAAATTCCTTGTAAGTTTGATTCCTAGGTATTTTATTCTCTTTGAAGCAATTGTGAATGGGTGTTCACTCATGATTTGGCTCTCTGTTGGTCTGTTCTTGGTGTATAGGAATGCTTGTGATTTTTGTGCATTGATTTTGTAACCTGAGACTTTGCTGAAGTTGCTTATCAGCTTAAGGAGGTTTTGGGCTGAGATGATGGGATTTTCTAAATATACAGTCATGTCATCTGCAAAGAGGGACAATTTGACTTCCTGTTTTCCTAATTGAATACCCTTTATTTCTTTCTCTTGCCTGATGGCCCTGGCCAGAACTTCCAACACTGTATTGAATAGGAGTGGTGAGAGAGGGCATCCTTGTGCCGATTTTCAAAGTGAATGCTTCCAGTTTTTGCCCATTCAGTATGATATTGGCTGTGGGTTTGTCATAAATAGCTCTTATTATTTTGAGATACATTCTATCAAAACCTAGTTTATTGAGAGTTTTTAGCATGAAGGGCTGCTGAATTTTGTCAAAGGCCTTTTCTGCATCTATTGAGTTAGTCATGTGTTTTTTGTCGTTGGATCTGTTTATGTGATGGATTACGTTTATCGATTTGTGTATGTTGAACCAGTCTTGCTTCCCAGGGGTGAAGCCAACTTGATCGTGGTGGATAAACTTTTTGCTGTGCTGCTGGATTCGGTTTGCCAGTATTTTATTGAGGGTTTTTGCATCAATGTTCATCAGGGATATTGGTCTAAAATTCTCTTTTTGTGTGTGTGTGTCTCTGCCAGGCTTTGGTATCAGGATGATGCTGGCCTCATTAAATGAGTTAGGGAGGATTCCCTCTTTTTCTATTGATTGGAATATTTTCAGAAGGAATGGTACCAGCTCCTCTTTGTACCTCTGGTAGAATTTGGCTGTGAATCCATCTGGTCCTGGACTTTTTTTTGGTTGGTAGGCTATTAATAATTTCCTCAATTTCAGAGCCTGTTATTGGTCTATTCAAAGATTCAACTTCTTCCTGGTTTAGTCTTGGGAGGGTGTATGTGTCCAGGAATTTATCCATTTCTTCTAGATTTTCTAATTTACTTGCATAGGGGTATTCACAGTATTCTCTGATGGTAGTTTGTATTTCTGTGGGATCAATGGTGATATCCCCTTTATCATTTTTTATTGCGTGTATTTGATTCTTCTCTCTTTTCTTCTTTATTAGTCTTGCAAGCGGTCTATCAATTTTGTTGATCTTTTCAAAAAACCAGCTCCTGGATTCATTGATTTTTTTGAAGGGTTTTTTGTATCTCTATCTACTTCAGTTCTGCTCTGATCTTAGTTATTTCTTGCCTCCTGCTAGCTTTTGAATGTGTTTGCTCTTGCTTCTCTAGTTCTTTTAATTGTGATGTTAGGGTGTTGATTTTAGATCTTTCCTGCTTTCTGTTGTGGGCATTTAGTGCTATAAATTTCCCTCTACACATTGCTTTAAATGTGTTCCAGAGATTCTGGTACGTTGTGTCTTTGTTCTTATCAGTTTCAAAGAACATCTTTATTTCTGCCTTCATTTCGTTATGTACCCAGTAGTCATTCAGGAGCAGGTTGTTCAGTTTCCATGTAGTTGTATGGTTTTGATTGAGTATCTTAATCCTGAGTTCTAATTTGATTGCACTATGGTCTGAGAGACAGTTTGTTGTGATTTCTCTTCTTTTACATTTGCTGAGAAGAGCTTTACTTCCAATTATGTGGTCAATTTTAGAATAAGTGCGATGTGGTACTGAGAAGAATGTATATTCTGTTGATTTGGGGTGGAGAGTTTTTGTAGATGTCTATTAGGTCCACTAGGTGCAGAGCTGAGTTGAAGTCTTGGATCTCTCTTTAACCTTCTGTTGCATTGATCTGTCTAATATTGACAATGTTGTGTTAAAGTCTCCCATTATTATTGTGTGGGAGTCTAAGTCTTTTTGTAGGTCTCTAAGGACTTGCTTTATGAATCTGGGTGCTCCTGTATTGGGTACATATATATTTAGGTTAGTTAGCTCTTCTTGTTGAATTGATCCCTTTACCATTATGTAATGGGCTTCTTTGTCTCTTTTGATCTTTGTTGGTTTAAAGTCTGTTTTATAAGAGATTTGGATTGCAACCCCTGCTTTTTTTTGCTTCCCATTTGCTTGGTAGATCTTCCTCTATCCCTTTATTTTGAGCCTATGTGTGTCTCTGCATGTGAGATGGGTCTCCTGAATAGAGCACGTTGATGGGTCTTGACTCTTTATCCAATTTGCCAGTCTGTGTCTTTTAATTGGGGCATTTAGCCCATTTACATTTAAGGTTAATATTGTTATGTGTGAATTTGATCCTGTCATTATGATGTTAGCTGCTTATTTTGCCCATTAATTGATGCAGTTTCTTCAAAGCATTGATGGTCTTTACCATTTGGCCTGTTTTTGCAGTGGCTGGTACAGGTTGTTCGTTTTCATGTTTAGTGCTTCCTTCAGGAGCTCTTGTAAGGCAGGCCTGTTGGTGACAAAATCGCTCAGCGTTTGCTTGTCTGTAAAGGATTTTATTTCTCCTTCACTTATGAAGCTTAGTGTGGCTGGATATGAAATTCTGGGTTGAAAATTCTTTTCTTTAAGAACGTTGAATATGGGCCCCCACTCTCTTCTGGCTTGTAGGGTTTCTGCCAAGAGATCCACTGTTAGTCTGATGGGCTTCCCTTAGTGGGTAACCTGACCTTTCTCTCTGGCTGCCCTTAACATGTTTTCCTTCATTTCAACCTTGGTGAATCTGACAATTATGTGTCTTGGGGTTGCTCTTCTCGAGGAGTATCTTTGTGCTGTTCTCTGTATTTCCTGAAGTTGAATGTTGGCCTGCCTTGCTAGGTTGGGGAAGTTTTCCTGGATAATATCCTGAAGAGTGTTTTCCAACTTGGTTCCATTCTCCCCGTCACTTTCAGGTACACCAATCAAACGTAGATTTGGTCTTTTCACATAGTCCCATATTTCTTGGAGACTTTGTTCATTTCTTTTTACTCTTTTTTCTCTAACATTGTCTTCTCACTTTATTTTATTAATTTGATCTTCAGTCACCGATATCCTTTCTTCCACTTGATCAAATCGGCTATTGAAGATTGTGCATGTGTCACGAAGTTCTCGTGCCATGGTTTTCAGCTCCGTCAGGTCATTTAAGGTCTTCTCTACACTGTTTATTATAGTTAGCCATTCGTCTAACCTTTTTTCAAGGTTTTTAGCTTCCTTGTGATGGGTAGAACATGCTCCTTTAGCTCAGAGAAGTTTGTTATTACTGACCTTCTGAAGCCTACTTCTGTCAACTCATCAAAGTCATTCTCCGTCCAACTTTGTTCTGTTGCTAGCAAGGAGCTGTGATCCTTTGGAGGAGAAGAGACACTCTGGTTTTTAGAATTTTCAGCTTTTCTGCTCTGGTTTCTCCCCATCTTTGTGGTTTTATCTACCTTTGGTGTTTGATGTTGGTGACCTACAGTTGGGGTTGTGGTGTGGATGTCCTTTTTGTTGATGTTGATGCTATTCCTTTCTATTTGTTAGTTTTCCTTCTAACAGTCAGGTCCCTCAGCTGCAGGTCTGCTGGAGTTTGCTGGAGTTCCACTCCAGGCCCTGTTTGCCTGGGTATCACCAGCGGAGGCTGCAGAACACTAAATATTGCTGCCTGATCCTTCCTCTGGAAGCTTCATCCCAGAGGAGCACCCACCTGTATGAGGTGTCTGTTGGCCCTTAATGGGAGGTGTCTCCCAGTTAGGCTACACAGGGGTCAGGGACCCACTTGGGGAGGCAGTCTCTCCGTTCTCAGAGCTCAAATGCCTTTCTGGGAGAAAAACTGCTCTTTTCAGAGCTGTCAGATAGGGACGTTTAAGTCTGCAGAAGTTTCTGCTGCCTTTCATTCAGCTATGCCCTGCCCATAGAGGTGGAGTCTATAGAGGCAGCAGGCTTTGCTGAGCTGTGGTGGGCTCTGCCTAGTTTGAGCTTCCCAGCCACTTTGTTTACCTACTCAAGCCTCAGCAATGAAAGATGCCCCTCCCGCCGCCCGGCTGTAGCCTTGCAGGTCCATCTCAGACTGCTGTGCTAGCAGTGAGCAAGGCTCTGTGGGTGTGGTACCCACCGAGCCAGGCATGGGAGAGAATCTCCTGGTCTGCCGGTTGCTAAGACCATTGAAAAAGTACAGTATTTGGGCATGAGTGTCCTGTTTTTCCAGGTACAGTCTGTCATGGTATCCCTTGGCTAGGAAAGGGAAATCCCCTAACCCCTTGTGCTTCCTGGGTGAGGCGACACCCTGCCCTGCTTTGGCTTGCTCTCCATGGGCTGCACCCACTGTCCAACCAGTCCCAATGACATGAACCAGGTATGTCAGTTGGAAATGTGGAAATCACCTGTCTTCAGCATCGATCATGCTGGGAGCTGCACATGGGAGCTGTTCCTATTCGTCCATCTCTGCTCAATGCCACTTTTACAGCTCTTTGGCTGGCACCACCAGTGGGTGGTCCCTGAGGCCTCACCCTAGCCAGTGGAGCTAGCCATCCCTACCCCCCACTCTCCATGGAAGTTGAACACGATGCCATCCCTGTGAGTGTGAAGTGGTGTCTCATTGTGGTTTTAATTTGCATTTCCTAAATGACCAATGATTTGGAGCATCTTTTAATGTACTTATTCCCGTGTATTTTGGTGAACTGTCTATTCAAATCTCTTGCCAATTAAAAAAAAATTTTGTCTTATACAGTAATTTAGTTGTAAGAGTTCTGTAAATTACAGATATAAGTTCCTTATTGAATATATGGTTTGAAAAGTTTTCTCTGAGATTGAATCCTGCTATTTTGTCTTTTCACTTTCTTAATTGTATCTTTTGAAGTGCAGAAGTTTTTGATTTTGATGAAGTCCAATTTATCATTTTTTTAACTTTTATTATATGTGCTTTTGATATATCTAAAAAAAACTTTGCCTGACCCAAGATCACAAAGATTTACTCCTCTGTTTTCTTCTAAGAGCTTTATAGTTTTATAAGTCTGTGATTCATCTGTTCCGAACTAATTCTTGCATATGGTGTGTGATGGTCTAAGTTATCATTTTGCATGTGGTTATACAATAGTTTCAGCACCATTTCTTATAAAAACTGTTTTATCCCCCAGTGAATTATCATAAAACCTTTATTAAAATTATCAGTTGACTATAAATTTAAGGCTTATTCCAGGATTTGCAATTCTATTCCACTTATATAAGTGCCTATCTTCATGCCAGTATCAAATTGTCTTGGTTACTATAACTTGTAGTATATTTTGAAATAGAGAAGTGTGAGTTCTTAACTTCCTTTTTTGTCTCATTGCACTAGCCAGTATTGGTGAGAGGAGACATCCTTTTCTGTTGCTGATCTTAGGGGAAAAATATCTAAGTTCTCACCATGAGGATTTGCATTAAATCTGTAGATGAAGTTGGGGAATGTTTCCATCTTGACAATATGGAGTCTTCCAATCTATAAACATAGAATTTCTCTCCATTTATTTATATCTTTTATCTTTCTTTCACTACTGTTGTGTAGTTTTCAATGTACAAGTCTTACACTTCTTTTGTTAAATTTATCTCTCTTTTATTCTTTTTGATGCTATTGTGAATAGAATTGTCTTATTATCTTTCAATTTTTTATTGTTGATATACAGAAATACAACTGAGTTTTGAATTAGGCTATTCGTGAATGAAGACAGTTTTAGTTCTTTTCCAATCTAGATGTCTTTTATTTACTTTTCTTGCCTAATTGCCAGGTTGAAATTCCAGTACAGTGTTGAATAGAGGTAATGAAGGGAGATATTCTTGACATTTTCCAAATTTGAGGGGGAAAGCATACAGTCTTTTGTGATTAAGCGAAGGTTTCTCATAATTGCCTTATATATGGTTGAGGAAGTTCCCTCCTATTATTAGTTTGTTGAGGGTTTGTTTTTTATCTTGAATGGATGCAATTTCTTTGGCTTTTGTGGATGGACATGAGCCATTTTACCACCAAAAGATGAGAAAGGCAGAAGCTAGAGGACTGAGAGGAAAATGTTGAAGAGTCTGGATCAAGTCAGCCCTGAGGCTCACCCTACTTCTCAACATCTTCATGTGTGAGCCAGCAGATGTTTTTACTGCTGGAGGCTTTTTGAGTTTGGCTTCCTGTTAAGATCAACAGAAAACCCTTTTACCGATAAACCTTCTCCAAGTAGTCTTCCCAACCCACCCAAACGGATGTGCTGTGTCCTAACTTTCCATGGCTCTTTGTAGCTCAGTTATTGCACATTTTTGTCTACTCCCTTTGATGCTTTGTTTGTGTCTTGTTTCCCCTGCCAGCTCCTTAGAACAGGGTCATTGCTGCATCCATGTCTGCCTCCCTTACAGTGCTTAGCCCTGTGCTTGCAAAAAGTTGATGTTAAAGTTTTTTATAAACTAATGCAAAAATACTTGAGTAATTACTACTGAAACTGGATTAGATGCTTTAATTTTTTCTTTAGGAGTCTCTCTAAATGTGAGTAGAATTGTCTTATTAATTTTATTTTTCTATTTTTTACTATTGGTATACATAAATACAATTGATTTTTGTATTAGCTTTGTAGTTTTTGTAGCTTTTTACATGGATTTCTTAGGATTTTCTATCTACAAATTATGTTATCTGTGAATGAGAACAGTTTTACTTCTTTATTTCCAATCTGGATGTCATTTTTTTTTATTTGAATCTCCCCGGCTGGAGTGGAGTGGCACAATCATGGCTCACTGCAACCTCTGTCTCCCAGGCTCAAGTGATCCTCCCATCTCAGCCTCCTGAGTAGCTGGGACCACAGGCGTACACCCCCACACTTGGCTAACTTTTTGTTTTTTTTTTTTGTAGAGGCAGGGTTTCAGCATGTTGGCCAGGCTGGTTTCGAACTCCTGAGCTCAAGTGATCCACCCACCTTGGCCTCCCAAAGTGCTGGGATTACAGGCATGAGCCACAGAGCCCAGCCTGGATGTCTTTTATTTACTGAGAAAATTGGTTGCTGTTTTATATATAAAAAAATCTAGTCTTGGAACCATTTGCTCAATCCATAGAGTACCCACTGATTGGAGTGAGGGGGAAGGACCCAGAGGTTTTCTTTCTTGGGAAGACCTCTTTCTCTCATCCTCCAGCTCTGTGCTCTGTGGAACAGGATTGCAATCACTAACCCTGTTTTACAGATGAGGCCTATGAGACATCTGGTCTTGTCTTGTTTCACACAGCTAGTTGGACCAGGGCTGGGACAAGAACTCACATGTGTCTGGAAATGAACACACATTGTTGTAACTCCAGTCACAAACCTGTGCCACCTCTAGTGTGATTCTTGTCCTGGAATAGCACCTACTAGTAAGAGTCATGAGAGTCTTAGAGACAATATTATATAATTCTTTAGTTTCACAGTTAAGCACATTGAAACCAAGGAGAGTAAAGTGGGTTTTTTTTGGGGAGTCATACTCATGGGGTGATGTGGGGGTCTTAGTCTTTGTCAGGGTAGCCAATAATCACTGCTTAGGGAAGTCAGTTTCTTCCTAAAAGTAATGAAGAACTTGGGACAGGGCATTTTCTTTTTATACACATAAGGGAACCATTTACCTGTGTCTCTTAGATATCTCAGAGATTTCTGGAAAGCAGGAGCTTATATCCAGGGGCTGCATCCTGTTGAAAACATCATCACTGCTTAGCCTTTGGAATGGGATTGTCTTTCTGGACTCCACGTTTCAGTAACCTGAAAAAAATTTAATGAAACTCCAAATATCAAGCAGAAATGCATTTCCTTCTGACCTAAAAGATTTGGGGGAGAGGATTTGTCACTATTAGTAGCAATAGTGATTCTACTGTGAATCAAGCCATTTCTCCTAATTGAGGTGATGCTCCCTAGAGTTTCACTGTCTTTCCTGAGAGTTTCCAGCATTGGGCCTTCAGGGAGAGTTTGGGGTGCATTCAGTCTGAAAGGAGCAGCTGACTCTGGCCCTGGAGGTTAAATGGGAATGGAAAACAACTGGTGAAGGGGAAGGAACCCAAAGGGAGTGGAGGTAAGAGATTTTCCTAGCATCTTACACATAGTAGTTGCTCGAAACAATGCTTTTGAAAGGATGCATGAGTGAGAGTGTCCAACAAGGCTGCAACCTCCTCTAGGAGGTGACCTATGTTCTCCTTTTGCCTAGTCCTTTATTACACCAAGATGCATAGAATATTCATGTTAGAGTTTCAAAGGTCCCTTGAATTTTGAACTGAATTGAATGATAACTGTTTCAGTTTTCCATTGCTGCATCACTCAGCCCTCCAAAACTTAGTGTCTTAAAACAACTGTTTCATTATTCTCTTGTTTTCTCTGGTTTGGTTGAGTTCAGCCAGGCGGTTCTTCTGCTGGTCTCACTTGGAGTCTCTCATGCAGATGTACTCAGATCATAGCTGGAAATGGGATTTCTGGAGGCTCGACTGGGACACTGGCATGGCTGGAGCCCCCTTGCTCTTCATGTAAGTCTAAGCCTCTTCTTTCCATGTGGCTTCTCATGTAGTTTCTTTTGTAGTCTCTGTACAGAGCAGCTGGACATCTCTGTATGGTGGCTCAGGGCTCCAGGAAGGATTTCCAGAGGACTCTACTGTGCAAGCACTTATGAAATTTCTGCTTGTACTCTTCTTGCTAATGTCCCATTGGTCAAAGCAACTCATGTGACCAAGCCCATAGTCCTTGTGGGAAAAGACTACAAAATGACAGGAATGCCAGGAGTCAAGATAACTGGGAGTGTCCAGTGGAACAGTCTACCAGGCACAGTGGAGGCAGAGGAGGCTTTCCAGGTAGCAGGGTGAGGCAGTGCCACACGGTTGTCCTGTGTGACTCTAGTTTAGGGTGAATAGACTTGGAGACTGGTGAAAGACAAGGCTGGAATGGTGATTGCAACCAGACTGAGAGGTCTTTCAATGCCATGGGAGGAGTCTGGACATTATCTTATAGACTGATGACAGGAAACCAGCAGAGGTCTCCAGGCTGGGCCATGTAGCCCAGGATGTGTGGTTTAGGTGAGCTCAGGTGGACATGGTGGAGGATTTCTGGGAACCAGTGAGATGAGCTGGTAATGATGGCAGTGTTCAAGGAGAGGAATGATATGTGCTGAGGCAGTGATGAGGAATGGGGAGGAGCTGATGGTTCAAACACAATTTTGGCGAAACAGCCCAAGGGATTTGGAACTGATGGGCTGGAGGGCAGAGAAGTAACCACCTACAGAAAGAGTATGTTTCTATGGCACTGAGGTTTGGACACCAATGAGCTCAGGTTCTTTATTATTAGACACAAATACATTTTAGGGAGAAGTCATGGGTATGATGTAACACTGGTCATGACAATGAGAAAAGCATTTTTAGGTACTTAAAATATGAAAGGTTGGTGGAGAAAATTTAATAAGAATTCTAAAACTTGCCTGGGAGTTTGAGGAGAAAAAATGGATTAAATTTTTAGTAGCAACCTAGCATGCCCAGCATAATAAATATTAGGTCCCTGGGGACC
The DNA here is from genome assembly GCF_000001405.40 of Homo sapiens. Taxonomy (NCBI): domain Eukaryota; kingdom Metazoa; phylum Chordata; class Mammalia; order Primates; family Hominidae; genus Homo; species Homo sapiens. The sequence goes on from NC_000010.11 coordinate 128,234,777, forward strand.
ATCAGGTGTCACTGCAATGATGGAGACCAGCCTCATTCTTACGTCTCCTTGGTAGGGAAGCCACAGAAACCAGAAACACAATACTTGAGATATACAAGTACGTGGCCAGCCAGAGAGAGTCCCTGGGCCTGGAGGCCAGATGGCAGCCAGGAATGCAGGGCTCTCCCTGGGGCTGCAGGAGAGGACAGGGCCAGTGTGGGTCTAAAGGGAAATTGAGAGCTTTTCTCTTGGCTCCTTATGGCTTATTGATGAGGCTAGAGGGAGTTTCTGATTTCGGACCCCGTGCCCTAGGAAGCCTCTGATTTCACCCTTTGTTTTCCTGCCTCCTGAAGACAGTGGGATTGCCTGGATCTGCAGGGGTCAGGTGTCAGGGGTTCTAATTCCTTTCATTCTTTGAGTTGCTTGGAAGGGCCTTGGGAAAGTGACGGCAGGCCTGCCTGTCACTCCTGATGGCCAAGTGGGATCAACACATTCGTTATAAGTTTGTGTTATTGTTCACAAAGCTATCGCTTATTTCAAACAGCAGCCTCAAGGTCCTGGAGAAGTTCATGGGTGTGTGAAGTAACTCAGGTCTTCTTGTGCACAGTGAAGCTTGGTTTATGGGCTGGGAAAGGGAACATTGAGATGGGAAGGCATGTCCAACAACCATTCCATTGATCTGAGGGTTGACCTAGAAAAAGGCCCAACAGAGCCCTTTACTGTTCCTGGCATATAATACCAACATGTATGTTGAAAGAATAGCCGTGGAGGGAGGGCAGTGAAGCAGCGAAGTTCCCTGCTGTGCTGCCATGGGGAATGATGCGTATCCCACACTTGGGTAGGGGCTGTCAAGGGATGACCCGGTGCCTTCTTGCCCAGTGAACAGCAGACTCGGCACGGTCCTAATCCAAACTGATTTGTTAGAAATACCAACTTCTCATTTGATCACTTGAGTTTCCAAGACTAAGTTACTGCAAATGCTATGATTTTGGTAACATTTTCTGTGCCTTGAAAACTTTCTTTGGTGATTCTAAAAATTACTGTTAAGCCTGAATAATTTTAGGTAACATTAAATAATTTTGACTTCAATGGCTAACAGTTATGGAGCACTCAGTAAGTGTCAGGTATTGTGCTAAGGACCTACGTGCATGAGCCCATTGATTTGTCCTACAACCCCACCAGGTATTTGATGTTATTACCCCCATTTTACAGATGAGGAAAATGAGACACAGAGAGGTTGAGTAATAGCCCTGGTAGCACAGTGGGCAAGGTGCTAGCATGGAACCAGGAAATCTGAATACAAAGCTCAGGGCATCTTCAGAGGTCTGTGTCTCCCAATCCCTTCCTCCCTTCAGCCAAAATCATGGTTGGTTTGGATTCTGGTATAAGAAATTAAAGTGGCAAAGTAGTGTCCTTCAAGAAAGCAAATGACAATGTGTCCACCTGGAACCACCTGCAAGGGCAACAGTGGGGGCATGGAGGTGTCTATGCCTACGTTAGACAGCAGAGCTCAGTGTCATAGAGGAGTTGAGTAGAGGGAGGAGGAGGAGAGTGCCACACAGAGAGGACGAAGGAATGGAAAACACATGCGCATACACACATGCACACACGTATGTGCCTGCACTCACATGCAGGCACCCTCATGTGCACACCCAGCTGTGCCTGTGCATGCAGCAGAGGAAGGGGAGATGGGGAGTGAAGGAGGAACTGAGTGAAGAACAGCAGACCAACAGGCACCTGGGTGACTCCAGCAGAGCACAGGGCTCCACATGGAAGGTGGGTTCAACAAGATCAGCTGGGATCTTTGGGGGGAATGGCTTGGGTAGGAGGCATCATTTTTCTTTTTATATATAGGCTTTATTTTTTAGAGTAGTTTTAGGTTCATAGCAAGCTTGAGCACAAAGTCCAGAGTATGCCCATATTTCCCCTACCCCCAAGAGAAGCACTTTTTTTGCTATAAATTTTAAGCTGAACTCTATGGTGCAATTTCTAATGTAAATGCTTGTAGTCAACACCCACTGAAAATGGGAAATGCTGGATAAGTTGTGTTCTCTGTGACATATTTTACAATCTAAGACATAGGATGGACTCCAATTCCCATTGAATCTGGCATTCTTTTCATCCTTATAGGATGTCCCTGGAAGATTGTGTATGTCCATGGGCTGAGGAGGGCGAGGTTGTCTCAGGTCAGTTGCATCCACTCTGGACACCTAGTCCAGCTGGCTGAGCTGTGATGGCTGGAATTGGCTTTGAGCCTCATCAGCTGATGGGGTGGACAGGCTGGAATCAAGTATAGGAAAAATGTTCCCACACACTCTAAACACACATTTACCTCTGCTTTGGGATTCCAGCTGATTTCACAACAAACACCACTGATTTCAGAGCCCTGGTATTGCAGCCACTGGTCACGTCCAGCCATTCTGAAAAGTTGCTCAGCCCCTCTTTTTGCTGACTTGGGTTCACCTGGATTTTCAATTCTGGGGAAAAGTTTTGTGACATCTACTTCCACCTTGGCCCTCTGTCTCCCCACAGCCCTACCCAGTCACCCATTGCAGGCTCAGTTGGTTTACCCTGATCCTAGTCAAATCCCTCCACTCCCAGATCCAGCTTCTGGAACTGAAGGGGAAGTGCGTGTCGGCCAGAGGGAGGCTGCACAGCTAGACGTCTACAGGGCCATTGCGATGAGTGCAGCCAGCACCAGCTGGATTCAGGCTCTGTGTCCAGCACCCTGCTAAGGTGGCATTTGTGTACTCTCAGCAGAGCCATGGTTACCCTCATTTTACAGATGCTGAAGGAAGATGGGAGAGACAGGCTGCTTCCCCAAGGCCACGCAATGGGTATGTGCCAAGTGGGGATGGAACGTAGGTCTTTCTGCCCCCAGCCCAGGGTCTCCTGTCCATTTACCAGCCTCTAGAGCTTCAGATGGGGCCCAGCAGGGTGGAAGCCCCTGGGATGGGCTATTCCTACAGAGCAGGGAGGGCTTCCTGAGGAAATGCAGAGCCCTCTTGGAGAAAGGGGAGGGTCCTGGTCTCCTCACAGAATCTGCTTGGTGCTCCAAAGAGTGTTCCTGACTGGCAGGGCAGGTGGAGCGCACAGAGCCATGCACTCACTTTCCACCTGGGCTCCTACTGGGAGAGAGACGAGTCCGCTTCCCAGGCTGATGTGGAAGGAGGCAGGGCTTGTGGCAAGTTCTGTCCCTACTGGTCCTCCAATTCTCAGCCGTGTGTAGCAGATTTGAGCAGGTGGCTGAGGCCTTTCTAGCTGGAAGGTCCTTAGATTTTAGGAATATGCCTAGCAACATCAATTCTCCACACTTTTACCTTTTAATGATAGAAGAAATACGTGTTCATCATAAACATTGGAAAATTTAGATTACACAAAAAAGATAAAGAATTAAAATCAACCAAAATCTTATGTGACCCCATAACTGTTTTATCCCATATGTTATATTATGTTATCCCACTATATACTGTATTCTATAATCTGCTTTGTCACATAACAGCATACTTTGCACATCTTTTAGCACTGACATTTTAAACTGACACAGGTCATTTAGGAAGATCAGAAGTGAGGGGAAATTGATCAGATACATGCAAATTGATTTAATTAAATTAGTTGAAAGGCAGTTTGACTGTTAGACTCTGGAATAGGAGGGATGATGAGACGTTTCCCTCCTTCACAGAGTTAAGAGAGATGAAAGACACAAACAAATTACATGGCTCCACACCCAGCCATCAATAATCTGCTGTGGCTATAAACCAGTTTGGGTGAGGCGACCTGGGAGAGGTGGCATTCATGGAGTGGAGGAACTTTTCTTGCCTTAGGTGATAATCATTTGCATATCTATTGTGGGTGACAACCAGGCAAAGGAGTCCAGAGCTTGGGCCTTGGAATTGATGCAACTGGGTACCAGGTTATGCTGTTACTTTTGGCTTGGGCAAACCAACAAACTCTCTAAGCCCTGGGCTCTTTCTCTACCAAATGTGGATACTTGTACCTACATGACTGGGCTGTTGAGAAATTTAAAGAAAATCAGGCATGCCAGGCAACCGAACACAGCGTCTGACACATTTTAAATGCTCAATAAATGGTAGCTAGGTATTATTATTATTATTTGAATTTGGTAAAATGGCTGTTTATACCTACATCTGTTGCAAAATGGACAGAAAACGTGAGCTTTTAAAAAATTAGGAGTAAAAAATTATTAAGTAATTCTATCTTCCAGAATATGTTTCTAATAAGTCGAAGTAACTTTAAGAGATTCTGGGGAGATGCAAAGGGAAACATATACGTGGTGTCCACTAGTTGGTTGGAAAGTCTGTTGCGATTGACTTATAGGCAATGGCCTATACCTATACTGATATCAGGATTATCTAGTATTACTCTGAAATAATACTGCACTGATATTATTCCAAAAAAATACTGTATCCTGATATTACTCTGAAATAATATTGCACTTAATAGAGTATCCCATTTGAAAATCTTTTTTAGATAATTTTAACACACTATTATTATTATTTTATTATACTTTAAGTTCTAGGGTGAAAATCTTATTTAACTTACATGCATCACTATGCTGAGTTCCAGACTCAACAGATCATCTGTTTTCTCAGTACCTCTGTGGAAGGAACAGCATTTAGAGTTACTCTATTTTGAAGGAGGACAGATATTATTGAAGACTCTGTTGAAAAGAAACTCTCCTTTATGTTTGGAATTAGGCGTATCATTTCTGATAAATATAAAAAAATTAGAATATAGCATGTGCATACATATGGAACAGACGAAGCCTTCTGGTTTCCAATTCCTAATCTGAATTTTCTTAGTGGCTGTCCAAATAAAATGCTCTTTTAAAACATGTATGTATTCTCTCTCTCTCTCTCTCTCTCTCTCTCTCTCTCTCTCTCTCTATCTCTCTCTCTCTCTCACGGACGGCAGGATTCTAATTTCTCTTACCACCTGTAAGTTATGGCCAAATTAAATGAATCCATAGGAGACTTGCCTTGTTCAGCTCCTGCAGTAACTACCTCTGTTTCTTGAAAGGCCTTTCTTTTTCCTGGCTTCCTTATCTGAAAAGGTTTACCGTGTCTTCATGCGAGTGGTTGTCATGCTTTAGAAAAATCACAAGCAGCAAAAAGTCAGAATTGTCAGTTCAGAAGACACTGCTTGTTCCACTGGGTACAACTGAGCAAGCAATGCTGGCAAACGATCTTTAGAAAAAAGCAGAGGATGGAACCGCAGCCAAATGAAGATAAAAAGGGCTGCCGGCTTTATTCTCATTGAAGGCTGGCAACAGAATCTGCAGGAGGGAAGACGTCTATCAGATAGGTCATCTGTTGTGTAATGAAGAATAGAAGGCCGAGACAGGCAGGAGGAGCAGGTGATGCTCCCTCTCTGAGGGGCAGGAGCACTAGAGAGAAACAGGAAAGCGTAGCTCTTGTGAACTGCCCACCTTTAATTTACTACCAAGGACTCTGCTTGTCAGGCAGGTCTGCGAGGGGAGGAGAAGCCCGTTTATAAGGTTATAAGTAAACTTGAAAATCTGCTTTTTATTTCTCTGTGGTCTGACTCATTAAAAATTCATTTCTTTCTGTACAGGGTGTCTTATTAAAAATGGTGAACGTATCAAAAATTTTCTGGTCCTGTGATATTTATACTCCTTTTTGAACACCTTATTGTGTGTGAGTGTGGTATGGTTTTATGAGGAAGAAGCAAAATGATGGTGCTACATAGTCAGTTTTAAATGCCTGTCTTTGTCAAGGAATTTTTTCCTCATACTGCTCTGTTCATCAAATGTATGGGGTTCTGCTAAAATAAAAAAATATGCAAAAGATATATTCTCTATGAAAGTTGATTTACAAATGCCCAGTTTAAAATCGTGACAGCATCACTGGGCTATTATGCTTTTAGTTTCTATAAGAAGGTTCAGTTTGGTATCTTTATCTTGCAAAAAGCAACGTGCTGACCTGGGAGAGCTGGCCAGGGCAGTGGGATGGGGCCACTTCAGGGCTGGGTGGGGCCTGGGGCACCCCTAACACTTGCATGAGCGGAAGGAAAGGAAATAGGAATCTAAAATGAGTTTGGCCCTTCATTTGCATGGGAACTAGAACCCTGCACTTCTACTTATTGTGAAGGTAATGGGAGACACCGAAGAGCCCTTTCAGCCAAATACACTTTGGCAAGATGCCCCCAAGAAGGAACTGTAAATCAGATCATTTAAGAAATGTACTACCTTGAATGGGGTGGGCGGTGACTCCCAGGGGATTCCACCTCCTCTGGCCAGCCTTCTGGAATCAATAATGACCATTTGTGCTTAGTGAGAGACAGAAGGACTCATCCTTTCTGTATTGACTGGCTGGGGTATCCGCCATCCTGCCCCTGTGGCCAGGCATTCACGTCCCCACACAAGTCAGAACTATGGAGATGGCGCCTGGACGCCAGCTTCACCATTCATCAGCAGCGCTGGCCCTGGCATGGCCCAGTGCCTTGCACACATGCATGCATCATTCATCTGCCCCCCTTCACAGATAATCTCATGCAGTATGATTCTTTCCTTTCTGCCTTCTGACATGCAGGCCTGGCCATGGGACCCAGCAGTAAATATCTATCTTAAACAAATTGCTGTCAGTACGAAGTCACCAGGGACGTTTAAGAGGGAATTAGGAATTAAGAATTTGTGGCTATGGCTAATAAAAGATGGATTGGTTTATTTGTGTGGCTCTGCAAATGTGGGCATTAAAATAGGTGGAAAAGACTAAAATAAGACAACAATTACACTTCTGAATAGATCATACCCAATTATCTGGCTATTAATTTGCTAGTTACTTTGTTAAAATGGTGTGCGTGTATAACCTTACATATATGTTACTGTGTAATGTGTATTGTTTATATATAAATATATGTGTCTTACACACACACACACACACATCCACATATTGTGTATATTAGAATAAGGAAGTTAAAACAAATAGACTCTAACTGTATGTTTCAGTGGTGACAGTTTGGTTATCCAATGGTTATGCTGTACAAAAGTGGCACATTAAATGAATGCTTGTTAAATATGCAGAATGGTAGCTTTGGTTTAAATAATTTAAAATTCAAATTGAAAAAGACTGTATGCCCACATTTTAGGATTTAATCTTTTTGGCAATCTAAAAGAAAAAAAGTTAACTGAGGCTAAATAGCTTGGTTATCCAGCTGTATGTATTTTATGTGCTGTCGATACCCTGAAATAAGAAGATTATGATGTTTAAAATCAGGTTTACAGATGTATTTTCTACTTTTTAAGCCAGAAAACCCTCTAAATTGTTAGGCCTGCATTCTTTAATCTCCCTACTTAAGCCAAAAGGTGAGCTCAGGAAAAAAATATCCACTATTTCCATCCATAAAGAGGAGCTTAGCAATGCTTTAGGAAGTGGCTGCGCGATTCCATTGTTCATGTCAGAGACAAAAACTCAGAGTTGGGGATGTTGGGGCTGGTGGAGGGCTTTTTCCTCTTGAAGGCATTTCCTGAACGATCCTGGGATGCTGTGCAGACACCAGCCTAGAGTCTGGTTTACGTTTGGGGGGTCCATGAGTAACGCAAACTCTGTACCCGCTTTTCCTCATGTGGGTGAAACTGGGGCTTGCAGTGGTGATGCCCGGGCCCCACGGCTTCATGCAGTCACCCCGGGACATCTCCAGTGACGAGAGACCTCAGTGTCCCCCTCACGTGTGGTCTCTTGACCCCTCCAGGCCACAACCTGAGTCCCTGAGCCTCTTCTAGGCCCTGCTCCATCCTTTGTGTCTCTGTCATGTACCGCAAGCTGCCAAATCTGTTCAAAACTATCTGTGACAACAGCTTTGCAGCGTAACAGAAAGCCTCTGATGTTCTGACCACATCAGTTAAAGAAATGTGAAACTTTTAGTACCCAAGGAAGGGCTGATGAGAAAAATATTGCAGGGCAGGCCGAAGCCTGTGGTGGACTTCCGGCCACGCCCCCTGGTGGATTTCTGGCCAGACCCCTAGTGGACTTCCGGCCAGGCCCCCTGGTGGAATTCCGACCAAGCCGCCTGGCAGACTTCCGGCCTTGCACAGGCCTGCCTTGGGAAGGCAGTTGGGGCTGGTGAGTGGCTCACAGACTGTGGGACACTGGGGGCTGCTGCTCTTGATAAGGCCCAGGGATGGGTCACCTCCCCCAGGGAAGCTCCCTCCCTGGCCTGAGAGTGGTGGGGGCATGGCCCATCCCTGGGGAACCCGGGAAGGGTGGGCGCCTTCACAGAGACCGGGCCCTGGGGTCCTTGGCTGGGGTCCTGATAAAGGAGTTGTAGGGGTTCTGTCTGTGGTGAGCTGACACCGGAGACAGCCTGGTCTCCAATTCTGTCCACACCTTATTGGCCCAAAATCGCTATAGAGAGAAGGGCACCCCACCCACCCTGTCTTGTCGCTGCCACTCTGGAGCCACAGAGCCACCCTATTCCTGGTCAGTCTTCCATATATCCTGGTACAACCGGCCGGGAGAACAGGGTTGGAATCTGCAACTTCCACCGAAGCACATGCAGTTTCTCTTTCATGGGATGTTGTCATGCCCCGTTGAAACACACTCCCAGTGATGAACTGCGTGAGCTTTCCTAGGAAACAGGAAGAAGGGAGACCAAAAGCAGGGAATCTGACCCCAGGACTCACTGACAAGCCCTTGGTGAGGAGTTTGCTGGTGACTTGGCCAGAATTACAAACACTTTTAATTCTCACTTTCGATGCTTCACATGATTTCAAAATGGGCTGTCTTAAACTAGTTCAACCATTGTGGAAGACAGTGTGGTGATTCCTCAAGGATCTAGAACTAGAAATACCATTTGACCCAGCCATCCCATTACTGGACATATACCCAAAGGATTATAAAGCATGCTGCTATAAAGACACATGCACACGTATGTTTATCGCGGCACTATTCACAATAGCAAAGACTTGGAACCAACCCAAATGTCCATCAATGATAGATTGGATTAAGAAAATGTGGCACATATACACCATGGACTACTATGCAGCTATAAAAAAGGATGAGTTCATGTCCTTTGTAGGGACATGGATGAAGCTAGAAACCATCATTCTGAGCAAACTATCCCAAGGACAGAAAACCAAACACCACATGTTCTCACTCATAGGTGGGAACTGAACAATGAGAACACTTGGACACAGGGTGGGGAACATCACACACCGGGGCCTGTCGCGGGGTGGGAGGAGGGGGGAGGGATAGCATTAGGAGACTTACCTGAAGTAAATGATGAGTTAACAGGTGCAGCACACCAACATGGCACATGTATACATATGTAACAAACCTGTAAGTTGTGCACATGTACCCTAGAACTTAAAGTATAATAATAAAAAAACGAGCTGCCTTAACACATTCTGTGGGTGAATTGTTCTCTTCCACTGTGTGAGAGAGCATCTCCCATCCCAGCTCTGCCTTCTCTGCCTGGTAACACCAAACTCTCTCTCTTTACCAGGAGTCCCCACCAGCATTGCAACTCGGTCCTGCTTTTCCCGCTTGCAAATTTTGCCTGTCTCATCATCTCTCCTTGCCAGGCAAACATCTTCCAACACTGCTATTCATCCTCTGCCCACATCCCACTCCCACACTTCTTCAACCCATCCTAACTTAGCCCTTTCCCATGTTCTTTCCCAGGTCACCAGTGGCCTCCTTGCTGCTAAAATGGGTGGATTCCATAAGGCAGCACCCGCTGTAGGTGGCCATTCAGTTCTCCAACTCCCTCCCCAGGCCCCGGGCTCTGCATCTTCTGAGTTTCCCTCCTCTTTCTCCTCCACTGCTCCTCCCAGGCTCCTTGGCTGGTTCCTCTTCTCTCCTCTTATTTCCAGAGTTGAGCGCCTTGTTTGGATCCTCAGCTCCTTTCTCTTTTGCTCCACATGAGCTCACTGGAGATGTGATTCTCTCCTGGATCTGACGACTTCAATTCTTGCCTTGAGCCCAGGCCTGTCTTCTGAATCCCAGGCTGTACAGCCAAGTGCCTACTGGCCATCAGCACCATGTCCAAGCTCACCTCCTCACCCACTGTCCTAGTTAGCTCAGGCTGCTATAATAGAATTCCATAGACTTGGGGCTTAAATAGCATGCATTTATTTCTCACAGTCCTGGAGGCTGGGAAGTCCAAAATCAAGATGCTGGCTGATAGAGTTTCTGGTGAGGGCCTGCCCATTCCCTGGCTTGCAGACAGCTGTCATCATGCTGTGTGCTTACATGGCAAGGGGATGGTGAGGGAGGGAAACAGAGAGATAGAGCACTCTTTAGTATTTTTGTCTTATAAGGGCACAAATCCCATCATGAGAGCCCACCCTGCCAAACTCATCTGAACCTATTAATCTCCCCGAGGCCCTACTGCCTAATACCATCACATTGGGAGTTAGGACTTCAACATGTCAGGCCTTGGGGACACAAACATTCAGTCCACAACACCCCTAGAGAAAACTAAAATGCTGACGACGACAATAACAAGGGCAAGGACTCCATGATCACCTGGCCCCACCCCTCTCTCTTGGCTCTCCTGGTAAATGCTGTTGTCCAGCTGCTCAAGTCCTCTGAACTTTTTTTTTTTTCGTTTTTCTCTCCTCTGCCTCATACATATCTAATGAAAAAGGCTTGTCAGCACCCCTGCAACAGCCCTGACATTCCCGCTGCCACTACCCCAGTCTCAGCCACAGTTGCCTCTTCCCTGGACTCATGAACCGCCTCCAGCTGGCCTCCCTGATTTCCACCCAGACCTGCCCCCATGGTGCAGCCAAAAGGGCAGCAGTGGTCCCCTCGCCTGTTGTAAGAATTTCAGTAGTGTCCTCAAATAATGCCCAGACTAAACGAGGCAGCCTTTGAGGCCCCCCAACTAGCTCTCCTTCTCTTTGCCTCTCCAGCCTCCTCTCTCCCCTGCCTCTGAAGGCCACGCACTGACATCCTTTCCCAAGGTGCCTTTAGGTATCTTCCCCATCCCTGCCTGGTTAAGGCATTCTTGAGTTCTCAGAGCAGCTCCATCTGCCCTGGGAAGCTCCCTGAGATCCCCCTGCACTGGGCAGGGTGCTCTTCCAGTGATCATCCTCAGACCCCAGACCGTCCAGGTTCTGTCTTGACTACACCATATGTTATCTTTGTCCTTCCTGCCCACTCTTCTGCCACTCTGCCCTGGCTATCTTTGTAGCTCTGAAACCCATCAGTGCCCAGCACACCAAGCATTGCAGATTGAGCTGCCCAATTCCCATCAGATTTCATTTCCAGTTGGAACACTCTGAACTTACTGGGCAAAATGTCTTTGTTGCAGATTTTTCTTGAATAATTTGTTTTTTAATGGCAAAAATGTCCATGAAAAAATCAGTTCGTTTTGAAAGTAACTTTAAAAACTGAAATTCTTTATTGGAGAAAAATGTAAATCAGGCAATTTGGTAGTTTCCTCATGTTCTTGTTGCTTTATTTTTAATTCATGATCAGAAATTCAGACCCTGGTTCCTGATTCCACAGGACCAGCTGAGATGTAAAGGGCCTCTCTTTACCTAGGGTAGCCTCTTGGCCTCTGACTTCTCTGGGGGTGGTGGTGGAGGGATAAACCTCTCTCCCATCTTAACCTTAGGTCCTAAGTCTATAAAAAGGAAGACGGGGTTAGATCATTTCTGAAGTGCTTTTCAACCCTGAGTTTCTATATTTTTGTGCTGTTAAAACAAAACAAGTATTTATGTGCCCAGGTAATGTCTTACAAATTCCCAAGCCCATATTCTAAAGCAAAATACCCACATATTTCCCAAGAGAAGTAAGTCTGCCCATCCTCCTCCCTCTCTTCCTTCTCCTCATCTTATCTGCTGCTGACTTTTACCAAGGACCATAAGTGGCTGTGGTACAGAGGCTGCTCAGAAGGGTGGGTGATAGCAACCGGTAGATGACATCCTTCTAAGGGCCTCAGTGCTGTGATGAGAGCCAGTCCTTGTGACCCCTCCATCCTTCCCTGGCAGTACTAAACCTCGAGCCCACTTGCCCTGTGTGGGATCAGTCCCAGGTTGACATCAGCCTTAGGCAGGGAAGTGATTGTCCACAAAGCAGGGGTATATGAAAATCCCCTGGGAGCTTGCTCACATGCAGAGTCCTGGGCCCCCTCCATCACTTTTGGTTCAGGGGGCCTTTGGTGGGGCCTGGGAACCTGCACTTGAACCAGCTTTTGAGGAAATGCTGATGCCGGCAGTTCATGGGCCTCACGTGGAGATTCACTGATGATGTGCAGTGATTCAAGGTCCCAGCGAGACGCTGGGCCAGCGCCCTGCCTTTCAGGACTGTTGTGTTGCATCCATCCCAGTGGAAATGGATCCCACTTTAACAGCATAAGTGCCTGTTTATTGCTTTTATAGTGCCCGTTTTCTTTCTACTGCCTGGGAAGGATAATTCAATTTTAATCTGTATTACAGACTATTAATATTAATAAGTTTATATATTAATAGTTTTAGCATTCTTGTAAATGATATAAATAATATTATAGATAATAATAAGATTTCATGGCTGGGGTGGTTGGGGAGCTGCAGAAAGCTGACTCTAGTCACTCATTGTAGGGATGTAGTCTACACAGGGTGGAGGAGGGGAGGATGAGACCCTGAGGGGAAAACATGTCTTGGGGCTCAGAGTCAGGGAAGAGGCCAGACCCAGGCTGGGAGAGAAGGGAACTAGGACACCAGAGGCCCTTTCTTGCTGGGGCTGTCCCTGCTCCCAGCTCTGAGGTAGCAGTGACTGCACTGTATCTCAGTGGCTTTCCCTGAGCAGGTCAGTCACAAGGCCTGGTCTCTATCCGCTTCCCCACAACTACATGGGCAAGGGAAGAGGGATTTTGAGCCCGTCGCTGTAGCTTGGTTCTCCCGATTCCCACCTGTCAAGGGCAACAGCCTGGGGTCTTCCTCCAGTGCCTGGAGCCACAGAGAGGAGCTCCCGCCACCCGCTGTTGGAAGGCTTTGCTAATTCCTCTACAGTGACCTGGAATCAGCTGGCCTCAGCCCCGCCAGGCCTGTGGCCCGGCCCTCAGGCACCTCCCGGGGGATGCCCACACCTTTGGTTCAGCTCCTCTGCACCCCATTAAGCCTGGGTGATGGGCACATATGCACTCAGCATGCCTTTCTGCAGACCACTGGGTCATTAGCAGGGATGAGAGGAGTCCCAGATGTTAGAGGAACATGGCAGTGCTTCATGGACCACCACTGGGACAGATAAACACGGGGGAGCCAGCAAGTCATTGGATGCCAGAAGACTGGCACATTGACTCCATCGTGAAAGGCGAGACTGGTGACATTGGGGGGTGGCAATGGGGAGAAAGGGAAGGTACTTTTGTCTGAAGTATGGAGAGGAGGAGTGCCTACTTCTTGAAGAAAGGGAGTTGGAAATATTTCAGTTGCCTTGAAGGGAGACGACTTATGCTCATCCTAGTATCCCTGATTGTGTGAATGAAACCTCTGGTTTCTGAAAGCCTAGGCTCGGCATATCCCAGGCCTTGCAGTATGGAGTAGGAGGAAGAGCCTGGGCTCCAGGGTCAGAAGTGACCTTGGACAGGGTCCTTAATGCCCCTGAGCTTTCGTTTCCTCATCTTTAAAAGGGGATAATAGCAGTCCCATTCGCAGCGGCCCCTGAGAATCACAGAAGGTGACCTGCATTCCGCAGTTAGCACAGGCTTGGTACAGAGGAGCTGCTATTACCCTTGTTGGCTTTAGTCCCACTTGCTCAGTCATCTGCGGCCACCCACGTTTTAAATTCTGACCTTGGTCATCTGGGAGCAGGATTTTGGCTCAAACATGAGCATTTCCAACAAAATACTGAAATACAAGTGCTGGTTTTTGTTTTATGTTTCTAATGCCTTTTATTTGGATATAGTCTGATAGAAAATGTTACTGCCTTTTGTGCGGTACCAGATAATCAATAGCTTTGAGGAAACTAATGGGAAAATGACAGTAAATTATATACACGTAGGACTCTGAGAAAAGAAAGAACTGTTTTTGCAAAATTTAATAAAGTGTTTGCATTAGCAATGTATTCAAAATCGCCATTGCATTTGCACTGTGTGTCAATACCATAATTCGTCGCCTATTGAAAAGTTTCAAAATTTGGATCATGTGAGGATTCACCTGCTCAAGGTGTTTTCAAAGACAAAAATGAACATTGAGAAGTGACCATGCTCTTCCTCTAGTGGACATCTTGAGGATTTGATTAATGTGAAGCAGCCCAGGCCAGCTACTATTAATTACTATTAATACATCGACTAGACCAAGAGGCCCAGGGAGTGTGTTATGCTTCGTTCAAGTAACCACAAAACTCTATTTTGTATTTTCTGAATAAAAATGAACATTGCATTTTTGGTGCCCCCTTCCCCCACCACTAGGAATGGTATGCAGTTCATTTTGGCCATGCAGGTCTGAAAATATTATCTGTGTTTGCACACAATGTTTAGAATCAGGTTTTATTAGAAGGAAATCTCTCAAGATTGGAACCTACAGAAATAATGATGATATGTTGGTTTCTTTTACAGATCTGCACTCTATTACTCCAGGTAAAAAAATCTTGGAGATGTTTTAGCTTGATGCTTCATCTGTTGAATGAAGAAGGAAAACTGTGATCATCTTGAAAAATCTTTATTTATTCCTTTTTAAGTCTGATTCATTTATTTGTTCAAAATTTGTGAATTTAAATGTTTGAGAGGGACTAGCAAGTGATTGGCAACCAAGATTTGAAGCTCAGGAAAGAAAATCATTCATTGATTTTTTTTTCATGTATCCATTCATTTCTTCAACAATCTTTCCTTGATGAATGAGACGTGCCCCCCTACCCTGTTAGGGAGGACAGTCTGTGGATGACACAGACATCTCCATAGAGTGTACTAACCAAGGGCCCTACCAGGGAAGAGGCAACACAGGCCTGGAAGGGATCAACTCTGCGGGGTGAGGTGGAGGTGTCAGAAACGTGGTGCCTGAACTGGAGACTTTGATTTGAGAGGTAGCTTTGTAGTGATGAGAAATATAACTGTATATGAGATCATCTTTGAGCTGAGGGTGAATAAACAAAAAAGTTGTTTAAAGCCTCAGTTGTCACCATCATGAAATTCTTCAGGTCTGAAAGAATGGAAATGTTTGAGAAAGTTCTGTCCCTCTCTCGTTTGATGATAAGATTTTTCTCTGTAGGAAAATGCCATGGTTGGTCCTAGCAGGGCCCTTGTGACATGATTATTTAGCAACACTTAAAAAATTAGAAGAGAGAGAACAGATTAGCTAGTTCCTGAAGCAACATCCCCAGGAGAGTTTGGAAATGCATGGAATTCCCAGTGATGACTGAAGGGTCCATGGGGTATTTGCATGACCCAGGTGTTCACCTTCCTCCTCCAGACCCTTTCCTTCCTCTCGCTCTTCCTCCCTGAGTAGAGATATTTTTCTTCTTAGTGGTTTGCCATTTTTCCTATTTAAAAGGATGTGATCATTATAGAAAAATTTTAACCTATGGAAAAGTAGAAAGAAGGAAAGATCACAGCCCTCCACCACCCCATGGAGTAATAATGACTGTTAACATTTTGGTGTTATATTCTCCAAATCGTTTCCCAAATAATTTTCCTTTTATACATCTATGATCAGATGCTACATGCAGACAATTTTGGATCCTGCTCTTTTATTTATTTAATATCATATGATTCAACAGATTATTTACAAGTACTTCATGATGTGGAGTTCCACAGTGTACTTAACTCTTCCCTCCCTGTGCTCCTATTGGATACAAATTATTTTTAATATTTTCTGAATGTAAATAACACTATGAGGGACATCTTTTTGTGGAAAACTCTTTCCAAATTTAGGAATTTTTTTAAAATTGAAGAATAGAAATGAAACTGCCGAGTCAGAGAGTATAAACATCATCAGTACTTGTGGTACAGGTTATCATTCACATTTCCAAAGTCCATTCCCATCAGGAATGAGGGTGCCTATTTCATAGAAACCCTGTGAACAATGGTGCTATAATTAAAATACAACCAACCAACCAACCAACCAACCAACCAACCAACTAATCAACAACAAAAAATCTTCACAGATGTGACAGATGTGTTTATTAGAACTGAAGCTCCATGAAGACAGAGATATTTGTCTTCTTTTGGTTTGTTTTTTCATCAATATATCCAAGTTACCTAAAATTAGCACAGAGTAGGTGCCCCACAAATTCTTGTAGAATGGAATCCATTTTCCAATGTGTCCCTTGTGTAGGGGAGGAAGCGCACATGCCTCTTGCCTGATGCACTGGGATCTGGATCAAGCCTGCCCTTTACAAGTCCTTGTTGAGGTGTAGTTCAGTTAATGCTTTATTGGGAAAACTCAAGTACAACCTCGAGTGCAACCTATGTGTCAACTCCCAGGACAACTGTTTCTGGAGCCAATTCTTACTTTCTATTCCTGGACTCATCTTGAGAACAGGTTCAGTGGAGATGCTTTCCTGGTAGATCTGAGAGGCCAGGAGACATCGTTAGAATCTTGTTGCCTGCAGAGGGAAAGACAGAGCCCTGAGGGTGGTGGATTTTAAATGCCTTCATGCCCAGGTGGCAGAGCAGGCAGATCACTTTCTCATGGGCCTGGTCAGCCCTGCCTGGGCTTCCATCTGGGCTCAGTTACCAACACACACACTCTTTCTGGGGACCCACACACTGTGCTGGCTTGTGCTTGGCTCTCTGGTTCCCTCTGACCAACTCCCATTGGTCCTTGTAGCCTCAGCTCAGAAGTCCCATTCTTTTTGGTAAAATGTCTGCCTCCTTTGATGGTGTCATGTGACATCCAAGCACATAGGTGCCTCCACTGTGGTCCGTATCTTGTTGAATTGTAATTGTCCAATTGTAGCTCTCAAGTCAACCTTGCATAGAAGATCTGAGGACTGATTCTCTTCATTTTTGTGTCTGCATTTGGTCAGCTGCCCCCAGGTAATTCTTATGCTTGCCGAGGTTTGAGAACCATGGCTCTTTTTAGGGGTTAGAAAGCCACCTGGAGTCTCTGCGGGGGAGCCATCTCTCAGGAATCATAACAGATTTCAGAGAACAACGGCAGCCGTCTCTGGGCTCATCTGCACAGCAGGGCATCCACAACCATGATTTGAGCTGCTCTCCTCCCGATCACCCATAAGGAAAGGCAGAACTCACGGCAGAACTTTAAAAAAAAAAAACTTACATAAACTGTAACAGTTTTTTCTACAACAAAATGAAAATAAAGGGTAAGTTATAAATGCCGCCTCTTAATAGGACGGTGGTTAAATTGCAGCTGTACATCATTGGCCACTATGAGAAACTACTTTCATAATTGTTTTAATTTTCTCTCTTGGTGTTATGAAGACCTTTATTACATAGAGTTCTATATTAGCACCTTTATTTGTAATGAAATAAAGGTTGGAAGAAAATTGAGGTTAAAACATGGCCCAGCTTCTGATGGCACAAAGTAAAGTAAAACTCTCGTCTAAAATAATTAAATACAAGTGTAATGCTCTAAAAACCAATTATCATTCCACTCCTCTTTCCTTTCATTTGAGCTCTTCACCTTCCTCCTGTGCGTTTCCCGAACTTGGAATTTATGCATGTTGTTATGTTATAGATGTAACATAGATAAAAGTTCTGTCACTTGATGTTTCCATTTTCAGGATGAGTATTTGCTCATGAATCCCTAGATTTTTTCCCAAGTTATGGTAAAGAAGGTTTGCTCTTTACTGAAAGACAAAAAAAGTTTTTCCATTGAAAAAACTAAATTTTCAAAGATTATTCTTTCTTTTAGCAGTCAAAATCAGCAGATGATTCAATGTCATAGATTTAAAAAAATCTTTATTTTTTTCATTTTCTGTAGAAAAATTGTATATTGCATTGCATTTTTCTTTGAAATTCATTTGCAGTTGGGAATAGAGCAACACATCCAATATTTGTGCATGTGTCGTGGTGGGGGGATCTGGTCAAATTTTCAAAACAAGTCTCCTTTTTGGAATAAAAGTCAAGGGAAACATTATTAAAGAAACATTTCTCTACCAGACAGGCATCAGGTTGTGGCAATCATTTAGAAGCTGTTTTGTCATCACACGAGATAATGTTTTTTTTTTTGTTACTTTGAATCTTCTGTGAGTCCTGGACTTGACCACAGATCAGCAAAAATCCTGCTCTGGCCTGTGGGAAGGTTGCAGAGAAACAACCTCTGCATCCCCCAAATGGAGTGGATGAATATTGGAACCACAGAGAAACTAAGATACGGGAGATCATTATTTGAGGTCAGGAGGTTTCCTGCTAAAAACCTTCCTTTTAAACCCAAGGGGAATGGACCAAAGCATTTTTATCAGAAGGCTCTGGAGCCAGGCACATGCTTTGACTGCTGGCGCAAGGCTTTTGACCTGTGAAATTCCAGAGCCAGCGTTTGAACTGAGGCTTTAAGGAGACAAGTGGAGACCGCATGTGCTGGTGAGGGTGAATTTTTAAAAAGTCGTGTGTCTTTTTCAGCGCATTGTAGAAGGGGCTCCTGGCTCTTATAAACCATGTTACATTTCAAA
This sequence comes from Homo sapiens, assembly GCF_000001405.40. Classification (NCBI taxonomy): domain Eukaryota; kingdom Metazoa; phylum Chordata; class Mammalia; order Primates; family Hominidae; genus Homo; species Homo sapiens. The sequence continues at coordinate 128,253,292 of NC_000010.11, forward strand.
GTGGTTGGCATCAGGAAGCCTTCCTTCTGACAAACTTGAGTTAGAGGCTCTGCTGTTTTTGCTAAACAGCCAAATAGCAGCCAAACCAAAGTCAGGTGATGACCTGAATAATATTGTGTATGAATTAGTACACAAAGTGTGACCTGAGTGTCTTGGTACCTGTAAATGGATTCTAACCCTATTCCATAGGAGGCGTCTAAAGACAGCTTTGAGCGGAGGAGGTTCCCTTTGGGACAAAGATCTACCAAGGAGGCAGCTTTCAAAAGGGAAAACACTTATTCAGATGTATAAGCTTGTAAGTGTTTTTAAAAATTAAAATCTCACGACTCTGCAGCATGCCTCAGTTAGTTTGCCTTCTCCCAGTCGGCACCTACATATATCACATAAACAAAGACCAAATGGGACTCACTGTAATTTTTTCTGGTTACGAATTAATAGGAGTGCAGGTTTGTTATGAATATGAATGGAAGAAATGACTAGACTCCTGATCAAACATCAGATCAATTACTCGTTTGTTTCCCATTGATCTGGTGGCTGTAGAGGTTGGGTGTGGGTCTCATCCCACCAGCGGCTTTCTATTAAGTAAAGTTGCAGCGAGGGGAGAGGCTCTACCCTTGTCATGCTTACGTCTTGTCCCTGCTGCCCCTTCCCTCACGTTTAGCATCATGAGGCCAATTCCTGTCTTGAAGAAAGACTGTTTCCAAATTCAGGAAATGGAATTTTGAGGCCAGCACGGATCCTATGCAACTTTCACTAAATCTTTTCCTCGTTCATCCTGAGCAACGGTGTGCTGCTGTGGGGAACACATGTTTACAACTCAGTCTTAAGAACCAGGTGAAGTCTGGTGCTCTCGGAATGCATGTGAACAGTTGTCACAGAGGCTGCTGCACCTGGCTCCATTTTGGGATGCCTGAAGCCAATTTTGGATTGCTAAATGATATTTAAATTTCACTTTATCTTTTAATCCAGAGCATTTTTGCGGATCTGATGGCCTGCTTGTGATGTGTGTGTATGGCATGAAAAATAGGAGGTCTTCCTTTTAGTTTTTTTTTGCTTTATAACTTATCTTGGCATTTTAGAGATTCATAATCTTTTCATGATTTCAGGGGATTCATATTGGGCAAAGATGGCACAGAATGATCAGGGCTTGATTGACCTTTGATAGTTCGATGATTGTGGGGTATCAATAAATGCTGTGATTAGGGCCTGTGAACACAGGGCTACTCCTGACTCTCTTATTTGCTGGCCATTCAATGGGACAAGAAAATGTGGAGTGGGCACTGTGTGTGAGTAGCCCAGCTGACCCCGTAGATTTGGTTTGAACAAAACAGCAGGCAGAGAGGGAGGTTGGGAAACCTCTAGGGGAAATTTTGTGACTCACATCCTTTGTGAGTCTTTGTTGGTGTGTTCTGTGATTGGATTAGGAGGAACTCACCATGTTACAGGGAGTTCTAGGGTCTTGTTTACAGGATGGGTGGTTTGCCTTCTAGGATTTTCTCCCTGACCTGCTTCTCCTGCTGCTGTATGTGCATCCTTTTTCTGCAAACGGTGATGTCTCTGCCTTCCAGGATTTCACCTTTTTGTCCTCAACAGTGAGATCCACCAAATTACACCGTTGTGTGGGCATTTGTCTGTTTACTATAATGAAGACAACCGGCTTTCTAATTGTCTATTAAATGGTCTATTAAATAGTGTCATAGCTAGAGGGACCTCAGCACAAATAATTCAGCTTCTTAATGCTTCACAAACTCCCTCTTCTCACACTCTTTTTAGCACTTTTTGAGAAGATAGCTGAAAGCATTCTTTCTTCTTTTTAAAAATTCTTTTACCCTGAAGCTATTCTAGTGATTTTTTCCCTGGGATCCAGATCTCCGTCTCCTCATGTCTCCTTTGCCTTTCCATGGCCAGTGTCTGCAGAGTCATGTGCCTCTGTCCTCTGTTGACACCATGGCTTTTCCTCCTGGCTTATGTCCTGTCTGCATAACCGGGATTGCTCCAGCTACTCCTGGGTCCCCCTGAATCCTGGGCTCCCTTCCTGGCCACGTCATCTTGCCCAACTTCATCTTTTTTGTTTGTCACTTTGCCACCTTGAACTCCATGCTCCATGCTTAGCTGGACGTTCTCTAAGTGTTTATTCCACAGGCTCGATATTTGCTCTGCCACGCTCATGGCTGTTCTGTGCTCTCAGCTGCAAACAGGAAGTTTATATAGAGGCCTGTTTTATATTTATCGAGTCCCTGAATATTAGCACTTAGAAGAGATCTTAGAAGCCTCTTCCTCCAGTCAGTCCCCAAAAGGAGCATGTGCTCTGCTGGTGCACACAATGTACTTTTAGGTGATATGCAGATTTATTTTAGAAATTAATAATTAGGAACCTGTTTTGTTGCTTAGAAGTAAAACTAGCTCATCACTTTCATGACTTCCTACCTGAGGGTAAAATAGAGAGGATGAGGCTAAAATTGATTTTTTATTTAAAAAATGGTAAGCACATTTAGGGGAAAATATTTAGCAAATAATATTAAGTGGATTCACCACAAATTATGAAGGTGGTGGAGGGATGACCAAGTGGCCAGAGCAGCCACCAAATCCACCAGCCCCTCATTCTACGATGAGGGAAAGTGGGGCCTGGGAGGGCAGGGGCTCCTTTACGAGGAACTGCACCCTCAGGAATATGTTTTGTGGACCCCTGAGAGATGAGGGTTGCTGCGTCGTGGGGCCCCAGGGGCCATCGCTCAAGTTGATTTCTGGGGACAAGGAGCTGCCTGGAGCTGTGCAATGTGGGGCCCCACTAGGGGATCCCTGGGCATCCTGGTGGGTTCATGAGGCTGCTGGGGCCTAGACCCAGGCCTCCTGCATGAAGCCAGCAGCCTTCCTGGGAGAACATCTGGGTGTCCTTCTGCCCTGCAGAGAATGCCAGGGATAGGAGTAGGTTCTGGATGTCCTGGTCCACTGAGATGCCACTGTTCTGTTTTCACAAGCATCTCTTATTTCTCTTGCCATTCAGTGTCACCCATTCTTCCATGTGACAAGATGGTTTACAGAGACATTCCCTCATATTTGGCTTCCATTTCGCCCCTTCTAAACTTCTTGTTCACTGAATCAGCCAGGATGTACTACACCCTGTCGGCAACCTCACCGCTGGGCTTCTTTCTTGCTAACAGAACCCTGACTTTTCTGGGGCCAGCTCTGGAGGGTAAACATGGTCTGTGTAAGCCCTTCCTTGCTGTTTTGTTCTCCTTTGCTTGTGATTGACTTTGAGGTTGTCATGCAGTCCAGTTCTGGCCAGCAAGACCTATGAGAAGTCTTCTAGGGGCTTCCAGGAAGTGTTCCCTTATTAAAGAGAGGGGAATGAGAAGAAATTCCTTTTGGCTGGGGACATTTTTGTGTAAGGTGCAATGTGTGGCACTGCTGCCGCCATTTTGTCACCATGTGGGAAGACGTGGCGACTCCCTGAAGATGAATGAGGAGGTATTGAAGGAGCCTGGGTCTTCAGACACTATTGAGCCAGAGCCCTGAGAATTCCTGTCTCTGGAGATCTTGTTAGACAAGATAATGCTTTTATTACTTGCATCACTATTTTTTTTTTTTGGCTAAAAGTCTTCTAAATGATCCATAGACCCTTTACTTTCCCATGCCCTAGAAATTGTTTTGTTCTGCCCAAGGGAAATATTGGCTGCAGACTCTACTCATCCTGGTTTTTGTTTTCCAAAACTTGCACTCCTAAACAGTTTATCCTGGGGGAGTAGTTTCCTGACAGAGACTTCCTGACAAAGGTGCCAGTTCCTCAGAGGTGGAGGTCTCTGTGGTGCTCTCAGATAGGCTGGTGCCTGGCCCTGAGGCTTCCAACCACACCAGGACTCCTGCCCCCAAACTTGCCTGCAGGGAACCACTGGGACTTGCATGATAAGGCTTTCTGTGAAGCCTGTGATGGGCTGGAGGTAGGAGGCCTTTGCCCATTCTTTGTGTACCATAGAAGCCCCTTGTGCTCTTACGTGAACTAAAAGAAGGGTAGACACAAGTAATGCCTGAGATGTTTTCCTACCAGCTTAGTGGGAGGATACTTGAACTGGGATTTCACTGGACATTAGGGAAATACTGAGTCCATGGAGAAAGGTGTATTCCTGTACCATACAGTGCAGGTTGCCATGCTCCTTGTCCAAAATTTGTCTTGTCTTAAAGCTGACTTCTCCTGAGAGTGTGCTCCAAAGAGGAGGATCAAGGGGCACTGGCCAAAGACAATTTAGGGTCTGAGGAGCCACAACACATTTTGTGATGATCACGCATCCTTTGCCTTTTCTTCTGATGAAATTGCCGTGGGGAGTTGCCCAAGTCATGCAACATCAGGAACTTCCTTCCAGTAAGAGCTTCAAGGGTAAAGCCTTTATCAGCCTTTTGTTTTGTATTATGATACCATTTGTTACAAGCTGTATTTTGAGTGGTGTTAATTCAGCATTTTAAGATGTTACTGTGGCATCCACTGATGGGTGAGCAGTTGGGATAGAACAGCAATTGCTATACTTTCCTTATTCTGCAGTGTCTTTCTCATATTATATTTATAGCAATTCATGATCTAATATTTTACTCCAAATAATTTATTTTGTTTGTTTGTTTTGTTTTTGGATGAAATTTAACAGCACTGCAAGAGTTTCCTTTCCTTAGCCACATTAAAAAAAAATAAGCTTTAAGGCCAGGCGTGGTGGCTCACACCTGTAATTCCAGCACTTTGGGAGGCCCAGGCGGGAGGATCACTTGAGGTCAGGAGATCGAGACCAGCCTGGCCAACATGGTGAAACCCTATCTCTACTAAAAATACATAAATTGGCCGGGTGTGGTGGCACATGCCTGTAATCCCGGCTACTTGGGAGGCTGAGGCAGGAGAATTGCTTGAACCAGGGAGATTCCATCCAGGAGACGGAGGTTGCAATGAGTCCAGCTTGCTGCCACTGCACTCCAGCCTGGGCAACAGAGTGAGACTCCATCTCAAAATAAAATAAGATAAAATAAAATCAACTTTAAATTTTGGAATAATTTCAGATTTAAGGGAAAACTGTAAAGATAGTACAGAGAGTTTCTACATGGCTGCCCCTCACCCAATTTTCCCTACTGTTCACATCTTACATGATCATGGTGCACTTACCAGAACCATGAGGTTCACATGGGCATGTTACTATTAAATAAACTATAGACTTTATTTGGATTTCCCCAGTTTTTTTTTAGATGTGTCCTTTTTTGTTTCAGGATTCAATCCAGAATCCCATGTTGCATTTAGACTGAGTCACATGTAATTTTATTTTTGAGATAGTTGTTCCTCTTTTCTCATTCTGTTTTTTAGCATACGCTATCAGTCACATATCACGTGCATCTTGTGGCCTTCCAGCCACAAAATTGTCATTTCTGTCATTGAATATAGAAGTCATATCAGATAACATCTCTTTAATGAAGTTCCCAACTTCTATATATTATTTGCAATGCTGGTAAAATTTTGACAAAATTTGAAGACAGTCTGGGCCTTGTGCCAGATCTCCAATGTAGCTTCAAAGTAAAATTTGGTGAAAAATATTCCCCAAGGAGCAGTATGGAAGGGAATATGTATAAACCCTCATGAGTTAAAGCGTTTTTTTCTCTACATACAAATTTGTACATTTCCATATTCCTTTTTGTTTATGGGCCCAAAGGTTATAAGGGAAATGGATTTGTATTTTTATTTTTTCCTGTGAAAAGATGAGCAATTGCTGCCTTTAAAATTCTTAATATTCATAGACCTTTACATATGATTGTCTAAGTAATCCAGTTGGGAAACTAATTGCTTGATCTCGTAAGTTTCCAAGTCCAAGGCATGGAAGGGACGTCAGGACGTAGTTCTGTTTGATGATATCTTGAGATAGACTCACTCTTGGATTGGTTTTAGGCACCAGAAGTGTTATTGTGTGCCATTGGTGAAGGCTGGCTTTGCTGTGTGATATTACACATTTTCACTTATGCTGTGTCCACATTTGGTTTCTTAAAATTATAGAACAAAATTACAAAGTGAAAAAATGGTCTATAATCAACTATTTTGTCTTTGTGACACCTTGTCTGACCTGGCAGATCCTTTTTTCCCTGAGTTGTCTGCACTTTCTTACAGGCACATATGTACTTATTACTTCAACATCCTGCAGAAGCCTCTCTAGGTAGCACTTGGTAATGGGAGTCCAAGTCAGGCTCATCCTGACGGATACAAGTAACAGTACCAGCTGCCACATTTGAGCATTGCTATGTTATTTAAAAAAATGTGTGTATATACTAATTTGCCCCCAACTTTGTGAATTTTTTTTCTCAACTTACATTCTCTTAAGACATAGATGTAATGCACACACACAGAGTATTTGCTCTAGGGCAGGTTAGCATCTATCTTCCTGCCTCTGGAAACCTGGTTCAAAATCCACTTCCTTCTTTGAGCTTTCTCGACCTCCCTGTTTGGACACAGCTTATCCCTTGTCAAGCTCTCTGCAGCACGTAAAGTCTGATCTCCGCCTTTCTCACATTTCACAGACTGCTTTGCTGTGTTCCCTATTTTTCTCCAGGTGTAGTCCCCCCTCTCCACCTCCCAGCCCCACATCTTAGATTGCAAGATTGCAGCAAAAGCTGGTGAATGTTCCATGTATGCCCCTTAGCTAGTGAAGTGGCTGGATGTTCTGTGTGTGCCCCTTAGCTAGTGAAGTGAGCGGATGTTCTGTACCTGTCCCTTAGCTAGTGAAGTGGCTGGATATTCTGTGTGTGCCCTTTAGCTAGTGAAGCAGGTGGAGTTCTGTTCGTGCCCCTTAGCTGGTGAAGTGGGTGGATGTTCTGTGTGTGCCCCTTAGCTAGTGAAGTGAGTGGATGTTCTGTATCTGCCCCTTAGCTAGTGAAGTGGCTGGATGTTCTGTGTGTGCCCCTTAGCTCATGAAGTGGCTGGATGTTCTGTGTATGCCCCTTAGCTAGTGAAGCAGGTGGATATTTTGTTCATGCCCCTTAGCTAGTGAAGTGGGTGGATGTTCTGTGCATACCCCTTAGCTAGGGAAGTGGATGGATGTTCTGTGCACACCCCTTAGCTAGTGAAGTGGGTGGATGTTCTGTGTGTGCCCTTTAGCTAGTCAAGTGGGTGGATGTTTTGTGTGTGCCCTTTAGCTAGTGAAGCAGTTGGATATTCTGTTCATGTCCCTTAGCTAGTGAAGTGGCTGGATGTTCTGTGTGTGCCCTTTAGCTAGTGAAGCAGTTGGAGGTTCTGTTCATGCCCCTTAGCTAGTGAAGTGGCTGGATGTTCTGTGTGTGCCCTTTAGCTAGTGAAGCAGTTGGATGTTCTGTTCATGCCCCTTAGCTAGTGAAGTGGGTGGATGTTCTGTGTGTGCCCTTTAGCTAGTGAAACAGGTGGATGTTCTGTGTGTGCCCCTTAGCTAGTAAAGTGGGTGGATGTTCTGTGCATGCCCCTTAGCTAGTAAAGTGGGTGGATGTTCTGTGCATGCCCTTTAGCTAGTGAAGTGGCTGGATGTTCTGTGTGTACCCCTTAGCTAGCAAAATGGGTGGATGTTCTGTGTTTGCCCCTTAGCTAGTGAAGCGGGTGGATGTTCTGTGCATGACCCTTAGCTAGTGAAGCAGGTGGATGTTCTGTGCATGCCCCTTAGCTAGTGAAGGACACCATTTCTGGAGTATCTAGAGTGGGCCAGATACCACGCATTCCCTCACGGATCTCTGGAATCCTCCCTGCAAGGGAGGATCATGAGAAGGTTTCTATTATTCTCTCTACTTTGCATGGGAGAAAATGGGCTTAGCAAGAACTTCCATAGCTGCTCTGGGCTACACAGCTTGTCAGTGGGTGAGCTGTAGACCCCATGTTTGTTAGGACTCCAGAGTCAGAACATCATTTTCTCTCCCAGGACCAGACCTGTGGCCACACAATAAACGTGGCCCACTAATGTGGGAAACGTATTGATTTTTATTTTGAAAATATTTTCAATCTAGTGCTCTTTCTTAAGCAAGGAAGAATTCACTCTTCTGAAGTACGTTGTGACTACACAATGCAGTCTCCCAGACTATTGTTTAACTGCCCCATGATCTTTGAATGACTTTATTATTGTATTACTTACTGTCATTCCTACATTCTGAAATTGATTTTGGAACAGTTAAATCTTCATTTGAGTGGAATAATATTATGTTTCAATGTTGCCAAGACCTCTCCTTCCTGCACAGGCAAGGAGGAAATCCTCTAAGCTTTTGGACGTTCCTGATCATTTTCACTGTCCACAGCAGGGAAGGTGGCCCACCCTGCTGTACCCCTCCTCCTGGGGTGTGCGTCCCTGCACTAGAGCAAAGCTGCTGCAACTGCCTTTGCATGTTTGGATTTTTTCTAAGAGCTGAGTGACTGCATCCAAACTGCCTGTAGTTTTGGGTGGAATGATTTTATAGGGTTCATATGGGCGTTTCTGGGAGGGGGAGGAGGAGGAAGATTAACCAGGCTGGTGGAGAAATTGCTCTCCAGGCCTGTGATTCTTATGTGGGTCTCTCAGGTGCGTTAGCCTGAGCTTAGATCCTTCCGGGCCTGACTGTTTCCCAATCTCTCTTTAATTGGATGGAGCTGTGTCTCAGTGGCTGTGCATGGCTGGGTGATAACCCTCTGTGGGACTTGGCTTTCTAGCACCTGGTAGGAAAGTATTGGATGCCTTTGGGTGCATGAGATCTGGGGGTGGGGTTGAGACCCAGACCCACTGGCTGGGTCTCAGGAAGCAAGGAGTAGCAGAGGTTAAGACAATTATCCAGATAATCCTAATTCCCTCTGCGGTACAGAGGCCAGATGTGTCTTGGTTGCAGAATTAACCAGGTCTTTGTGGGCATCTCCATCTACCCCCATTGACAGAGATGCGACTGGCGGGTCCTGGTGGTCATTTTGGATCAAGCCTGGCAGCCTGTTGGTTGGTGAGCATTGCAGGCAGGGACAAACCTATTGCAGGGGCTTTTGTAGGGATTTGTAGGGATTTCTCCTATGTTTTGTTTTCTATGAAACAAACAGTTGATTAAGAAAACAAACAGTTGATTAAGAAGACAATGCATTCCCTCACCCCTTCATCCTTTGTCTCATTAACTTGGATCTATTTATGTCATGTTAACCAAACTCTGAGCTGGCTTAAAGTGGGATTGTATCACCCAGCCAAGTCGTAAGTGCAAGAGGGGGTCTTCCAGAGGGCCATTGCATTGAGAAAGAAACACTCACTCATGTCAAGATTTATTTGTTAGAAAACCCCTCTGGCCAGGTGCAGTGGCTCACTCCTATAATCTCAGCACTTTGGCCAGCTGGGGCTGGAGGATCACTTGAGGTCTGGAGCTCGAGACCAGCCTGGGCAACACAGTGAGACCTCATCTCTACAAAAAATACAAAAATTAGCCAGGCATGATGGTGCACACCTATGGTCCCAGCTACATGGGAGGCTGAGATAGGAAGATTGCTGGAGTCCAGGAGGTAGAGGCTGCAATGAGCCATGATTCCGCCACTGCATTATCCAGCCTGGGCCATAGGGCAAGACCTTGTCTCAAAAACAATCACAACAATAACAAACAACAACAAATGCTTCTGATACTGTACCATGGCAAACTACCTGGTTTTAGTTAGAAATCTATCTCTGAGATGAGTCGCTGCACCCAGGCCTCACTTGCTCTTGGTCTGGGGCGGGCTGTGCAGTTCTGGGATCTGCTCTGGTGATGAGCCTAAGGTGAACCTCAGAGTCAAAATCATGCCTTATGTCTGTCAGACACTTTGAACTGTTTCAAAGCCTCTCCAGGCCTATTATTTCATTTGATCTTCATAACATCCCCCAGACAGGGAGCCCCAGATAGGTTAATTGGCCTGCCTGGGGTCGCAGGTGGGAGCTGGGACTAGAACTGGAGTCTCTCCGGTCTTCCTCTACCCTCACGTCTGGAAGGACTGTGTCATGCCATGTGCTTTGGGGACTCACTGAGACACTTTCTGGTCTTTCTGGCCCCACTGCCACTGCAGCTGGTGTCAGGGAGAGACAGAAAGAAGGTGTGATGGGAATCAGCCCCCACAGCTCTGAGGGAGCTCCAAGGTGAGGGCCCATGGTGGACCCATCAATTCCAGAGGGCCACCTCCAGCTCCCAGCCTTGGCAGGCTTCTGCAGAGCAAATTGCAAGGGCTCCTCGGGCTCGTTCTAGAACCCAGACTGTGCTGTGAAGTCCGTTTCCAGCTGGACTGCCCAGGACCCCTCTCCTCCTCTGTCCCTCTTCTTCTTCTCCTACTGCTGGTGGCTCCCTTCCTTTCCTGAGCATAAACTGCTTTTCCTCCTGGAAATGTTGCAATTTTCCCTTCCTTGTGTTTTTGCTTGAGTGCAGGAGGGTTTGTGTTCAAGGTCTGGGGCTATTGAGGCTGGTGGGAAGTGAGCAAGTTTGAGAAAAGCCGGTGAGGGCAGGAGCCAGCAGCACTGGACCTGGCTGCAGGCAGCATTCCAGTGGGAAAAGTTAGAAAGCGTGAGTGCAAAAATAAAATATGAATATGCGAAATGTTAAAAAAGGGAGAAATTCCCAGGGCCACATTTGCCTAGTATCACACTAATACAGTGAGACAAGTAGGCTGATGGTTCCAAGCCTTCAGAAATGAGCTCTCAACGTTCAGTAGAGCCGAGATCCAGAGAATGATCCCGGCTGTGGGAAGATGGGCTACAGACTGCACCTTCAAGCTCTCCTTCCTGCTGAAATAGGAGCGTGCACGCAGCCACTTCAAAATTCAGACTGTGCATGCAGCAAGGCTGGAAAGGGAAAACGGCTCAAGGACCCGCCACTTGGGGGCAGCAGTTTTGAATATTTCGAATTGCAAGCCACTCTGTGGCTGAGACACCAGCATGCAAAACTTGCATACTAACAATGACAAACAATGTCTCAAATTGTAAACAGCTTAGGGAAGAAATCTTATTTTAATATTAGTCCAAAATTTCCATTTATATTCATATTCAAATTTATCTCCAGAAAATAATCCATATAGTTAAGACTCGAACGAAAGTAATTGATACAGAATAGGAATCACAGTCAGGGTGAAATAACCCTCAGAAAATCACAGTATGTGGCCGATTTTCTGAGTGGATAAAGCTGGGCTTACAGTTTATGCTGGGAGTATTTGAGCTAAATTAAGTCATGAAAGAAGATAATACAATGTACCATCATTTTAAAGTAATTTAATCATGAAAACTAAAAATTTGGAAGAAAACAGATATTTTACTTAATAGAAACCATCTGTACTGTACAGTAGGCAAATTGTATAAAAATGAATAAAACTGTCTCTGGAGGAGAGTGGCTCAGACACCGGCTTATATAATGAAGATGTATATGTGCCTTTTAGCATTTGCATTGTCTATTAGATGAGGTAAATCGCAGGGAGTATAAGGGAAACAGTTACAAATTTTATTACCATCATATGACTGATGACAAAGTGGCAATAGAAATAATGCATAAGAGATGGGGTCTGTTCCCAAGTCCAGTGGCTCTCCACCTTGGACCAGTCTTAATGGCCGAATCTCTATTGAGCGAGGGTCACTAGGATGTTTTTGTCTAGTTACTATGGCTTTAGTGGCTCCTACCCACAAGGACCATCTTTTAACTTGTTTAGGCTCCGAGTGTGCCATTTGATTTGATTTGGCCCCACCAGGGAGGCACCTAATTTAAACACTTCTGGAGTGGCTTTTGCACTGGACTTTTGGCTGGAAAGATGCAGGCAGATGATCTGTAAAATGTCCCCTTTTTCCTGTTGACCTGCATCAAAATGCATTTTTCTGACAGAATACTTTTGTCCCTGGTAAGAGGGGCTGGCTCGTCCCTCTCTGTGTCTGAAGGTCGAGTGCCACATTTTTCAAAACAGACACTTGTTCCTAATCTACAAATTAACTAAATAATCACAACTGCTAATTATACAGTATCAGGCCTGGAATACATAGGGCTTGAGTAATAATCAACTTTTTAAATTAAGTTGGTGACAACCACTATTAGCTGCTGTGATTTAATAATCCCAATAAATGTGCACATTTTAAAAAGGGGCTCTTTGTAATTTTTTTCCCCAGCATTTGCAACTGAATCTGTTAATGAAAAGAGAACACAACAGTTTTATGTTACAAACGATGCCATAATAGGTAAATAAAAGGGCTCCTCTAGACGCTATTAATGATGGATGTGCCGCGAATATGAATTGGAGATGCGAGGCAGAGCGAAATTTGAAATCAAGTTTCTATTTCTGTTTGTTATGATGAATTAAGGCCAGAAAGAGAATCTGATTCCTTTTGTATATTAAGCATTTTTGGGCAATAAGAAACAGATCCCATTAACAAATATGTAAAATAAAAATACCTCCCTTAAGATTTAGACGTTGGCAAATTTAGAACAAAAGAGATGCAATTTTCCACCTCGTATGCTCGCGCTGTTTTACCTAATATTATTATAATGCATTGGCTCCAGCAGCGGACCTGCGCGGCCGGGGAAAAGGGGCGCGCGCCTTGGCGACTGGGGGCGCATCGTGGGGACTCGGCCTCTTTTTCCCATCTTCTGGAGGAACCGCCGACCATAGCAGAGGGGAGCGCGTGGGAAGTCGCCCCGCGGGGCAGCCGCACATCTCAGAGACCTGCGGGGGGCGCGGGGTAGAGGGGAGAGATTGATCCGGGTTGGGGGGGCGGGGGGCCCACGAACGGTGGGGCGCGGGGTCGCTGGCATCTAGGACCGGGGGTCCTGGGAGGCTCCGCCAGGGGGCTGGTGAGGACCCTCACTCTGTGGGGGCCGGCCCTCCTTCTACCTCTTTCACCCTTTTCTCTCTGCCGCTGATTGCACCACTTTTCTTTTCTTTTCTTTTTTTTTTTTTTAGTGGTCAATTGAAATTTTATGGCTAAGTTATTTAAAAGAGACTATAGAAGAACGAAATGAGGGAAGGATGATGGAAACACCGCCTTTCTTTTACAATAATTACTCTTGATAGCAATTTGAACTAATTTGCATTAAAAAAACACCCATTTAACCAATCTGCTGCAAATGGGGACTTACTGTATACTGTTTTGTTAGACCTCAGGACTCCATTGTAGCATTTAAATTATGGAAGGACTACAGGACCCCATGAATACCCACGTCTGCTTCAGCCCAGGTTGGGCTTGTTTTCAATACCTGAGCAATGATATGATATGGAATTTCATGACAAAATGGGCTCATTTCTCATAATTGTACCTTTTATGTGTACTTTATAAGACAGGAGATGAGGGCAGAGACTGGAGCCAGGATTCCTGGCTATTCTCTTCTCAGCATGACCTTAGACAAAAATCCCTTCATATCCCTGGGTTCTCATGGAAGCAAGAAAGTTAGGAATCAAATACAAGGCCTTTGCCCTCCAAGACCTTAGAAATAGATGTGCATATGCGAGTGGATATTATTATTATTTAGGCTTTTGATAAACAATGATAAACTTCGTGGGGGTACGGCCTTTCCATCTATTGCCTGTAACTGATCAATATGCCCTTATTCCACCCCCAAAACTTTGGGGTGAGCTGGGGTGTGGATGGTTTTGTGTGTCAGTAAAGTGACCACAGCCAGCCGGATGGAGACAGCTGCCCTCTCCCTCTCTCTCTCTGCAGTATTTGGTTTCCCTGTACCATAACTGATGTTTTCCTTACATTTTTATTTCAAAAGAGAGATGAAGATCCTCATCTGGTTACAAAACCATTTGGACCCTCAGTCCTTCTCCTTTGGTTTCTTCTTTTCTGCTTTTTTTTTTTTTCCTACTTGAAAACATTGTAATCTAGAATTCAGAGAGGAAAAAAGTTGAAATTCAAAGCAGGCATTTTTTTTTTTTTTTTTGTCTGAGACGGAGTCTCACTCTGTCGCCCAGGCTGGAATGCAGTGGCACGAACTCGGCTCACTGCAAGCTCTGCTTCCTGGGTTCATGCCATTCTCCTGCCTCAGCCTCCCAAGTAGCTGGGACTACAGGCGCCCACCACCACGCCAGGCTAATTTTTTGTATGTTTAGTAGAGACGGGATTTCACCGTGTTAGCCATGATGGTTTCAATCTCCTGACCTCGTGATCCGCCCACCTCGGCCTCCCAAAGTGCTGGGATTACAGACGTGAGCCACCGCGCCCGGCCCAAAGCAGGCATTTTTGTGAGCCTAGCAGCGAGGTCTGGAGGCTTGGTGTGCTGGAGGGTGAAAGCAGCGTCAGGAGGTCACCGGGGTGGAATCTGATGACCCCCCAAGTTTCTCATTTTACCGATAGGGAAACTGAGGCTCTGAGGGGACCCGTTCACCCAAACAAGCCAGGTGGAGACTTGGGGTACTTTTCAGTGTTTTCCTTTATCTGTGTCAGTCCCCAGAGGGACCACATTTTCTGTACCCACAGAACATTCTGAATGAAAGCCAAGTGCAGACGATGTTTTCATTTCCCTCGTTTTGTTCTTTCCCCTTCTCTTCCCTTTCTTTCTTTTCCTCCCTCTTTCCTTTCTTTCCTCCCTCCCTTCCTCCTCCTTCCTTTCCTCTCTCCTTCCTTCTCTTCCTTCTTTCTCTCATTCACTCACTGCCTCTTGTTTTCTTTACCACAGTGCAGACCTTCTGGAGTCCAAGGTGGGGGGTTGGGGGTGGGGTCGGTGGTGGGGAGCAAGGAACAGGCCACCCCTGCTGCAGACCCGCCGGGTGGACACAAAGCAAAGCCACCCAGGAGGGGGTGGTGGGGACAGTCTTGCATGCCCCACCTCAAGCCGGAGAACATTCTGGCTGCAGGGGACCCTGCAGAGGCCACGAAGCCTCACTGAGTGAGAGAAAGAAAGAAGGAAAGAAAGGAGGGAAGGCAGCTCCCTCTGCTCAGCCGCTGGGAAACTGGTGTCCCGCGGTTGCTCCTGTCATGCACAAGATGGCGCTCTTAAGCTTTAAAAAGAGTCGGGGGCTCAGTGCAGTGAATGCGCCGCTCCACCCCGAGGGTTCCTCCTGGAGAGGCTGCAGAGCAGGCGGGAAGAGGCAGGAAAGTGAGGGCCTTCTTTCCTGGTGCCCTCAGCGTGATGGAGGGAGTCCAGCCTTGCTCTCCCCCTGGGCAATCAGGACTCCCAGAGACCCCGCTGCCCTTCTGAGCTGCTGCTTTCCAACTTAGGAATTGCCCGTGGGGTCCTCACGGAGTCCCCCGTGCAGCTGGACTCTCGAGCTTTGTTTCCTGAACAGGGAAGAAGGAAGCAGGTGGGGCACAGAGCGGCTCTGACCTGCCAGACACCACCGGACCGCTCAGGCAAAGGGGCTGCGTCCTGCTGTGCGGCCCCGGTCTGAGGGAGGGTCCTGCATTTGCTTACCTGATGCTGGTTCAGAGCTGTGCTAGCGAAGGGGAGGGCATAGAGAGGCCTCTGGGAGTCTGGAAAGATCCCTGGTCCTCTCCAGTGGGCTAGGACACTGAGCACATCTGCGCCCTTTCCTTGGAGGCCTTACCAGGACCAAATGCAGGCAGGAGAGAGTGGCCTCTTGCATGTGGTCACCCCAGACATGATTAGCCACCTGTCTGCCTGTGAACCTCTGAGGGAGGGGACCCGCCAGGGCCAGAGCCAGGTGCGCTGGAAAGCAGTGGGGTCAGGTCAGCCCCTTGTGACAAATCATCCATCTTGTGACTCAAGATTCAAAGTGAAGGGATTTCTGATGACCTGGAGGACCTGGGGGGATTAGGAACCCAGGAACCCAGGCCATGGAGGCAAGGGGGATGGGTCAGAGTGCCCGGTGTCCACTGCTCAGCAGGACCTCAGTTCAGCTTCTGTTAAAGAAGGTGGAGGACCAACTCATGTTTCAAATCGTGGGTCCCACAATGAAAGTGAACAGGTAAGAAAATGTGAGAATTCATAGCATGTAGTAAGAATAAGAGCTGTGTCTTGAAACTTTATTTCGGCATATTACACACATATACACACACATGACTGTGTACATATTTGTACATACATGTATATATCAGGCCACAAAGGTGGGCAGTTTGAAGAGCTCCCCGCCGCCCAGTGCTCTCTAAGACAGTAGCGGACACTGGACCCAGCTGTGGCTGTAGAGCTCCATGGATCTGGGTTCTAATATGGGCCCACTACCTGCTTGCTGCTTGACCTTGCATATGTTGCTTAACCTCTCTGAGCTTACCAGTCAATAGGATGATAAATGCCCTCCAAGATGCAGCTGGGCAGGTGCATGGTGCTTTGCACAGGGCAAGCGCTGGCAATGCACCTTCCTCCCCTTTCCATCTCTGATATTTACTGGAATGTTACCAGCCTGGCCTCAGAAATCATTCTGCCCTCGAGTTCCTCTGGTATCCAGGGCCTCCTCCCAAGGCACAATAGGGACCCACATCTTTTAGAGACCCATGTGGAGTGAATTAGTGGAAACTGAGGCCCACTGTAAGCCAACTTGTGTGGCTCTTGCTATGTAAGCAAGTGCTGTGGCTAAAGCTCTTGTCGGAGCCCGACCACCCTGTCAGTTTCTGAGGGGAACCCTGACTCACTTGGTGTTTTTTTTTTTTTCAGACAGAGTCTTGCTCTGTCGCCCAGGCTGGAGTGCAGTGGCACAATCTCAGCTCACTGCAAGCTCCGCCTCCTGGGTTCACGCCATTCTCCTGCCTCAGCCTCCCAAGTAGCTGGGACCACAGGTGCCTGCCACCATGCCCGGCGAATTTTTTTGTATTTTTAGTAGAGACGGGGTTTCACCGTGTTAGCCAGGATGGTCTTAATCTCCTGACCTCGTGATCCGCCCGCCTCGGCCTCCCAAAGTGCTGGGATTACAGGTGTGAGCCACCGCGCCCGGCCACTTGGTGCTCTTAAAATCACCTCTGCTACTGCTAGGGCAGACTCCATGGTGGGTGGGTTCTGTTCGATAGAAGGATCCAGGAGGACAGGGTGTAAGGGGTGAGGATAGAGCAGCAAGGTCATGGCAGAACCAGGCAGGTCCAGTCTGCTCTCCTTCCTGCTCTGAATGTTAACTGCACCCCTACTCTGAAAGGTGAAATTGACTCCTTCTGTCATCACTCATTGATCGTCTCTTGCAAGGGTCTGTATTACTGGTTTGGATAGGGGTGTAGATGTTGTCTTCTTTTTCATAACCTGGTGTCTCCAAATGAGGCCTGAAGAAGGCATAGCCGTGGAAAGGAGGTGGCACTGCCTTCCTGGTAACCTGCCTCTCAGGCTCAAACACAATCTGGATGCTGAGTCTTGAGGTTTGACCTCCTGCATCCCTGAACTCTGGTCAGCCTCCTGAGGTTCCAAGCCCATGTTCCCAGTCTGTGTTACCACGATGAAGAGGTAAAGAGAGCCCAGCTCTGGTCTTGCTGCCTGGAACATCTTGGGCACATCTGTGCCCTGAGTCTCAGTTTTCTCATCTGAAAAGCAACAGTTGAATTTACAAAAGCTTCGTTTTGATGATTAGGATTCTGGCTTAGACTCCATTAGCCCCTTTTCCAATCCAATAGAAAATTTTTAACCTTCAAGAATGTCATGCAATTATCTCTCCAGAGTTTCTCTATTAGTTTTATAATCAACTTCACTTGACCAACTAGAAATGATATTCAGCCCAAATACACTGTTGTCAAACTGCATAATTTTACCTTCTGGTTTGACTACTTTGTTCTATGTTATTACAGATAACATTCAACTAGCTTTGCCTTAATTGTGTTTGCAGAGCATTACTGCTCCAAGGTATTAGAAGGTGTCTGCGGTCAAGTGGGAGTTTTCCATAACGCAGTATATTTTGGGAAGCACAAGTCAAATGCATTTGAATTGATTTCATGAGTGCAGACCTTCTCAGAGCCTTATTTCTACAAAGTGTACAGGGTGGGAAGTTCAGAGGCCTGGACTCTTCCAGCTGTGCCTCTGCCCTGCTAAAGGGTTATATGTCCACAGTCACTGCTACCACAAGAGGTCGAAGTACATCATTGCTGAGGTCCTTTTCAAACTTTGCTGTTTCATGATTTTTGGTTCTGATTTCCACTTCTTCCTAACCAATAATCGAGAGGAATTTCTTGGCCTTTTACAATGTGTAGGATACTGATCTATGTGCTATGGGAATACAAAGTGTATCGGACATGGCCCCTGCCCTCAGGGAGGTTACACTGTCCTCCAGAATGCAGGACATACTAAGGGTTACATAGTGATTCTAGTCCATGGAATCTCCCACATGATGGGTTAGGAGTCCAAGGGAGAAGGACGGTATCTGGGGTGGTCAGGGGTGGTTAATGGATGAAGTTGGGTCTTAAGTGTATATTGTAAGAAGGATTTGTAGGGATTTTTGAGGTGTGAGTTCGGGGCAGAGAAGGGAAAAGCATTTTGGAACAGGCAACAGCATTTGCAAATGCCTAAGGTCAGCGAATAGGGGATTAGAGATCTGTGAGTGGTTATGTCCGGTGGGTCTGCAAGGGTGTCTGGGTGGTCTGGAAGGAAGGAAGCTGAGGGCTGTATAGGTCCATT
Organism: Homo sapiens; assembly: GCF_000001405.40. Classification (NCBI taxonomy): domain Eukaryota; kingdom Metazoa; phylum Chordata; class Mammalia; order Primates; family Hominidae; genus Homo; species Homo sapiens. The sequence continues at coordinate 128,271,733 of NC_000010.11, forward strand.
GTGAAGGATCTTATATGTCAGGGTGGGGAATTTGTATCTGAAACTGTTGATAACATAAGTTTAATCCCAGAGGAGTTACATTAATTTCTCTCCTCTTTTCCTCAGCTTTACTAAAAAAAAGTCACTTGGAATTATGCGGTTGGGAGTTACATGTGTATCTGGGGGACTCACTTCTTTGAGAGAATCACCTATAAACCTCTCAATGGCATATAAGCAACACAGAGTCTTTCACCTCTCCTCACTGCCCCTGGCAAGCCCCATCTGCCCAGAGGAGCACTTGTTCACAGAGCAGAGCTACCTCAGAATCTCCAGCAACTCCTCACAAAGTTAAACATAGGATGACCATATGACCTAGCAATTCCACTGCTAGGTATATGCCCTCAAATAATTAAAAATAAAACAGATATTTGTACACAAATGTCCACAGGAGAACTATTCACAATAGCCAAAAGGTGGAAACAACCCAAATGTTTATCAACAGATAAATGGATAACAAAAAACAGTATATTCATACAATGGAATATTATTCGGCTGTAAAAAGGAATAAAGCACTCGTACGTGCTGCAATATGGATGAACCTCTGAAACATTGTGCTAAGTGAAAGAAGTCAGACACAAAAGGCTGCAAATTGTATGACTCCATTTATATGAAACATCCAAAATAGGCAAATCCATAGAGACCGAGAGCGGATGAATAGTTGTCAAGGGTTGTAGGGACGGGAAAGGGTCAGCTTCCTGCGCCCAGCGTTTTACTCAGGGGTGATGACAATGTTTGGAGTGACAGTTGCACAACATTGAGAATGTAAGCAGTGCCACTGAGCCGCACACTTTAACATGGTTAATATTATGTTACATGGATTCCACGTCCATGAGAAAATAATCCCAATGACACTGTGCTCCCTGGGGGCTCTGCCCTTCAGCTGGCAGAGGGCAGCGTGGCCCCCGGGCCTGGGAAGGGAGGGAAGGGAACCTGTTCATGGGTCCCCGAGAGCCCTCAGGGACCACGCTGCAGGCCTCCTGGGTGGGATCATTCTTTACGTTGTCCAGTGGTTATTTCCAAGTGGACCTATTCGACTCTCTAAATCACTTTCTTGAGTGCAAGAGAGTAAAGGGCAAAAGTTACTCCTTTCCTATTCTTTAAATTGCCAGGATCAATAGGCACCATTGATTTGAATTGAGAAATAGTTTCCAGGTAACATTTAGGAAGAATCATTGAGATCAGCACATGGAGAGTGACCGTCTGCTGCCCTCTGAGGGGACAAGCCTTTGGGGTTCTAAACTTCTAACCACCTCTGCTGGCTGTGTGGCCAGAGTCAGTGAAGCTGAGGTATCATTTGGAGAGATCATGGCAGCTTCTGCCCGTGAAAGGTAACAATTGGCCAGTCTGGTCCTCAAGCAAGCAGATGAGCCTTCATACCCTAAACTATACTGAGGGGCAGGAGCTCCAGGAGAGTCTGGATGCAGCCTCCATCCCTGATGGTCTTGCGCAGGGGAGGTCTTGTCTCTGAACAGTGGTCAGCTCCCGGGAGTGCTGGGGCTACCCCGGGTCTCCTGCTTGTGTTTGTCTGTCCATCAGAAGCTCAGCTGCAAGGTAGAGCCGAGGCCCCGTGGAGCTCTGGGCTAAGGCCCCTTTCTGAGTGATCTTCCTGCCACCACTCCTGGGGACACTTGCCTTGGAAGGAACCTGACCCTCTCCTTCAAGTCTTTGTCCCTGGCATTAGGCTGAGCGATAAGAGGCAGGGGCGACGCCATGCTCAGGGCAGTTCACGTGGATGACTCCCTGGCCTGTGTCTTTCTGCTACCATTGGGAAGAACAGCTGGTCTCAGAAGAGAAGCCGGTTTCCAGCCCAACACTTGAGGAAGGATATTAAAAGGAGAAAAAAAAATTATGTTGACTCCAAATGTCCTATTTTAGTTAGACAGCACACGAATAGGATTGGGGGACAGCATTGATCTTTTACTTATAATGCAGAACATTCAATGGATGGCAAAAATGCTTTTAAAAGGGGCCCATGGAACACTTTGAAAATATTAATTAGTGTGTTGAAGCATTCTGCATAGCATATCATAGTGAAACTGCTCCAGGGGGTTGCTCAGAATGAATTATTAATAAGAATCCCTCTCTCCCCCATGCTTCACACCCTGATTTTATGGGAGTTGGCGTGGATTGGGGTGTCTGTTAGATTCATTTGCTGCTCATTTCACACAAGTGGGGAGAGGTCTGTGTCATTGGGGTCACCCATGTTTGGGGCTCTTATGTCTGGAAAAGAAGACATACCCCAAAACACCAAAAACACACCCCGGAGGGGCAAAGGCAAGAAGAAGCCAGTGCTATCAGTGGCTGTGCTGGGCTAGGTACTTTATATACCAATTGGAAAACAAATGTCATGGCTGTGGGTGTGAGTGTTCCATTTCCTAAAGATTCAAGTCCGAAGGAGGGTGGCAGAGTCCAGGAAGCAGCAGCTCTTCAGACGAATCAGAAAAAATTCAGAGGCTTCTTTCCTCTGATCCCCACTTTGCCTGTACAACCCGTGAAAGAGGTCACCATTCCCTTCCCAGTGGATCTCAACTGTGTTCACTCAGCAACAGCAAGAGTTCACCAAAGCTTACCAAAATATCACACCCCCTAAACAAGTAAGCAGTCAGACTCTAAGCTGAGAGTGAAACCTGCTTTTTCCTGTTTTACTAAACATAGATTTGTAGAAATAGAAACATATTAGTAAAGGCATTTTGCTTTAAAATTCTAAACTAATCCAATCAAGGATCATAGAAATAATTATAGTTGTGCAAAATTGAACAATGAGGATTGGGGGGTTAATCTAGTTATTATGGGCATTCCTTGCATTGGAAATAAGCCAAAGCGTGCATTCACAGGGATGCCTTAGACAGCTCCTAGTTTTTCTGCTTTTGTTCCTTCCCCATCCCCCATTTGTTTCACACTTAGAATTTATGGACATCATATTTTTTTCTCTTTAAAAGTAATGTGCAGATAGGTTGCCGAGAAAAAAGCAAAAAAAAAAAAAACTATTTCTGAAATGATTGAGATTTTCAACATTATGGAAATGTAGGTAATCAGATGAAATAGTAAATTTTCCACTTTAGTTTTATTGGAGTCTACTGTTTTCAGGATGTAAAAGAAATGGCCTTTCCAGTTTAAAAATGAATTAGTAGACTGGACTTCTTTGTGTAATAGGTTTTACTAGGATAACTCTGGTCTACTGGGCCATGTATTTCCCCCCAAAAGTTTGAGGTGTCATGTTGGACTCCTTTGTTTTCCCTTCCAGGGAAAACCACAAGCCATAAGCTTAACTGGAATTTTCATGTTGACAACTTGTGCAATTATGAGAGGAGCGGGTCATTAGCAGTTGACTGTGCTCTGGCAGGGAGGGAAGCCAAGAGCTGTGCAAGTCTTCTGAATCAGCCGCAACAGCGCCTCTGCTTTTTATGAAGTTAAGAGCATGACAGATCTTCCTGAGGAAACCATCCTCGCACGCTTGCGGACGTTATTGGCGCCACGTCCTCTCCAGTGGGTTCTGTAGCCAACTGATTAATATTTTCAGCATGTAGACGACCTCCAGTCCTTCTGAGGCAAATTTCTCTCTCTCCATCCTCCTTTCCCCATGTCTTTCCTCTTGGAAAAAAAAACACAAAACAAAAACCACAAGGCTTCCCCGCAAAAGGTCTCTATAAAATTTTATATCCCTGGTGCATTATTATTATTTTATTCACTTCATTACATCAGAATGAAGCCCAGTTTTCAAAGGAAAAAAAATGAGCTCTGCAAATGGTTGAAACAATATCTGACCTCCGCCCGGTGGCGTCTGATAAGGTTTCTGCTTTTTGGAGAGAGTGACATGGTCGGCCAGTGGGCAGAACCCGCTGTCGAGCTCTGAGCGAGAAAGGGAAAGGAAATGAACCTGCCATCGGCCGCCACGGCACCCACTCCACACATGGACAAAGGAGTCTGCAGTGAGCAGTGGTGTGTGTCCTGGAAGGGGCCTGCTAGAAATTTGAAGTTTTATTTTTATTTATTGTTTGGTGATGATTTAAACACCCCATGGTGCCGAGTCATAAACAGAAAGAAAGCCCACATTTGGCTTTTGTTATCAGCTAGGAGAATTAAGGGTATTTTTTTCCTTGACTTTTTTTTTTTTTTGAACAGCCCCAGTGCCTTGGCCGGCTTCCAGTTCAGGTAATTACATTCTGTCTTCCTAAATTCCCTGGTAGCTCCAATTGGGCTAGCTGCTCTTCACTCCCTCCTGGAAGCTGATGAGCGGGTGCCTGGCGTCGAATGGGGTGGCATTCCAATAGTGGGTCCCAAGGTGTTCTGCTGGAAATGCACTTCGAGCAGATTCTGCATGCAGGGCTTGTGTGCAAATGGAAGTAGGATTATTTATTACGCTTTTCCATCAGCAGCTGCCAACCCGAAACTATCTCTGAATGACATTTTAAATATGAAGGCCAGGGTCATTAGGATGATTACATACAAAGGTCCATTTTGTTCACCTTTAAAATTATTGGGGAACTGAAATCGGAGTTGGGGAGCGAGAGGAAGGGTAACACATCCCATAACAGGGATGCTTCATTTGCCACAAAATGGCACTTTTTTTTCCTGTGTACTTTTTTGCTATGTCTTGATTATAATTGAGGATTTTGGGGCTTTTTGTTTTTGCTTTTCAAAGATGAATGGGAATAGGAGCATTTTCCATTTTTAAAAATAAAATTACATCCCTTTTTTAAAAAGTCTGAGATTCAATTCATTTAAAGGTAATCCTTCCAATACTTATTGAGCACCTACCATGTACCAAACGTTGCTGAAGGTTTATTTTGGCCACATAAGCACTTATTGATTTTATCTTTTTCATTTATATTTATTTTAATTATGGATATCAATATGTTTTTCAAAAAACAATGGAAATAATTTCCATAAAGTAGCATCTGTATTGGTAATCAAAGTATGAAATAACATGCTCCTGTTTACACAGTATGTAATAATGCCTTATGTAGACAGCTGATTTTTACTGAAAAATGCTTCCCAAGATTGAAATCAATATATGCCACAAAACAGAATTTAGGATGTATTCTGGAAGACGAAAAAGAAGATCTGATGTATAAAAATCACTTTCATTTTACACATGAACATAAGTAAAGTGATCCTTTTTCTAGTTACCATTAGAGATTGAGGAAACTGCTCCTATTGTCAGTTCTGTTTGTTTCATAATTTCTACCAAACAAGCCTATGAAGGTTTAGTAGGCTGTGCTTCTGAAAGAGATCAGTTTTGATACCCTGGGCATCTGCCTGACTTATAGTCCTATCTGAGTTCTTTCCACATACCTGACAGCAGACAGATCTTCCCGGCACCTTTAATTTTTATTTTTTATTAGCTTTCATTTTTCCAGCCCTGTATTATTCCACCACTAGGTGCCATAAATTGATGGCACTATCCATTTATGTGGCATGACCAAAGCCAAGCCGATGAAAACTACGATCATGCTTGACGTCCAGTCCTATCATCCTGTGTTAGATAATAATTTCTTTTTGCCCTTTTACTCCCCTATAGAGCCATTCTTTATAAAGCATTGAGTCAAGGCAGATATTAAACAACTCAATTCAGTACTCTCGTTGGGGCTTGTAACTCTAGCGAATTGCATTTTTTCCTAATTACAGGAAAAATAGCAAATTGGCAAACATCAGGAAGTGGGTACACCTCCTCTGATTTACAAGGAAGAGTGTAAGGTGACTTTATAGCTCAGGAATTCAGTGAAATAAATTTATGGTTAGAAAAATTCATGTTCTTTATGTGATGAAGGTCCTTTAACTTTTAACACGCTTCTCCAGTTAAGCTGAGCAGGACTCACACGGAAATGGCTGTCTACAGCTGCCGCAAATTGATTTATCCCCAGATAATTGTCAGAGCTGCAGACCAAATTGTTAGAAAGAAACAGTTCTTTAATTTCAGTGTTTGCGGCTGTCTATATATTGTTTATGCAGATTCCTGTTGTGTATGAGCAGAGATTTGTGGTGGCCTAACTATTCCGGGCAGTCAGGGTAATTCTCTCCAGCCCAGAGGGCCCACACTGTTGATGGCAGCCCGCTGTCACCCCACTGGGGAGTGGTCTCTGAACACCTTTCCCGCAGGATTTTGCCACTTACTTCAACTCCTTCCTTTGTGAGTTTCTTCATTTGTGAAATCCTTCAGAGTCAAGTGATCTGTGTGAGAAACTGTGGAGTCAATGTCTACAGCAATACTAATTTGTGTTTGGAAAATTATATCTTGAGAATCTGCTGAAATTGTTTGCATCGTGAGAGGGAAGGATTCGCTCCATTTGAGTCATATCCCTGGGATGGCAGAGGCATTGCCCCAACCTTGATATTGTCATTGCCTCTCTGGGGCTTCCTAGCACAACTCTGCAGCTCTGGAAGCTGAGTGACACACCAGTTAATGTGGAGATGTGTATCTTTATTCAATAAATATTTCCTGAACCTACTATGTGCAAAGCCAGGAAAATAAAGCAGACAAGTCCTCTGCCCCCTCAGAATTTATAATAGATTGAGAAAGATAGAATATAAAATAAATGAATGATTGCATAATTAATGACCAGTTGTGATAGGCACACCAAAGGAAAAAATACAAGGAGTTTTAAGAGGGAAAACAGTGTTGCCTGCTGCAGGGGGCTCAGAAAGTGATGGCATTTGGCACCTAGCACTCTCTGCTAAGTTCTCTCGGCCATCACCTTTTTCTTTCAGCACAAAGAGTCTTGTGCAGACACTCCTGAGAAGGGGACGGGTCACAGGCTTGTCAGCATGAGGCTCAGCGGGGCTTAGCCCACTCTGGAGCCTGTTCCCCTTCCCAGGCTACCACGTGTCAGCGCTGGTCATCTGGGCTCTCTCCTGCCCCTGGCAAGGACTGGTCATCTGCAGCTGTGCACTCTTTGGGGGGCACCAGACCTCATGTGGAACTGCCCCTGCCCCCAAGACCCTCCCACCACGATGCTGCTGCTCATCCCGGCTGGTTTCCACCCTTGGGGGTGGGGCGAGACTTGCCTCTTTCCTCGGTAACTAGTTGCCCAAGCTTGGACCCTCTTCTCCGGCTCCTGGTCCAGATGAAGTAACGAACTCCTCTGGTCTCCTGCATGTAAGATTTGATTGTCCACTTTTTTAGAGTTTTAAGCCTAGATGTTTGTGTCTGATCTTTTTCTGGGTAGTTGGGGCCAGAGGCAGGGAAGTCTAAAATGTTTTCATTTCTTAATATAGCTTTCTCCTAGAGAAAATACTCACAAATATAATCAATACCAAAATAAAAATATATTAACAAAAAATGAGTTTCTAATAAAAAGGTAAAAAAAGCAAAAAATTACTCTAAAATAACTGAATTTTATGAATATTTTTCTTCTAATAAAGCTACTCGGGAGGCTCAGGCAGGAGAATGGCGTGAATCCGGGAGGCAGAGCTTACAGTGAGCTGAGACGGTGCCACTGCACTCCAGCCTGGGAGACGGAGCGAGACTCCGTCTCAAAAAAATAAAATAAAATAAAATAAAGATTTAAAAATTTAAGATAAAAACTCAGATACATAGACAAATAAGAATTGCATATAACTGAGGAACAAGGAGGCTCTGTCATAAGGGACTAATTTAGTTTTTCTTTCAGTTCAGCAGTGTTTATTGAGCATCTACTATGAGAAAAGCACTGTTACCTTTCTCTGTCCCTCCCTTTCCTCTTCTCTCCTTGAAGACTGAATAGGACTTTACTGGAAGGCAAGCTGGGGAGAAAAGCACTCCAGCTAAGGAGTCGCTGTGCCAAATGCTGAGGGCCAGGGTCTGGGATAACTGGAGAACAGTGAGCCGTTTGCCAGGTGGTTCCCTGGGCAGCCTTAGAGGCGAATGTTTCCGAAGCCTTTCTAGAACCTTCGACACTCACCTGTCCCTTGTATCATTGCCCCTGGGCTTGTCTGCTGTAGGCTGGGTGCAGGACAATTCTGTAAAGAAATGCCAGTGCATGTCGGCGTCTTCAGGGTGGTGACCACACAGTGACTGTGACCTTAGATGAAGGAGGATGCCTCGGAGCAAGTGACCGTGGTGGCACCTGCCCACCCACCTTGTGTGGGGCTGCCTTTCTGCTGGACACACTTGATCCATGCTGTACCGGGAAGGCAGCCATTGTGGAGACTCAGTCACTCACTCAGCAAAGGTTTGTGGGACCGCGTATGACCATGGAAGACGCATCACACCATCCTGTCGTCCTGAGCAAATTCGTGCCTAACAGAGAAAACACTGAAACCTTCGCGAATGTTTGCTTGGCTTTTTATTATTTAGTGTATTTATATTGGACTTTTCCAGGAGATCTGTGGTTGAAATTGCTTGGCACCCAATAAAAAATTATTTTCACCTTAGTTCACATTTAAAAAATCATTTTCACCTTAGTTGTTCACTTTTATGCCAAAGCTCATGTGAATTGCTATTTCTGTGATCAATTGAAATATATTTCATTTTTCTTTCCTACCTAATGTCTAGAGGTTCATCGTTTGATGCAAACCTAATATTATTGATACCTTTCAATGGTGTCTAAAGGCTTTCCTTGTTGGATGCATTCACATATTTATACAGGAATTCTTTTAAAGCTATTTTAGATTTTTTTATTTTAAAGTTTTTATGGATTTGGGGGATATAAGTGCAGTTGTGTTACATGGATATACTGCATAGTGGGGGAGCCTGGGCTTTTAGTGTGTCTGTCACTCAAATAGTGCACATCCTGCCCACTAGGGGATTTCTCATCCCTCGCCCCTCCCACCTTCTCACTTCTCTGAGTCTCCAGTGTCTATTCCATCCTCTCTGCCCACATGTACACATTATTTAGCTCCCACTTATAAGTGAGAACATGAGGTATTTGACATTTCGTTTCTGAGTTATTTCACTAAGATAATGGCCTCCAGTTCCATCCATGTTGCTGGGAAAGACATGATTTCATTCCTTTTTATGGCTGAGTAGTATTTATCATATTTTCTTTATCCAATTATCCATTGATGGATACTTAGGTTAATTCCATAGCTTTGCTCTTATGAAGCATGTATTCAGCAAGTTTTAATTGAGAACTGGGGTGCTAAGTAATCAGAGCACCTGGTCTCCGCCCACAGGAGCTGACAGTCCAGTGAGGGTGCCTTAGAAAATCCCACAGATAATTGCAATAGGAGACTGGCTCTAAGAGCCAACTAGCGGATGAGCAGAGTTCGGCTCGGGAGGTGAGTTCCTGCTGGGGGCACTTGGCTAGCCCTTCAGAGGAAGTGGTACTTGCAGGTTGTGTAGGACAGCAAGGGGCAGAGAGAGGAGGGCAGATGGGCTTGTGGGCAGAGGAAATGGGGCAGGGCAGGGCAAGGCGCCGAGCTGCCTGAACCTGGTAGGTCTAGGCCAGGCAGGGCCGGGAGGCTCTGCTGCAGGCCAGGCACAAAAGATGGCTTTGGGCCAGACTGGGGACTGCCCCACGCTCACACCAGGGCCATGGCTTTATTTATTTAACCCTAACTTTATGAATCCCTGGGACCTGAGAAAAAGATAGGAAGTAAAAAACAGGGAGTCATTAGGGCTCTGAGAAGAGGATTCCAGGAAAGAACTTCGATCCAGGGACACAGCTGACATTCAAAAGGGAGGGACAAAAATGGGCCAAGGAGACTTTCTGTCCCCATATGTGTGTGTGCACACATACGTGCGCACACTGACACACACACAACATACTGTCACATACACACGCTCACACATGTGCACACACATGCACACACACATGCAGGCAAACATGCACACACACAGACACACACTCTCACACAGGCACACATGTGCACACACATGCACATGTACACTCATGCATGCATGCACACACATTCTCTCATACAGAAACATGCACACTTTTACACACACATGCACACACTCGTACGCACAAACACACTTACATCTGGTCAGAGAAGGGAAAGGCCCTGCGCTTGGGTTCCCAGTTTATTCACTGCACTGCTGAGCACTGCCTGGTGCCCACGCTACAGGGGAGCAGTTGGGGCCAGGGGACAGCCCTACCCTGGGATGGTTACAGACAGCGCATACTGGCAGCCGTGGTTGCTGAGACAGGAGGTCCACCGCTGCACCCTGGGAACCCGCCGGCTAGTGATGGGAGAGGGCAATTACCCCAGGGCGGTGGCAGAGCCTCCTTTAGGTTTGCACTTCCCCAGTTTCTAATCTGCTTTGTGCGGCTGCACTGCCTCTTGCTTGCTGGTGCCTCTTCCAGCAGTTACATGTAAGCCTTGAGGCTTTATGCACCCCGATTTATCTTACACAGTCATGCATTGCTTAACAACAGGGATACATTCTGAGAAACGCGCTGTTAGGCTACAGAGTCGCTGTGTGAACATCACAGAGTGTACTTACATAAGCCTCGATGGCACAGCCTACTGCACACCTAGGCTAAACGCATGGCCTGCTGCTCCTGGGCCACACGCCGGCACTATATGCGATTGTACTGAATACTGCAGGCCGTTGTGACACAATGGTATTCATTTAAACATAGCTAAATGTAGAAAAGGTAGAGTAAAAATATCATACACAGATAAAATGGTGCACCTGTGTAGGGCACTTACCATGAATGGGGCTTGCAGTATTGGAGACTGGAAGTTGCTCTGGGTGAGTCAGTGAGTGAGTGGTGAGCGAATGTGCAGGCCTAGGACATGACTATACGCTACTGTAGACTTTACACTCTACACTCAGCCTACACTAAATGTATAAGAATATTTTTCTTTCTTCAATAAGAAATTAAGCTTAGTGTAAATTTTTACTGTAGTTTCTATACATTTTTTACTTTATACATTTTTAAATTTTTATTAGCTTTTGGACTCTTGTAATACAGCTTAAAACACAAACACATTGTATAGCTGTACAAAAACATTTTCTTTATCTCCTTATTCTGTAAGATTTTTCTATTTTTAAATTAAACATTTTTGTAACTTTAAAACTGTTTTGTTAAAAACAAAGACACAAAGACATCCATTAGCCTAGGCCAACACCGGGTCAGGAGCCCCATAGCCCTGTCTCCCACCTCCACATCTTGTCCCATTGGAAGGTCTTCAGGGGCAATAACACGCATGGAGATGCCATCTTCCAGGACAGCAGTGCCTTCTTCTGGATGCCTCCTAATGACTTGCCTGAGGCTGTTTCACAGTTAACTTAAAAAAAAAAAAAGGCCAGTCATGGTGGCTCACTCCTGTAATCCCAGCACTTTGGGAGGCCGAGGCAGGCAGATCACCTGAGATTAGGAGTTCGAGACCAGCCTGGTCCAACATGGTGAAACCCCATCTCTACTAAAAACACAAAAATTAGCCAGGCATGGTGGTGGGCACCTATAATCCCAGCTACTCGGGAGGCTGAGGCAGGAAAATCGCTTGAACCTGGGAGGCCGAGGTTGCAGTGAGCTAAGATTGTGCCACTGCACTCCAGCCTGGGCCACAGAGGGAGACTCGGTCCCCCCCCCCCAAAAAAAAAGTAGGAGTACACTTTAAAATAACAATAAAAAGTATAGCATCGTAAGTCATTTATTATTCTTATCATGTATTATGTCCTGTACATAACTGCGTGTGCTAGACTGTGCTATGACTGCTAGTGCAGTTGCCCCAGCATCGCTGCAAACACATGAATAACGTGTTAGTGTGTATTGGTGCGACAGTTACTGTGTTACCAGGTGATAGGAATTTTGCAGCTGCATTATAATCTTATGGGACCATCATGGTGTACGGGGTCCATCACTGACCAAAACATTGCTATGTGGTGCATGGTACATGACTGTATTTGAGGTTCTGGGTCATACCTGGGTCACACAGAAGGCTGAGTTGATCCTGACCCATTCCACCACAGTCATGAGATTGCAGAGAAGCAGCTGAGACACTCTCCCTGTAACATGACAGCAGCAGCACTGCCACCAGAAGCAATAGGCACAGTGTGTTTTAGGAGAGCAAGCTCTGTGTCATGGGGTCCCCCATTCTGCAGGCATTCTCTGGGTCTCTTTGTCTTTCTCTTTCATACAACCAGAGCTGATGACCATGATGAAGGTCTCTGCACCTACCCTAAGCCAGGCTCCAGTTTGAATAATTTCCAATCTCAAAGTGGTTTCAATCAATCAACAAGCAGATTCATAAGACTTCACACTTGTATTCGGCACCTCCTGGCTCTACACGCCATGAGTGCTCCTGACTTACAGGCTGGGCCTCCTCCCATAGGAATGGCCTCAGAGGACAGAGACAAGGACACGTTAATGAATGTGCACTGAATGCTGCTCTGTGCTTGCACTGGGTACAGAAAGAGGCTGGGCATGGATGTGTGCACTACAAGTTCTGAGCCCCAGAGGAAGTTATATGACAGACTTGTGCCTGGTCAGCAATGGTGAGTAGCTGAAAGTGCTGTGTGCCAGTGCTGAGGGCACATGCGGTGGTATTGAGACTCCCAAGTGTGTGGAAGATGAGTGTTTGACCCTGGCTTTCAAGAATGGGCACGATGGGGATTGACTGAGAGAGGAGAGGAGGCCCTCCCTGGTAGGGGAGCCTGGGACAGTGGGTAGACTGGCTCTTCTCAAACAAGGATTCATCTAGGATAGACAATGAAGACAGGGTGACTGGGGCAGCCGTGTGCAGCTTAACCTTAACACCACCTCTAGCTGTGGAGTCTCTGCAGGCTTCCGAGCAGGGCAGGACACTGGGGAAAGGCAGACAGGAAGACAGAGGGGACACCCTTCCTGGGCAAAACCCCTTGGAAACAGTCATGCCTTGCTCTCTGATGTCTGCTTTTTGGGGACAGGGGCCTGCTGATAGCATGTGGTTCTTCCGCCTGTTGATCTGGGCAAGGGTGACTGTCTCATCTCAGGAGCCTGCGGGTCAGTGGGTTCCTGTTTGTGCCATTCTGGTGTGTGTTGGGGTGGTTCTGAATGGGAGCTGGCTGGGCCAGCTTGTGTGTCTCCCTGGGGTCTGTTGGCCACAGAGCAAAACAGAGCAGGTCAGGTCAATCCCCGCCCATTGAGTGTTTGCTCAATGACTGAGCCCATGGGACACCAAAGAGTCACCTAACCTGGTGAAGTATGGAGTTAGGCAGAGCTGACCCCTCTACAGTGGCGTTGCTGTGGCGAGGGTGTGCATGCTTGACAGAGGAGGGTGCAGGGTGGGCCATCTCAGGGTCCCTGCCTTGTCCTGAAGATGGAGGCAGGGCTGCAGGGCCACCCTCTCATGGGTTTGTTAAGTAGCTCTTGGCTCTTGGAGAAGACATGGCTGACATGAACAGCCCTGAGATAAAGTGAGTGGGTTTTCCCAGTGTTTCTGAAGGTCTCCTTCAAAGAAGCTCAGGGTGGTTGACTTCTGAAGAACCCATGCATCTGGCCATGGGGCCTGGCTAGGTCACCAAGGGCCTGTGTGCCAGGAAGAGGGTCCTGCAGAGGGGCTGAGTATCAGCTACTTCCAGGAGCCAGCACAGAACGTCAATGGCCAGGACATGCTTTTTCCCTTATCCTCCTGGGTACTCAGAGGAGTCCCTTGCGGGACAAAGAAGAGAATGGTGGCTGCTCAGGTCAGGTGGGGAGAGGTTGGAAGCCTGAGGGCATACTGGCCTCCTGGCCATCCTTTAGGGTTACTGGGAGGTCTATAGCTCCAGGGGTCCAGGTAGCCCGTGGAGAAGAGGAGGACAGAAGAAAATGAGGGATTCGTGGGGACCATTAGCCGGTTAGGAGGCTCAGAAAAAACAAACACGGTCAGAGTTTACCCAGGAAAAGGTGGCTTGAAAAAGAGATCATGTTAGACTGACCTTCGAGTCTGCACAAAGTAGATAATCATGTAGGAAGGCTTGCAACACCACCCTGGAAGAAGTCAAAGCAAGAAGGAGCAGCTTGGTCCGTCAGGATCCATGTCAAGAGCACACCCACTTTGCTGAATTACGTTCCTAATGTATTGTAAGATCTGCACGTGTTGGGAGAGGTTCAAGTCAATATATTCAGCCTAATGTACTGACCATGATCCTTGAGACTGTAATGTACTTGAAAACAGGGAAGGCAGCCCTTGACTGCAGGAACAGAAATAACCCGGTAAAGAGAAGTCCTGCTTATGTGGTAGTCTTCAAGTGAGTCAAGCGGTTTGGTCTTGTGAACAGATTCATTTTCCAAAGTATTCTGAATTTTCTGAATGCACTCAAGTTCACTCTTATCCCTTTTTACCAGGTAGCATGGTAACCAACGCCTGTAGCCTGGATGCCCAGAGGCCCTCGATCTGTCCTGAGGATTTTGGAACACAGGTAGCATTGTCTTTTCCAATGCAGTCAATTAGGAGAGCAGCACTCATTTCTTCTTATCATTTCTGAACTGCGAGACAAAGAACTTTAATTTTGGGGCTAGAATTTAATTTGTTTTTGAGAATACCGAATATTACCAAGCAACGCCAGCACGGATATAATAGTAGTGTGAGGTTTGCACACACGCAGCTGAAATGGTAAATTTAAAATAGGAGACACTGTGTGCACGTATAGTGTGTGCATACAGTATCAAGACATTCTTTGCTCCTGGAGTTTTCTCTGCTTTGCCAAACTTCACGCCCCTTTTGGAAAGGGGGAGCGAATTTTCCAAGTTGTGAGGATACTTTTCCTCCATCCAGCCACACCCTCTTCCGGGCCAGTCTTTGGTGAAACCTGGGCGATGTGGAGTCACTGGGGGATGTGAGTGAGGGCGTTTTTGCTCATCTTAACCCAGGTCTCTGGGAGAGCCTTTAGGATCGCTCTGGGACTTAGAGGAGGTTCCGTCCTGGGCCGGGAGCTGAGGCTCTCCGGACAAACGCTAAGCAGCTCTCACTTATCGGTGTCCAATAGGCCTTATATAAAGTGCCAAAGTGCCCCAGCAAGGCTTTACCAGCACCTGGGCCGTAGTTGTCTCCTGGCTCCTGGGGTCCGCGGAGCTCTAGATGTACCTGCAGCTCCTCCCGAGTCCTGCAAGCCACCCTTGTCCCTCTTCTCCCGCTCACCCCCCGGCCCCCCCATCTCTTTTGCTATTCCGGGGAAGGCCACGCAGGGTGCAACCCGGACGCGCCCCCGGGGGAAGCCCGCGACGCAGCAGCCACACCCCCAGCCTGCACTGGCGCCCACCCCATGACTTCGCCTTCGCGGTCGCGGGCAGGGAGCGCGCGTTTCCATCGGTTGATTAGAAGCGGGAGTCGGAGGAGCCCCCGCCCGCCGGCGGCCAGCGCACAGCCCGGCCAGGGGCGCCCTCCCTGCCGCCGCCGGCCCTTTGATCGCCCGCGGCCCGCGGCCCGCAGACCACAGCCAGCGCTGTGCTGGGCAGGTGGCGGCAGCGGGGCGCGGCGCGCTCAGGCGCACGGGTCCCCGGGCCGCGGCGCGCTCCCCGCCACGCCGCACATCAAGGCCCGGCCGGCCGGCGGGCGCCTTCATTAGCAGCCTGAAATTATAATATTATGTTAAAGAACAAAGCTGCTCCCCGGAAAAATATGTGCTGCATATCTGACAAAGATAAATTGGATTATTCAAAATATTCTTGATGAAATGTTACATTTTGCAACTAATTATCAATCTGTTTTATCTGCAGACCAGCTGGGCATTTTTGTGCATGCAAGACCTGCCTTGGCAATGATCTTAAGATGTCACTGTAGCGTTTACATCTTTTATTTCAAGATTTAAATAACTAGGAAGTAGCTAATGTAATTCACTGCTGAGAAGAAAGGCGAGCTCCTAGATTCCTTTCCAAAGCGATCTCCTCCTAATGAACTTCTCTGGACTGTGAGTAATGAGGCTTTATTCAAATAATGTTTAAGGAAGGCTCTGTCAGTGTAATTTCTAAAAAAGGGACCAATGTTTAATACATTTGAAACATCTCTATTCATACGATATTAGCTCAGGCAAGCCCACAGCAGCACTTGCCAAGGAGAATTCTGTGTTGGTCTTTCAGAGGAGAGAGCCCTCAACTTGGCCTGGGCCAAGCCCCCAGTGCCCCTGCAAAGCAGGGAGCTCGGCCCTCCTTTTTATCTGGTGTTTTCCAGAGCGAATGCGTTTAAGGTACTCTGGGTTGATATAAACCCTCAGCATTAAGGAGTTTCAGCATTCTGCTCCTCTCCCCATCAAAATCGCTCTCTGTTCTATCTTGGGGATTGTGTCAATATAGTTTTCCTGTTTTGTGAGCTCTATCTGGTTTGCAACAGCAGAAAAACGGAATGGGATGGATTCAAGGCCCTTCACATTTTCCTTGCAGGGCCGGGGTATGTGGCGGCGGCTAAAAGATGCGCTTCATCTCTATGCATGGAGCAGCCAACCCTTTGCTTCATGTGAATGTATTCTCCTTTTAGATGAAGGAGAAAACTGTGTGCCTTTGTGCACAAACACACACAGAAGTGCTTTCCAGCATGTTCTGGTCATCATTTTGTGAAGCTCAGTGACAAATGTAACAATGGCTTCCATTTGTTTAGCTCTCTTTGCTTTTTCGGTCTCAATAGACTCTCTTGATCATGCTAGAAGGAAAAGGCAAGGCTGGGCATCCTTCCCATTGTGCAGATGAGGATGGTGAGGCTCAGGGAAGGAGATGATGTGACTTGCTCAAGGGGGCCCTGCCAGCTATGGGGGAGGTAGGGCTCCAAGGCTTTCCACACCCGGTACCCTCACACGTGCTGAGTGTGTCACTGGGTAGAGGACGGAAGATGAAGTTATTACTGATGGGAGGAATCGTGGGGAACCTGTCAGAATGTGAATTTCTCTTCTCAGTTGAGAGGTCTTCAAAGTGACTACAAGGAAATTCAAGCAGATATTTTCCCACTAAAAATGACAGAACATACATTCTTCTTGCTTTCCCAATTGATATCATTGTGACTGCTTTTCCATAAAATGATCCCCAGACAGGTTCTCAGAGCTGTCACGAAGCTTTTTGAAATTTCGCATGAAGGGAGCACGTCTATGAGTGCTTTTCTCTATCTACCCATGTCATTTTTTTTTTCTTCTCCTTTTTTGGCTTTGGTTATAAAATGTCTTTTGTTCAGATTGCACAAGAAAATTACGTCTGACCTAACTCTCTGCCTGATTTGGCCCCTGAGTATTCCATTTTGGTATTCCTATATTAATGGTCAAATTATAGAGATCAAATAGAAAGCTTTTCAAGAAAGACGGACTGGACTTTGCTGAGACTGTGTTCTTTGATGAGAATCTAATCTTCTGTTCTTAAACTGCTTGTTTTCTGCCCAGATGTTTCTTGGGTGGGAGTCCATGGCTGTCAGGACCCAGAGGTGCTGTGGCCCCTTGGAGTTCAGAGGAGACCCCTTCAGTCATCGGCCTTTCCCAGTCAACCTCCTGGGGCTTCTGCCCAAAGTGACTTTTGGGCTGTCACCAGATGATGCCAAAAGCTCTGCATGGAGAGTCAAATCTCTCTGTCACAGAGACCACAAGTTACAGAGTGCCAGATATTGAGTCCTGTGGTTTTATTCTAAAATAATTTCTAATCTAAAAGTTAGTTCATTTTTTTAGAAGTCATAAAATAGTTTTTTACTGTTGTTTCATTAGAGGAGTTACAGTGCATGTGTGTAAATTATTTACACACACAACCTGACCGTATGTGGCAAAGAAGACATGAGAAGTCTCCTGAATCAGTTTGCTGTCCATGCTTGTCCACCCAGAGAATGCCCAGAGCTCTGTCCTCCATTGTTTGCTGCCTAGCGTATCTGGGTCCACAATGGTGCTTTGAAAAGTTCTAGTGATCAGGGGTGGGCAAACTTTTTTTACGAAGGGCCAGATAATAAGTTTTTTAGACTTGCAAGCTATGCTACTCTTTGCAACTACTCAAGTCTGTTGTTGGAGCCAGAAAGCAGCTATAGATGATATGCAAATCAGTGAGCTGTGTTCTGATACAACTTTATTGATAGGCATTGAAATTTGAATTTCATATAATTTTCATGTGTTGTGAAATACTATTCTTCTTTTTTATTTTTTTCCAACCGTTTACAAATGTAATAGCCATTCTTAGTTGGTGGGCTGTACAAGAACAGTCGATGCCTGAATTTGGCCCACAGGCTGCATTTGGCCTACTCTGCCTTAGGGTTTAGCATACGTCACTCCAGCTGTTCTTAACTCTCTTGCTGCTCTTGCTGGAGTGAGCGAATAATGTCTTTTTTTTATAGATTTGTATCTTCTTACATAATATTAGACTTTCTATTGGTTTTGTATAGTTGTTTAACAAATTACCACAAATGTAGTGGCTTCAAATAACATCTATTTATTATTTCACAGTTTAGTAGGTCACAAGTCCAGTGGGCTTGGCTGGATCCTCTGCTTGGGGTCTCATGAGGCCAAAATCAAGGTACTGGAATGGCTCATTTCTTATCTTGAGGCTCTGGGGAAGAATCTGCTTCTGAGCCCATCCAAGTTGTCATCAGCCATCAGCTCCCTGCAGTTGTAGCACTGAGATCTGTTTCCTTGCTGGCTCTTGGCTGGGGGCTGCTCTCAGCTGCTAGATGCCATCAACATCCCTTGCCATGTGGACCCTTGATCCTCAGGACAACAAGGGTGCCCCCATCCTACTCACAGTTGCAGCCTCTCTGACTTCCTCTTCTGCTGCCAGCCTTAGAAAGTTCTCTGCTTTTGAAAGCCTTGTCTGATTAGATCATTCTCACTCAGATAATCTGTCTGTATTAAGGTCAACTGATTAGTAACTGTAATCACATCTGCAAAATCCCCCTGCCCCATAATGTAATATAATCACCAGTTCCACATCTCACTGTATTCACAATTCCCCCCACACTCAAAGGGGAGGGGTTATATGGGGTGAGAACTGCTGGGAATAGTTTTTAAAATTCTGCCTATCTTAGGCTGCAAAGATCCCTTATCTGTTAGGATGATTTAAGTTACAAGTTCAAATTATATGGCTTCAGCTAGTGGAAAGACTCTAATAAGTTTAAGGGTTCACTGAATTCTGGATCCTAAACTAAGGAACAGAAAGGGATCTGGACTAACCTTCCTCCTCAGCTGCTGGGATAGACTGTGACTAGATAAGGAGGAAGGAGAGACTGAGGGACAGGAAGAGTGAAAGGGCAGTAGAGCTGGTGAGGAGGGGCACAGGTCTTTCCTAAGGACTGTCTGTGCTGACAAGTTTTGAGACAGACTCCACACTGCAAAGCCTTCAAAAGCACCTATTAACCCCAAAGAGTTTTTGTATAAAATCACACATATTTTCTTTCTCTCATGCACCCATACTTATCCATTCTACAAATATTTACTGAGCACCTACTCTACACCAGGGAAGTACCAGATGCTATAAAGGTGAAAGTGAAGGGGGCAGAAGCCCAGGCTGAGTTTAAAGCTTAATGGGGCAGTGTGTTGGCTTCCTGCAGCTGTTGTAACAAATTGGCACAAACGAAGATGGCTCAGAATAACAGAAATTTATTGTCTCACATTTCTGGAGGTTGAAAGTCTGAAATCAAGGTTTCTGCAGGGCTGCACTCTCTAGGAAGGCTCTAGGGGCAAATCTGTTCCATGCCTGTCTGTTTCTGTTGTGGCCGGCATTCCTTGGCTTGTGGCCGCATCACGGCAATCTCTGCCTCTATCTCTGCTTGGCATTCTCTCTGTGTTCAAATCTCTCTTTTGTTATATGGACACCAGTTATTGAATTAGGCCCCATCTTAATGCAATATGACCTCATTTTAACTTGATTACTCTGCAGAAACTCTATTTCCAAATAAGGTCATATTTATATATCCTAGGGGTTGGAACTTAGACACATCTTTTTGGGAGACACACTGGAACCCACAACAGGCAGACCATTGAGTAAATAAGCTATTTGAAGCAGTACCTATTTGTCAGCTGTTGCTTCATGGTGAGGTTCCTATACGTAGACTTGTCCCTGTTTTTTCCTTGTAGGCATTTGCTACCATCTCAAGATCTTCAGAATAATCTGTTCCCATACAATCATTGGCAAATGATATGGATATTACTGAAGATTTCATCAGGAGTTTGCTTTGCTCACCTCATGGGAAACAACTTTGTATTCCCCAAAGTCATTCCTGCCACCCCATCCTGAGGGTTCTTCTCTGCATTCTCATGCATACAGCTGCCCGTCCTCCTTCTTCAGTGGCTTTCCCTTGGGAATTTGGGTTACTCTCTTTGCAATCAGTGCGGTTCCACTCTGCCCCATCCCTGCTCCAAACCTTGCAGATGCCCCCAACACCACCCCTCTGCCTTGCCCAGGCCTCAAGGTAAGGAAGGCCCCTTTGTCACTGGAACCTGCTGTTTTAGGAGCCTCACCTGTCCGCCCCAAGCAGCTTAGCAGTATGTTTAATCTGTAGATGTAGAGGTTGTCCCTAAGAGGAATTTTGGTGAGCAAGATTGGCCCAGGTGATAAGAGAGATCCAGGGGAGTGAGGAGGGGAACAGGAAATTTGTGTGAGAAGACACTTCAGAGGGACTGCAAGACCCGGGGCAACACCTGCCCTCCTGTAGGCTCTGAAATGGTCAGGATGTGTCAGAGCACATGGGTCTCCTGGGAGGAGCAATGCTGGGCAGGTCAGAGCTGCCAGCTCACCCAGTGCTGAGAGTCAGCCACAAGCAAGGGATGGGCCATCTAAGCATCAGGGCAGTGCACCTGGATGGGCTGTGTGGCCTCAGGGGAGGGTGAGAGCATCTCAGCTCTGGCCAGGGACTTCTGCCAAGCACCACTGGGGGGAGGTGATTCCATTTTCTCCAAATCCTTCTCTATGTTTTTCATCACACTGTTGATCTTAACTTGTGCTAGATTTGCTGTCCTTTGAAATTCAACTTTTTTTTTTTTTAGCTTTGACCTAATCTTAGTCCATTTTGCCGCTATAAAAAAGTACCATAAACTGAGGGGCTTATAAACAACAGAATTTTTTTTCTCACAGTTCTGGAAGCTGGGAGTCCAACTTCAAGGCACCAGTAGCTTCAGTGCCTGCTGAGGGCCTGCTTCCTGGCTTGTCATCGTGGCCTCACATGGTGGATGGGACTAGCTAGCTCTCTGGGCCTTCTTTTATAAGGACATTAATCCCATTCACAAGGGCTCCACCCTCATGACTTAATCACTTCCCAAAAGGTCCTACTTCCTAGTATCATCACCTTTGGGGGTTTGGATTCCAACATATGAATTTTGTAGAAACACAAACATCAGTTCATAGCAGACCTGTGTAGCCAGTCTCAGAATTTGGGGTGGGGAAGATGCCCTAGCTGAAGGTTTTGGTTTCTAGGAGTTTCAGCTGAAGGGCCCTTTCTGCAGGGACCTGCTTTCTACCTGTAGCTTCTTGAGTGGAGGCTCCATGAAGGAAGGGCCAGGTTCTGGTTGTTTGAGCCTCAGGCACTGGCCAGGTACAGGGTTGAGTCCCAGTCAGTGATGTCCCATTGAATGACTCAGTGGAAATCGTGCATGTCCTTTGGGCTGTTAGGAATAGGGGCCGTCCTGAGGCACACAGAGCAGGTCTCAGCTCCTGCTCTTCTCTTTGGCTTTGCCCAGGTGAGCAGTGCTCAGAGCTGCCTGTCAACAAGGGGCATGCTCTCTGCAGAGGGGAAATTTTCCTCTTCAGATGGTGAATAGTCATAGTTCTGCTAGGGGCTTGGTTTCTGGTTGGCTGGGAAATGGGAGACTGGACAAAACACCTGGAATTGGAAGTTTCCCTTGGACTTGAGTGGTGCTCAGCCATACACTTGGAACAGCTGGTGAGCAGGCACACATTACTTCTGCATTCAGTCTTTTTAAGGATAGTAGGAAATAGGTATAGAGTTTCCTTTCCATATTACAGATCAGAAATGGAGGCTCAGAGATGACAAATGATTTTTCCAAGATTATCTCCCTAGAAAGTAGAGATGGGTGTGTAATGATTTGAGGTCTGGGATTGGAGCTCAGACAAGCCTGGGGGACTCACACCAGCCCACCTGCCACCTGGGTGGGTCTCTGCTTCTTCCTCTTCGGAGCAGAGATAATGGTCTTTCCTGATTGGGTTGTTGAGAGTTGTTGATGAGAGTGGATATCATTCACCCATCGTTCCCCAGGTGTGACTGCAGGGACTGAGTATAGAAGTGGCCACGATAAACTCAACCTCTGGATCAGAGTGCTGTGTCCACTTGGTGAAAACTGTTACCACCGTGAGACTTAAATTCAGGTCTTCGGGCTCCAAATGGCCAGTGACCTTCCTCCCCACTTCCGCCTCCCTGTGAGGAGTGTTCGTGTTGTTTCCTGAACTTCCTCTAAATTAAACCCTGTGATATATCAGATGCTGGAAACATACAGAGGACAAACAGGCCCAGGGGGAAAGCTGGAAGAACCCTTAGGGTGGGCTTCGAAGGGGGCTCAGCTGGGATTCGCCTTTCCTCCTCCTCCTCTCCCAACGTTGTGTCCTCCACACCATCACAACAACCACCAGTGCTTTCCATGTCCCCTTATTTTATTTAATGCTCATAATAGCCCGACTTCCTCCTCCTTCACTCCCAACGTGTGTCCTCCACACCATCACAGCAACCACCAGTGCTTTCCACATCCTGTTATTTTATTTAATGCTCATAATAGCCCAGCTAGGTAAGCATGATGATTATTATTAATGAATTTACATTTTTCAGATGGGGAAGTCGAAGCTTAGGATAAGTACTGGTCTCTATGCTACTGCTGTAGGGACTTGCCTTCTCCTGGGATCCATGTGCATCAATGCATGTGTGTGCATATATGTCATATATGTATTGTGCACGTGTGTGTGCACATGTGCATCTGTGCCTATGTATGGTGTGTTTGTACGTGAGGGTTTTTTGGACCTGGAGAAGCAGTCTCTGTGGTCCTCTGGTTCGCCTGCCACCTGAGCCCACAGAGAGGCCCAGAACCTTGGAGCTATATCCTTTCTTTGAGCACAGTGGGGATGTTGGGGGGTAAGCTGCGCAGGCCAGGAATGAAGCTGGCCCTAGTTTTGTCCACCTTCTTGGGGCTTATGGAGACCATCCTGAGGTCCTTCCTCCCAGTTTGCCCGTGTTGGCCCAGACAGGCCTTTTGGTTGGCAGCATCTGGTACTGTGCTGAGCCAGGCTGCCTCTGGGCCATGTGGCAGGAGGGGCTGGGCGCCCACTGTCCCCAGCAACCTCTGCGTGCAGGAGTCAAGGCCAGAGGTGGAGATCTGCTCCCCAGTGGCAGGAGACCAGAGAACAGAAACATCCCGGGGCCTTCATGTATCCTCTGACCACCCTGGGCTTGGTCTCACCTGCCAACATGCCAGGCAACAGTCCATTCTGGTTTTAGAACTATGACATCCAGTATGGTATCAATTAGCCACATGTAGCCATTTAAATGGAATCAATTAATTGATTGTCAATCAACCCATTAAGCTAATTAATTAAAATGAGATTAAACTTCCATTTCCTCAGTGGCAGTTAACCACATTCACGTGCTCAGCACAGAGTATTTTTCTTATTGCAGAAAGTTCCGGTGAATGTTGTTGCTCTAGAGGGCAGCGCCGAGCACGTCCCCATCACCTGGGTCAGATGAGTGACTGCAGTGGAGATTTCAGGGACCTTCATGTCTCCTGTACCTCCTGGCTTTGTTCTTGAGCCCCATCTATACTGACCACAAGGTCAGGGCCTCCACGCTGTGCCCATCATCCAAAGCCTTCCCGGGCAAGGCCAGGCTGTTAGATTTCATCTGACACATGGGAGAAGACAGGCTGAGGACAGGGCACCACCTTTGTTCCTTTTTTTTTTTTTCCTATATGCCAGCCGCTGTGCTGCACGTTTTACATGAGAGTAACAACAGTAAATAATGATCGCAGCCATTTTTTGGATGCTTAACATGTGCTGGACACTGGGATTTCCCTTGTGAGCCCTCAGTGCCCACCCAGGAGCTGGGGCTACCATGGTTCTCACTGAGAGACTGAAACCTCCCAGACTGGGAGCCACACCCAAGCTTCCCCCATCAGTAATGGAGGGATGTGATTCTGGTTGAATTCTGTCTGTAAAGCCCATTGCCAAGCAACCCCACCGTCTCATGTTCCCCTTTTTATTGGAATAATGATAACCCTTTAGCCTGCACCTTAACATATATACTTTCCCCCGTTGAACATCACTTAGGGGTGATTTTGCGGGAAAACCAGATGTGGACTTCGTTGGCTTGTTTCGATGTCCTCCACGTCCCCTGCCTTGTTTTTGCTTTCCTTGATGGACTCTCAGACGCTCTTAATTTATCATTTCCATTTGTAAAGCTGTCATCTTCTGGAAAGTTAAGACCGTTTGTCTTCAGGTGATTACACAGGTTCTTTCCCCTCTGAAGAACAAACAGTTTACATTAAGTATTAGCATCCTTAGAGAAACCAGGACCAGCTGACTTAATTGTAAACATCAAGATGAACTCCAAGTATGTTTTTCCATCACAGGAATCGTCAATGGTATTTTCTGGTGAGAGGTTTCAGTTTAAAGTCCCTGGTCAATCAGTGCTTAACTCTCAGGAGGAAATTAAAGAAACCACTTGAAAATGGCTGAGAAATAGAAAAAAAAAAAAAAAAAAAAAAAACAAACCCAAACTCTCTTGGCTCCAGCAGGCATTCTGAAAAGGTGGACAGAAGGTCAGCTGAGTGCTAAATGCTGTTCCCCGCTCTCTGGTTGTCCCTGGGCACATCCAGCCCAGCAGCTCTGTGATGAGGGAGATGGAGTGGTTGCTTTAAAGATGACTTTTGGCGGGCCACCGCAGTCTGTTAAGATTGTAAAATACGTGCAGCAAGCATGGGTGGGGAGAAGGACTCTCGCTTGGGCTGGTCTTTAGAAAATGGAAACAAACTCACTATCTACGAAGAGATCAGTTTGCGCCTGATTTGGTTTTAATGCTAAACCCTATGAAATGATCTTAAGCAGAAAAATCAATTTCCCAGAAGTCTCAGATGTACACTGTAACTCTTATATTTGAACTGAATCTTGGTAGAGTTAAATAATTGAGCTTGCTTTCTTTAAGTGATACAGATGTATTTCATGCTAGGAATAACGCGTGAACCAGAGGGTGCCGAGAGGAGGCTGGACAGGAGCCGCTTGAGGTCACGCCTGCCAAAAGGGGTGGGGCCAGGGTAGCACCAAATCTCAGTCATCTTTCCATCCAGAATAAACCAGGAGGGGTGGGAACCAGCTGCAGGATCAGAGCTGGAATGGGCTGTGTTGATGCAAAGGAAAGTGAGCACAGGCTTTGAGAGGGTAGGGAGAACTGCCTGACAGAGGCCGGTTCTGAAGAGAAGGAAAGGAAGGGACAGTTGTGTGACCTCATCACAGTTTATCCTGACTCCCCATCTCCTGCTTGGGTTGACCCGGGATCTGCAACTTTTCAGAGTCTCAGTTTCCCATCTGCAAAATGAGAGTTCATTTTCTCCATCAGTAGCATTTGTTGACTGTATTGGGTGCTGGGAGGCGGCAGCGGACAAGATAGATAAAGCCCTGGTGGTGGAGGCTGACAGCCAGGAAGCCAACAAGTATGCAGACATGTTTGGTGTGGAAAGTGCTAGAAGGAAGAACGTGGTTAACAACTGTATCTGATTCCTAGCGTCCTTCCGGGGATGGAATATGTGAACACAGCAAGGAGCCCAGGGAAGTGCTCTAGAAATTTTAGCTTTTCCTACTCTGGGTTGTAACAATACCATAGCCATTCTTCTCAGTGTCATCACCAGCACTGTCTTCATTATGCAAGGAAGAGGGTGGAGAAGGAGAAGGAAAATCAGAAATGAGGGGAAAGAAATGAAGGTAGAAACATGAGGGCCGGTGGGGGTAGGTGGGTTCTGGGTTTATACCCTCTGAGACGTGGGCATATGTCGCTTGCCTTCTTCCCTTCTAAGCCTGGCCTTCAGCCCGTGCCCAAGCGCCCCCACCTCAGCTTGTCCGGGGGTGCTGTCAGCGAAGCTCTTGGGTCAGGGACGTGGCTTGGACCCTGTGGCTCTGCACATGGATACAAGAGGCATTTACGACTGGGTTTGGGCACAACTCTGGTGTGGGCACCTCCCTGTTGTTGAGAGGCCAGTGAAAGGTGAGGTTTGCTTGCTGGGCAGTTTGCTCAAGTTGAGAGCAGGGAGAGCCCCTAAATGCAGAGAGACAGCCATTCACGTTAATTTTATCCTTGCCTTTCCAAAGCTGGCCCTGGGGGTGCATTCATACTGAAGCCATGGCCCCTTAGGGCCTAGGCATCTGGACGGCCCTCCTGGCCTGCCTTCAGGTTGGAAAATGGCTGTTAGTGATCCAACCTTCTTTGGAGTGTTTTTAACAGCTGAATGTTTGCTTTGCCAATTTAGAATACAAGGTCCGTAAGGAAGGCATCGATAACCCCCGTTGTAAGGGATGATGTGACGGGTGTAGATAGAAAGCAGATGAGGGTTACTTGGAGGTGAAATGTGCTTTTCCATGCTCACAATTGAGGCCCTGAAATCCAAGCTCCCCCTGAGTTTCAATGGCTTGTATTTGTTTGCTTATTTTGGCTGCTCTCTCTGCTGTTGGAATCTCCTCTCACTCCCCTCTAGCAGGGCCGAATGACACACATCTAATCTAAGGTTCCAGGGCCGCTGCTGTCACCAAGCAGCTGTGTGACCTGGGCAGCCTTCTCAGATTCTCTGGAGTGCTAGCGGTTTCCTCCTCTTAAAGGGAGGGAGTCGTGCCCAACGTACAAAGTCAACCTTCCCCACTGCAGAATTCTGTGACTCCATGGCAGCTGGCTTCATTTGGAGAATTTGGTCAACACAAGATGAGATCACTGGAGATCATTCAGGGTCTGTGAACTGAGGCAGGGAACTAGTGTGTTAATTTTTTTTTTTTTAACACCTTCTATATTTGGACAAAAGTGCATTGGGCATACTTTGGTCTCTTTGACTGTCAAATCTTCATTACATTTATTTTATTTAATTCCTCCAGAAAGTCCTGGTGATATGTCGATTAACTTCCATCTAAAAGTAAAAACTTTGTGTGAAGAGGACTCCATTCACCAAAGAGGGCCTGACCTTCAGAGGTGAACTGTTACCAAGCGGCACCCCAATCAAGTGGCTTGGCTGACCTTGGTTGACCTCAGAGTGATGAGAAGGGTTCTCTCGTCCTCATTGTGCTGCAGCCCACAGGGGACATTGCTTTTGGCTTTTATCCAGAAGGAATGAACAGTAAATAAATGAGGAAGTATATTAGGCTGAACCGCTGACATTTGTATGCAGGATAGTAAATGTTTGTAGATGAAGAGCAGCAAAAGATTTTTTAATAAATGTTTTTGTGATGGATTTTATACTAAATCACTTCTTTACATTTCGACTAAAACTAACAGCTTAGATAATGGATCTGATGTTCATACCATGCATATACTCTGGTTTGATAAATCTTCAGCTAAGAGGACCTCCATGAAGCTGGATTCCCTCCGGACCGGGAGAAGATGGTATGTGGAATAAATTAACATGAGGGAAGTTCGGGGGGACCTGGGAAGGTCTGGACCCTGGCTGTACTCCGATTCGTGTCCTGCTCGGCTCCGTGCTGAGGCTCAATTGACGGTCTCCTTGGGTTTTCAGTTTGGGGCCGGACTGTGTTAAATAAAACTAGTGGAAGAAATGACTTTATGATGGTTCTATTTTCTGCATATTTACTCAAGAAAGCAAGAGACAGCCTGGGAGGAAAATGAAGGGGCTAGTGAGCCAGCGTGTGGAGGGCCATTGTGAATGAAGTGTTCTCTCTTCTCCTCTTCCTGGTCATCCCCGTCTTCTCGCCAAAGACACCAAATGGGGACAAGTATGCTGATCCCTTCGGCCCCTGGACGCAGTGTGGTGTTTGTGTCTGTTGCTGGCAAGCCCAGGCTGTGGGGTGGTTTCTTGCTTCCTTGTTCTGGCCTTTGTGGCCTGGGCTAGTCTCTCTAGCTGTGGACCCCGTGGGTTCTCCCCACCACACTCTGGGCAGTTTCCTCCCATCCTTTGCCCACTTCGCATCTTCCCCATGCAGAAAACTCTTCCTCTTCCTAAAAGATGCTCAAATACTGCTTCCTCCTGGAGCCTCCCTCTCCTCCTTGCTGCAGGCAGAGATGGGTGCTCTTGGCTTGTCTGGCCCTCATTTTCTGTCTTCTTGGACAACACCACCTGCAGTGTCAAGGAATTTCTTGCAGCAGAGTCTGTGTATCGCAAGACATCACCAAGAGTGCAGTGCCATATAATACAGATTCCTGAATCCAAATCTCTAGAGAGGAGCCCAGGAATCTGCATATCGAGCAAGTGTCTGTTATAATTTGGTGGTAAGCTCCTTGGGGGCAGGGGCTGTCAAGGTTACTTTCATCCTGGTGCCTAGCACCTATGAGGCACCCAGAGGGTGAGTGTGGAAAGAAAGAAGAAAGGAACAAACGAAGAAAGCAAGCTGTGAATCACAACGAAGCCCTCATCTCACATTTTACTGTGACTTTGCATGTGTCATGTAGTCTTCAGAATGATGAGTGGCCTCCATCCTGGTCCATTATGGTGTAATAGATTAAGCCATCCTTCAGAAAAAAATTAAGGACACTTGACAATGATAATTGCTGTTAATATCACTCTGGACATAGGTTTACTGACTGATGAGTTTAGAAAATTTACTTCTAAAACAACATTAAGTAATGTGAAAAATAGCCAATGGGAAGGTCAGAGAGGTGGGTGTGGCCTCACGCTCAGAGGCATGTGCGGGGAGAGAAATTGCATCTGTGAGGCCGGACAGGAGCTCCTCAGTAAGGCCACCCCCTCCGGTCCAGGCCTGGGCTGTGCGTTCACTGTGGACTGCAGCCCGGGGCGGTGCACAAACGTGGTGGGGCCCAGTCCCCAGTGCACGGTGAGACACCATACAGGCTGTGACAGCCTGCCAGTACCTTCTTGCTCTGATTTTCCTCTTCCCATTTTACATACTCACTTTCCCTGGTGAATAGTCCTTGGCAGGTTTCCCGAGATATCAAATTCCAGGAGAGAAAATACACAGGTCCTGTGTAAGGACTAAATAGAACTCTTAGTTTGAAACGACTTTTGTCAGGTGTCTGGGAAACTGCTCCGCCTTCAACTACGAGTTAATCAGACATAGAGCAGCATGTCCAGAACTTGGGCAAGGGGCCCTCCTCTGCTCTCTGTCACCTCCCTGACTCACCTTGGGCAGGTTACAACCTTTCTTGGGGCTGCAGGTTTCTCATCTCTCTAATTAGGGCCTTGGATGAGCTGGGCCAGGTTCCTTCCAGGTCTAAGAGCATGTAATTCTATCTACCTGCCTTCAGTCCCAAGCCACCACCCTCTACAGATGGGATTCATAATTCTGGGCTGCACTTAAAATACTTAGCTGGGTTGTGTGGCTGTAAAATAACCTTTAGCTTGCCTTGCAACTTGTTTGGACTTTTATCTAATCATAGAAACAGTTGAGGTGAGTGCTTTAAAAAACGTTTACTATGTAGGAAAGCTTACACTGGAATGCTTTCTGTGCTTACGGGGCATGTTTGCAGGTCTGGGAGATGTTACACAGATGACCGGAGAAGCGTTTCCATATGGGGTCATGGACAGGCAGCAGAGAGACGGGAGTGGCAATTGCTTTGTGGGCCAGGGTGATGTGTCATGAGGGGTTTGGCTCCAAGCTTTGGTTTTCTCATCTGTAACATGGGATCACACCCTTTTTCTAGGATTGTGTGAGTAGCAAATGCAGCAATAGTTCTTGCATATATGTGCAGAGCACTTAAAGTGGAGCTGGGACATAGTGAGAGCTCTATGAATATCAGATGTTATTATCACCATGAGCTACACTAATATTCTTCGCCTACTTCCCTCTTGTCACAAACATTTTCTTAGTATTGGGAGGAAAGTCATTTCTGATTTCAAAGCCCTGGTGACCTGATTCTCCTGGGTAACTTTAGCATCAGGATACGGTGCTGATCCCCAAAGGCAAAAGCAGTGTATCAGTCCATTTTCACACTGCTGATGAAGACATACCTGAGACTGGGCAATTTACAAAAGAAAGAGGTTTAATGGACTTACAGTTCCACGTGGCTGGGGAGGCCTCACAGTCATGGTAGAAGGCAAGGAGGAGCAAGTCATGTCTTACATGGATGGCAGCAGGCAAAGAGAGAGAGCTTGTGCAGGGAAACTCTCCCTTATAAAACTGTCAGATCTCATGAGGCTTATTCACTATGACGAGACAACATGGGAAAGACTTGCCCCCATGATTCAGTTATCTCCTACCATGTTTCTCCCACAACACATGGGAATTTAAGATGAGATTTGGGTGAGGACACAGCCAGACCTTATCAGGCAGTTTTTGGGTGGGGACACAGCCAAACCATATCAGGCAGAAAGAAGACAGCAGGGAGGGAGGCTCAGGAGCTTCTGACTCCTGGATATTTGGCTAGGGAATAGCTGGACTCAACCTTTGTTTGGCCCTGAGTCCACCATGGTTTCAACACAAGAAGTTTTGTGGCTCACAACAACCCAAGGTACCAAGAATGAAACAAACTCTCCTGTGGACTGGGGTGGTCCTGGGTATTACTGGCTTTCCCGGAGGCCCTGGCTGTGCTTGGGACGAGTTTCCACTGGGGCAACTGTGTCCTGTAAGGGAGTCTGTGTGTGTGTGCATCCACCCTGGCCCATCAGCACCTTGGGGACAGGGCCTGGGCTGGGACCTGCAAGTTCTCAGGAGCTCTGTTCGATGAGTGAAAGGGTGAGGGCTACACCTGCCGCTCTCCAGGAGACACTTGGTCTGGTGCAGCTCTTTCCGAGTGTGGGGCCTGGGAGGTCTTGCCCAGTGCCCCCAACATAGCTGCATCAGCCCCATCCTGAGTTTATGACTCCTGGGGAGGAGGGTGGGCTTACTGTGGCCAAAGTGCTCCCCACTGTTTGTGCAGCCATTGTGTGACCCCCTGACCTTTGACTCTTGTTGCCTGTAGTGTTATCTGGCAGCAGTATTTTTTAGGCAGCTCTATTGAGGTGCAATTAGCATACCATAAAATGTGCCTGTTTTAAGTACATGTCAATGATTTTTAGTAAATTCACAGAGTTGTGTATCTATCACCATCATCTAAATTTAGGACCTTCTCATCAACCTGAAAAGATCCCTCATGCCTATTTGCAGCTCCTCTCCATTCCCATCCCAGCCCCAGGGAGCCACCCTCTACTTTCTTCCTCTATAGATTTGCCTTTCCTGGACATTTCATATCAGTGGAATCATGCAATATGTGGTCTTTTTCAGCAGCATTATTGATTAATCTCCCTCCTGGTTCCTGGCAGGAAACAATTTGTATTTGTGTTTGGAAAGGACCCGGGGTCAGGCAGACACAGCTGCTCTTGCTGACATTGGCTGTGACCACACACTCGTCTGGATGGCTCCATCCAGCCCCTCCTGCTCACCTGCCACTCAGGGGCCACTGGTTCTTGCATCTTTTTCTCCATCCTTGATCTTGCTGCTGAGAACTGAACCCCTGTTTCTGTGTGGTGATGCATAGGTGTCTTCACTCCATGGATCTAGATCAGAACTCATCTGCCCTCGCCTCCTTCTACGTTAGTGAAGAGCATTGTCTTCCTTGGAGGGCAGATTTTTAGGTGGCCCTGTGCTCCTTGGTGGCCCTCTGTGACTTGATTCTAAATAGTAGTGGGGACTGTGACTTGCTTCTAAACAATAGAACACAGGGTAGGTGACGGGATGTATGCTATTATATGACTATGTGATGTAAGACTATAGTGCCAGTCTTGCTGGGTCTCTCCCTCCCTGCTGGCTCTGAGGAAGCAAGTAGGGACATCATATGGACAGGAACTCTGCCTCAGCCTGTTAAAGCTGAGGCTGGCCCCCAGGCAGCAGCCAGCAGAAAAGCCAAAGCTGTTTACAGCTGTGAGGAGCCAAATCCTGCCAACAACCACCAGCATGGGCACGTGAGTCCTTCCAGTGAAGCCCTGAGATGAGACCTCCATTCCAGTTGACACTTCATTTGCAGCCTGGTGAGACCCTAAGCAGTACACCCAGCTGGGCTATGCCTGGACTCCTAACCCACAGAAACTGTGGGATAATAAATGATTGCAGTGGGCTTCTGTTAGTATCCCTGCCCACAGTCTCTCCCAACCCACCTCCCACCTTAAGTGCCAGTGCCACCCTGATGCCCTGCACACCACTACCTGCAGGAAAGGACAAGGTCCTCACTGTGGCCTATAAGGATTTAACAGCCCAGTCCCAATATCCTCCTCCAGTTTTATCTCTGCTCCTCCTGACCACATCCCCATGCTCTGGCCACACTGAACCACTTGGTCATTCCAAGACGGTGTGGGCTTATCCCACCTCTGTGATTTGGCATCTGCTGTTCTCCCTGCCTGGAATGCCCTTCCATCTCTTCTCAGCCTGAAGAACTCTTATTCATTCTTCACAACCTCAGGTCCAATATCATCTCTTTTTGAAAGCTTCTGTGGACCCCTTAGACAGAAAGAATTTGGACTTTACTTGGCACATTGCTCTTTCCTTGTGTCCACTGATGGTGACATTGTATTTTAGTCTGTCCTCCAGTGCCCCCACTGGAGTATGGACAGTGGTTTGGACGTGTTCTTCCAATGTGTCTTCTTTCCCTGGTTCCCCTACTTTAGTGCCAAGCACCTCTGATGTTCAATAAATATCTTTAGAATGACTACTGGAGTGAATAACCGGCTGACCACTTCAATACATGAGCCAGAACCCCCAGGTGAACCGTGGACCATGGGCATCCTAACACCCCTTGGTTTGTAGGGAGTTGGGTGTGCAGGTTGGGTGGATGGGGGCCGCATGGGAGGTGAGTTTCAAATGTCGAGGTTCACTGTGGTCAGCTTTGCAGATCTGAAGGTCATGGTCCCTCTCCTACTGAGGCTGTTGCTCTCCCAAGTGCAGTGGCCATGAGACCTACAGCCCCTGCTGTTCTTTCTGCTTCAGTGCCCTCCTCCATCCACTGCTGGTGGCCCCAACACGTGGATGACAACTTGATAAAAGTCTCAAACTATATGGAAAGGGTCTGAGATACTGGCGAGCACTATCATCAAAATTGTGCCCACTCACCCGATAGATCCCCTTCCCCTCCCCGTGTGTTTTCCTCCCCAGCACTCTGGTGTACATGCTTTCTTCATTAATTTGCTTGTTTTCAGTCTCCCCCAGTTAGACTGTAAGCCCCGTGAGGGCAGGCATCTCTCTGTTCCAGTGATTTCTGTATCCATGTGCCTGGAATGATGCGGAGGGTGCCCATCCCACCCCATAGCTCTCCCTACACCCAGCTGCCTCCCTCCTTGACCTTTCTAAAATTCAAACCTATTATGTCGTCCCTTTGCTTAAATGATTTTATTGTCTTCCTATTCACTTTAGGATGAAGAAAAATAATCTTTACCTCTAAATATGTTTCATTTTATTAACTTACCCCACCCAGATTAAGGTAAAAAAAAACAAAAACTCCTCTTTTGTCAATTATACTCTAACTCAAATTATCATTCTAGCCGTAACCTAAAGTTACGACTAGAGATAGATTTTTGAATTTTTCTTCCTAGAGTTTATTTTTTATTTTTTATTTTTTGGAGACAGAGTCTCGCTCTGTTGCCCAGGCTGGAGTGCAGTGGTATGATCTCAGCTCACTGCAACCTCTGTCTCCTGGGTTCAAGTGATTCTTCAGCATCAGCCTCCCAAGTGGCTGGGATTACAGACACCTGCCACTATGCCCAACTAATTTTTGTTGGGGTTTCACCATATTGGCCAGGCTGGTCTTGAACTCCTGACCTCAGGTGATCCACCCTTCTTGGCTTCCCAAAATGCTGGGATTACAGGTGTGAGTCACTGTGCTCAGCCTTCCTAGAGCATTTTTATTTTAGAAAATAGTTTCAGTTTATTTTCATTGGTGATATAATGATTAATCCTTAAAGCCTTCTGGTAAGCTCCTTTCTGGTTATTATAATTTTAGGGGTGCAGAGCTAAGAGTGTGGGGGTAGGGAGTCTGAGAACCAGATGGTATCCAAGCAAACTGGGTTTTCTTAATTGGGTGGGATGGGGGGCGGTGGCAGAGGTGGCCGTGTGTCTGGCTGTATTATCCTTCACATGACTGGGTGGGATGGGGGGTGGTGGCAGAGATGGCCGTGGGTCTGGCTGTATAATCCTTCATGTGATTGGGTGGGACAGGGGAAGGTGGCAGAGGGGGCCGTGGGTCTGGCTGTATAATCCTTCACGTGATTGGGTGGGACAGGGGAAGGTGGCAGAGGTGGCCGTGGGTCTGGCTGTATAATCCTTCACATGGGTCATGATCCTTTGCCAGCCCATTCCTGTGTAATGATGGATATGGGTGGGGGTGAATGACTTCTCAGTATAATTTCTATCCATTTCATTTCCTTTGCAGAGGGAAGAGAGAAGCCCCTCCCATTCGCTTCTACTGGGGCTTGTTAGGCCATCGCCTTGGGGGCCGGCTGATCAGCGGCAGCCAGCAGCCGGCGGCTTCGGCAGGCAGGAACAAGGACAGCCTGTGGCTACTGCAGCCCCACTGCCCGGCCATGCTTCATGATGGGGGAGAGTGCCTTGGGAGGAATATACAGGCAAATCATGTTAGCATCACAGAGCCCACTTAATTCCGTATGGGTTGGTATTTGGGGAAGAAATCGAGGACGAATTGGTGTTGGACCCAAAGCTGGGCAGGGACCAGTGTGCATGGCAAGGTTTTAATGCCAGTAAGTTTTTCAGGGTGATTTTTTTTCTGTCCCTGAGTCAGTGGAATAGAATGGAAATGCCATGTCTAGCTACTTTAGGGAGCACAGTGTGAAGAAGACAGCCTCCTCTAAGCTAGCACTGTTTGTGTAATATGTGGTCCTTAGACATTAAAATGAAGCCCTTTGTCACCAACTGTAGAGCCCCCCAAAACACCCTCATTTGGTGTTTTTGTTCCATTTTAAACCATGAATGGCATCCGCTCCCTCCAGTACTGATGTGAGGTTTTTCTGTGTTGGATCAAAACCAAATGCTGTTTTATGTCAACGTAAGGAAGGAAACTAGCAAATGCATGAGGTCAATCTCCATGGCACACTTCCACCCCAGGGGCTGTACGAGAGGAAAAAAATGTGCTTCATGTCCCAACCAAAAGCATTCTCTGTCTGAGGACTGTTGCCCAAGTGTGAAGTAGGAGACTCGTGCAATTCAAAGGCACCTATGTGATGCCCATGTGGAGCCCTTTTCTTAGCCAGGCACGACAGGTATGGAGCCGGCTCTGGGAAGTGGGATCTAGAATGACAACCCTTGGCACAGGGCTAAGGAGCTTTAGGAGTGATGAAATCTCATTGTACCACTGCAAACAGAAGCTGCATCCCTGCCTGGGAAGGATTAGGTCGCCTCCTAGGCAGGAGCAAACATTTGGTGGAAAGGACTAGGAGGTTGGCTGCTTGCTCTTCTCTTTCAGCAGTGACATCTCCACCCTGCCTGTCCCACCTCTCCAGAAAGGTAGGTCTGGGTACTAAAGCTCAAGTGGACTAGAGGCTCCCAAAGCTTCTCCCCATGCCATCTCCCCATTGGCTGCTGGGTTCAGTGGTGGCCGCCCCTTGGGTACCAGGGGCTCCTGGTTCTACAATGAGAAGCTGCAGGTTACAGCTGTAAGTTTTGTCCTCATGTTAACCCCCTTATGCTGTCTCCTCCAATAATGCATGTGGTTTGGTCTCTACAGGACTCCCAGAGGCCTATGGACTGGAGCTATTAACATCCTGCAGATGGGAGCCACTCTCTCACTGTGATCACCAAGGTACCCAGGGCCTCCGGAGGCCACAAAGAATGGATAATTGCAACCCACAGGTCTCCTTCAGATTTTCCCCAAGCCCTTCTGGTCAGCAAATGCTCTATGGCAAGTCTGGGGTTTGGTCTTTACTTCTGGTGCCAATTAATTTCATCTCCCTTTTCTCTTTGGTCCGTGGAATTACTCTGCACTCTTTGCAATGATGTTTAGTAATTTTCATCGACTGTGGAGCAGCCTGCTGGGACCCTGCCAGCTGATCTTAACAAGCCCACTTACTGCAGGATTCCCACTGCTTTCCTGGGCTAGGAATTCCTTAACCAAAGGCAAGTTTCCAAGGAGATCCTTGAGAAGGTGCCTCATTATTAATATTTTGATGTCGAAAATGTTCATTCTGCAAGTTGCTTGCAAGGTGGGCCAGTGTGTTTTGGAAGAACAGGGTGGGCCTTGAGCAAACTGGGGGGCAGGGTGGGATTCGGACTCCACTCCCTCCACCTTTGTCCTTCTCTCTTCTTCTTGCTCACCCTCAGAACCCCTGGGCCCCCTTCCTGGCTGCAGCCCCTCATGTCTTCTCCATGTGTTGACACTGAAACCTGTCTTGTGCTAATTGCTGACTAGGCATGAATGCATGGCAATTGTTGGCTTGTTTCCTCTCCTGGATAACTTTTTCCTCCTTTTCATGTTAGATAGAGCCTTTATGTCTTAACAAGAGGAGGCCACTCACATGAGGTTTTGGGTGCACCAGTTGGGTGGGTTCTGAACTTCTGGCCCCCTTCCAAGTCTCAAAGTCTGGTTGACCATGTGTGTTGTGCCAAGCTATGCCTGGCCCTGGTACTGGCTCCAAGGAGGGGCATCAGGCTGTGTGGTGGAGACGGGCAGTGACCCCTCCAGCCCCCGCTGCTCCAGCTGCAGCTGCAGAGTGTACAAGGGGAGAGTCTCTGGATACCATGAGGCTCCATGGGTGTATTCAGAAAGACGAAGCACCCTGTGTGATGCACCTGCACCCAGGCTGATGGGGACACCTGCGAGGACAGACTGGGGCATTAAATAGATGGAGGGAGCTTTGCTTTAGAAAACACACACTAGGAAAGTGGAATTTGCCATCAGGCAGGCTAAGGGGTGGTCTGCTTACTACACTTGGAGTCTATTGCCCAAGAGCTGATGAAACAGTTCAGGAAAAAAACCAGTCAAATAAATGAAGAAGAATGATGCTTACAAATGTAGTATGGGGTTTGATCTTGACAACGATTCGTTGATGTCTTCCCAGATTCCCCAGACATGGGGTCAGAACTACCAGGGGCAAAGACCATGCTTCTTTGGAGAGATTGAGTGGTATTCTCTAGGTCTGGAGCAGCCCTGTCCAGGGAATGCCATACTGGGAATGTTCTTCATCTGTGCTGTCCAAGATGGTAGCCGAGCATGCAGTGTGGTTAGTGCAATGGAAGAACTGAATATTTGATTTCATTTACTTTTAATTAATTTAAATTTAAATCTGAATGCCCACATGTGGCTAGTGCTGTCTAGGCCAGTGTGCAGAGGTGGTAGTTGGGGAGGAGCATTGGAGGGAAATGGAGACGTGACCCTGGAGAGGTGGTGGGAACAGATGGAGAGGACCTTGTAAGGTGTGTGAGCAATTCGAGACTTGTCCCTGGAGATGACAGGAAGCCACTGAAGGGTCTAAGCAAATGAATGAATACTCAGATTGATAGTTTAAAAGACTTGGCTGGGTGCGGTGGCTCATGCCTGTAATCCCAGCTCTTTGGGAGGCCGAGGCGTGTGGATCATGAGGTCAGGAGTTCGAGAACAGCCTGGCCAACATGGTGAAACCCCATCTCTGCTAAAAATACAAAAATTAGGCGGGCATGGTGGTAGGTGCCTGTAATCCAGCTACTTGGGAGGCTGAGGCAAGAGAATCGCTTGAAACCGGAAGGTGGAGGTTGCAGTGAGCTGAGATTATGCCACTGCACTCCAGCCTGGGCCAAACAGCGTAACTCTGTCTCAAAAAACAAACAAACAAACAAAAAAAACAAACCTCTAACTCCCCACCCCAACCTGGAGTCCAAGTAGAGAAAGAATGGGGGCAGGAGGGCAGGCAGAGAAGGCTGTTGTGTGTGGAAACATCCATCCATCTACATGCACACCTACACACAGGTGTAAGCCAATTGGTACAGAATTGTGGGGAATGCGTATTGCCAGGAGCCGTGCCAAGCACTCTGCATGCCAGATAATTGCACCACCAGCTCTGAAATATTCTGAAGGGAAAGTTTTAGGGGTTTGTGGCCAAGCTATTGATTGGTGACAGGGGCAGAGAGAGGCACAGAGAAAGACTGAAGATGCCTCCAATGCCTGAAGATGCCGCAAATGCC
Source organism: Homo sapiens (assembly GCF_000001405.40). Taxonomy (NCBI): domain Eukaryota; kingdom Metazoa; phylum Chordata; class Mammalia; order Primates; family Hominidae; genus Homo; species Homo sapiens. The sequence continues at coordinate 128,309,778 of NC_000010.11, forward strand.
TGGCTTGCAGGTCTGGGGAGCATCCCTCAGAGAGACGGGGAGGCCATGGAGAGAAGCAGGTTGGACTACACTGAGTTTGGGTTTCACACCCCCTACCCCTGCCACCTTAAGTAAACCTAAGGATCCCACCCGCCTTGAGCAGACCCCATCCCCAGGTTCCATATCTCCACCTGGGGACAGGAGGGCAGGCTTCCCAGAACAGGGGGAGGCTGACCCTGGACAGAGGCCGTAACGGCTGGCAGAGGTGTTTCTTCCTGCCCAGAAGGAGTGCTCCTCTGCCCCTGGCATTAGAGAGGAGATACTGTGAGCAAAGTACATACGCTGTAAGCAAAGTGGTCGCTCTGCTCAGAGTGATGCTGAGTGGTGCTTCTTGCAGAGGCCACACTGAGAAGCAGAAACAGTGCCAGCCACACTCGTGGCCCCTGAGAAAGGTGGTGTTAGCAGCACAGAGAGGAGATCAAGGAGCTCCTGGAGCATGTTCCAGAAAATGGTGTGGCAAGTTTCTAACTCATGAGGTTGCCATTTTATTTATTCACTTATTTTGTTTTTTCAGACAAGGTCTCGCTCGCCCAGGCTGGAGTGCAGTGGCGTGATCTTGGCTTAATGCAAACTCCGTCTCCCAGGTTCAAGAGAATCTCAGTCTCCACCTCCTGAGTAGGAAGGATTACAAACGTGCACCAACACACTCAGCTGTTTTTTGTATTTTTAGTAGAGACAAGGTTTTGCCGTTTTGGCCAGGCTGGTCTTGAACTCTTGACCTCAAGTCATCTGCCCGCTATGACCTCTCAAACTGCTAAGATTATAGGCGTGAACCACCGCTCTCAGCTGCCATTTATTTTATATAGTTATTTTTTTAAAAAGTATTTTCCTGCTTAAAAAAATGCATGTCAGTTGAACTAAACCAGTTCTGTCTGAGTTTATCCTTATTTATCAATTCTGAGGAAATAGTCATGGGCTGGTAAGGATGTTCCTCATGGCATGGCTTATCTCAATACATGGCATTTATTCGGGCAAACACAATGCTACAACTCTTCACCCTTTAAATGCCATGAAAAGAAAATATTTAAGGGCTTGAAAGTTATTCAGATTATGTTTATAACTGAAAAAAGGCATGTAGAGTATAATTGTGTTTTTGTTTTAAAAAACAAAAAAAAGTAAACTCATGGAAAAAAATTAGAATAATATACCAAAAATTGTGGTTATTCTGGAAAGAAGAATTAGAATTATAGATGTCTTAGAATTGTCTTCTCTTTCTTCATTTTTATGTATTTCCTACCAAAAGTGTGTATTACTGTGAAATGAGAAAAAACAAAACAAAACATGTTTTTGTTTGTTGAAGGACAAGCCAGAAGGAGGCTGCGGTGGAGGCGGAGCGGTGGGGAGGGTTCTGCCCTGGAATTTGGCTGCATCTGGTGAAGCTCATTGTCTTCGAGGTGTTTTTTTTTTTTCATGTGAAAATACAGGAAGGCTGTTTTCAGTGGATCTTTTGTCCTCAATCCAAAAGGTGTTTTTCTCCTCTAAGAAAGCAAAGTGCATGTTCTGCCTGGTCCCTATTGTGGAGCTGGCCCAGCGTGGATGGCTTAACTGGACTGACCTGCTGTGAGCAGCCGGCCGCACTGCAACTCCCACTCACTCAGCCAAGAGAGGCTATGGGGACCCAAGCCCTGCTTTGAGAGAGACTGTCTGAGGTGGCTATACAGAGCCCGGGGCCCTGCTGGTGGCAGTGACATGGCTGAAATGGGGTTGCCACTCAATTAGGTCACAGGATTCTGCCCCCAGGGGTCCTGACTCTGTCAGAAGAGTCCACTGGAGTGTGACGAGGGGTGCCTGTCATCAGAACCCAGCCTGGGCAGGGCCTTCTGCCAATGCCTCTCATAAGCAGAGCAAACACTGGGCCACAGAGCTGGGACCTCATGAATGGGACAGGCAAGACAGGTAAATTTTTTGTAATTGAATCCTCACTGTCTTCCTGCACACTCATTTGGCGGTAGGTTGGTTCACAGTCGGAGAAAAAGAAGAATTTTTCAGATGTTCGGATGTTTCTGATAAGCTCTGACTTTCAGGTCAAGGCAGAGAGGTGACTTTGCAAACAGCTAGGCTGGAGCTCCCTGACACCTGTAACCTCTTCCAGAGTCACTTTGGAAGCCTGAGTGACCCCACCAAAGTGGGGCATTGCTCAAACATTCAAACTCACTTTTTGGAACAGGCTTCAAAGCTTGATGCTCATTTGTTCGACTGTTCTTATAATGGCTGATTTTCTCTTTCTTTGGAAGTAGACAGAAACCATCCGGGGCTGAGAGCGTGATGAAGAATACAAGTGCCGAAGGAGGGGTGTGGCCTTTTAGAGCACCCTGGGGGCTGTTTTGAGGGCCAAAAGACTACTGGGTAGGAGACAGAATCTCCATTTGTAGTGGAGGAGTCAGAGGTGTGCAGAAATTCGAGGACTTGTCACTTGGGCAGAAGATGACGGAGCCACAGTTCAGAGCCAGTGCTGTGATTCTTAACTGCTCTTCAGTTCTGCTTGGAAAGGGAGGGAAGCCTGACAGATCCCATAGATGGCCCTCTGTTGGGGATGGCATGCAGCGACGGGGTAGATGGGTTCTAGTCAGTCCCAGGGCGAATGCTGTTCCTGTCCTGTGCCCCAGGCTGATTCTGGGTATGTGGGGGCCTTTCTAAATCGTAGTACTCAGGAATGATCCGAACAGCTGTTTCCAAATGTCTAGATGCATGAAGATAAATCACATGCGGACTAACTTTTTTGTATCTCATCCGAAAGTTCTGGTATACTTTCCAGCTATTGTTTCCCATTTTGTGCTGAGATCACATCTTCTTCTGGGCTGGGAGATTTATATTTTCCTTCCAATAAGACAGCCCGCCATTTAAAACCAGGCCTATGTGGATGCAATGTGAGCATAATCTATTTAGCACCTCCTTCCCCAGGGCTCTGACCCCTCAGTGGGGACCAGTGGCTCCCGCATCCACCTAGAAGTTAGGCTGTTGTTTTTCTGCCTTTTATGACTTATTTAGACTTTATCTTTAATATATATTCAGATGTTGATCTTTTCATGAGTTCAAAAAGGGCTTTTACCTTCTGGAGCTCCATTCATAAGGTTGCAGTAAGTTAAATGCATGCTTCATGGCAGCAGGTAGGGTTTTAAGTCCTTTGTTAAACATTTTAAAATTTTTGCTGTAGTAAATAGGTGGTGATTGTTACTATTTCTTTCTAGGAATTCTCTATTTCTTCTAGAATTAGAAGCCTTAAGAATTTTGTGTCCAAGTTTTCATAGTATTTCCTTTCTTCACCTCTTTCTCTCTGTCTCTTGTTAGAAGGGACCAGTAAGAAAAACATAAAAAGGTTGGGACTGGTGCGCACTGTTGCAAGGCTGTTAGGAAGAATAGGGCAGTTGTGCCCTGTTCTGAGGGGCAGTAAGGCAGTTTGGGGCCAGCTGTTGGCAGCATGAGGCTTTACCCATGGCCCTTATATTGCTGTGGGCAAGGAAGTAGTGATGCCAGGCATTTCTTTCTGTTTGGTAGAAAAATGGAATGTTAGTATCATATCAGTTAGCCAAATTAGGGTGCAGGAACACAATCTTTACATCTGAGAGTATTCCTTTTATGTTTAGAACCATTGCATTAGCCCCAAACCCCAGATGTATATTTGACTGGAAAGCACCTTTTCTTGAGCTGTAGAAGTCATGAAACATTGACCTGCAGAGTTCCTGGCCGCGCCAGGTTCTGGTCATGGGTGATGTTGGATGTGTGCTGAAAATGACTCCCTGTGGCTGGTGCTGTAGCAACAAGTCCGCGAGCTTCCTGCTCATCTCTTCTCTGACTATCCATGGGCTTCCCGCTGGGCTCTGCTAACATCCCCTTCTCTTCTGCCTCCCACTTATTCCCCCAGCCCCAAGTTGTGCAGAAAGCTGTTCTTTCTTGTTTTAATATTTTAAAAAAGAAAGCAGTGGCATTGTCTAAGGCAGAGATTCTTGGCTGATTTACTCATGCTAGGAATCAAACCTTTCTTAAAAAGCTGCCTTCTCTGCATGGTGGGTTTTAGATACTTGGACTGACAAAGCTGGCGTTGTTTTGAGAGGGTTAACTAAGATTAATGAGGAAAGAAACGTGAAGCCATAAAGGATCAGCGTTTCCAATCAATGACGGAATAAATTTAATGTGTATTCCATCTGCAGTTTCCTTGGCACAAATGTCCAGATGCCAATTCCAAAAGGTTTTGCCTTTTTATGCTTCTAAATAACCTACTAAGACAAGAACAGTGTGTATTTCAAGTGTAATAGTGCTTTATTTAAGGTTTATACTGCAGTCGATGTATTGATCAAGAGGAATTTGTAGAATACAGAGGTGTGTTTTAATAAGAGCTGGATAGAGTACCACAAACCTTGCTATTCCCAGGACTTTAACAATTGTGAATTGCAGTTTCAGCATCTTATTTGGGAGAGGAAGGAAGAGGAAAAAAATAATTAATTGTGATAGAGTAATGGGGACCACGAAATGGGGGCTCTAATCCCCACCAAATGCATGGGTAATGAAATCATGAGATTCTCTGTAGGTGTTCTGAAATAACTATCAGAAAGCAGCTCTGTGCATGAGCTTTTTAGAGACCGTGTATTTAAGCTGTGTGTAATTCCTTTTTCAGGTGGGGAGTGGTGTGAGGCCTTGGTCCATTTCATTGCTGACATTAGCCCTGCACCAGCGGGAGAACGTTTCTTCCTTTAATCACCCCAAGATTAGCCTGCAGTTGCCTCTTTCTGTTGGATATTTGAATAACAAGCTTGATGAGGCCACTTAACTCCCTCCAATTACAGGTGCCAAATGGGGGTACAAAAAAGAGAGGCCTTTTACATGTGTGAATGATTTCACAGTCCAGTGTCATAATCAGATTCTAGAAATTGAACTTGCAGAAAGTTTGTGCTAGCCTTGTGGATTTTCATTTCAGATGTTGTCAACTCAAGGGCATTTGGACCAATCAATATCTGTCTGTCTTCTCACACATAGAAAGTTGGCTATTAGAAAAGAGAGGCTTACAGCAGGGCTCAGCCAATACCATTAGCCCTAGCCTAAGGGCAGTTCTGTCCATGTGCCCGGGTAGGCACCTGCCCCCTCCCCTCCCCCACCATTAGGGAGGCCACTTGGGATGTCATTTGGACAGAGTGGGCAAAGAGCACTTCTTTATTCTCTCTCTTTTTTACACCCAGACTCCCCCAAAATCAATAAATCTGTTCTTTGCTTATTTTCAGAACTTTACTTCAATATAAGCAAGGACTTTCCTTCCAGCAACAAGCTCAAGTAACACCATGTCAGGCTTATGTGTGTGTGTGTTTTCTTTCTCTGTTCCAATTTGAAAAATAATTGGAAATAATATCTGATTGATGTTCTCTCTCTCTCTCTCTCTCTCTTTAGCTAAAGATTTCCTAGATGAAAGACCTTGATCCACTGCCTTTCATGATTCAGCACTGGATTTTCTGTTCCATGCAGCCTTCTATTGGAATAATTTTGTGAAATGAAGGCAACAAAGTATTGTTTTCTTAATCAAAGAGAACTTCATAAAAATTGTGCTCCTTGACTGCTAATTTGTCCTGCATTGTTACCGATGCTTTTCTTATGATTTTTGTTTTGCACTGAACAGCCCCCTGGCTGAGAGAAAACCCCGAAGCAGTTAAGATACCAGGAAAGGAAGACTTGAAAATTGGTTAGTGAAGATTCTGAGTATTTCCTGGTGCGTCTGGGAATTTTGTTTGTTTTTTGTGGTGATATTTCTTTCTCTCTGTATGTCTCTGTCTCTCTGTCTCTATCTGCATCTCTGCCCTTGTTAGAAGGGACTAATTAGAATGGCACAAACACGTTAGAATTGGAGATCATTGTTGCAAAGGCCCTTAGGAAGAGGGGGGCAGTTTTGGTCCATTCTGAAGGCTATCAAGGCGGTTTCCAGCTTGCTCTTGGCACGAAAAGGAATAACCAGGGCCATTTTAATGCCATGGGCAGGGAAAGCATGATGCAAAGCTTTTGGAGGGGCCACCGGGTAACAACAGGAGAGCACCAGAACTCACGGAGAGAGCAGAGGTTGAGGAAGCCTGGCGCCCCAGCGACAAAGCAGTGTCCCCGACAAAAGAAAGATTCAATCTTGGAAACAGAAACATGAAGTGAATGTTTAATACCATGGTCCAAGAAGATGGCATTTTCTGTGACTGGAACAATGCAGAATTAATGTGTATCTGCAAGAAATATCATTAAGATTAAGTATTCTTCAGAGAGATTGGAGAATCGGGGAATTCAAGTGCGTTTGTTGGCTTGAGCCAGCCCTCCGCTACCTGACCCATCTGCAGGCAGAAAGGGCATCCACCAAGGTAAAGACATCTGCTGGAAGACAAAAGTAAAGATGTGAATTTTCTTTCAATTTCCTGAGAGAGCACAATACTTACAGTTCTCTCTTTTAATGCGACTCTGGATTGCTTTTTCCCTGACAGTTGCTGTAGAGATAGCATAGGCTTGCTGCTTGGCACAGAAGTACTCTTTATTTCATTGTAATTAGCAAGGGTAATTTTCTGGCATGGCTCCGGAATGGTCCATGAGGGGTTTTCATGTCTGAAAGCAGAGGAGAGTTCAAGGTCAGATCCTGAGCTTCAGCAGTGAGGACGAGTTGGAATCCAGAGCTGGAATTGTGATGCTGGAGCACAGGGTGAGGACCAAAGTTTACTCAATTCTCAGGGCCAAAGTCCTAACTGGGCTGCTGCTGATTGTCTCTCCTGGGGTCCTGTTAGGGATGGACCCACAAGATCGCCAGAACGGGGCGGCACTGTCTTGCTATACAAGCTCTTTAGAGGGCTCCATTGAACAGGTTTTCTGTTTTGAATGAAATCATAGATCTTTCATCCAGGGGTTTGCCATGAATACCTTGATCTTATGCTCATCAGCCATCACTGCACTATATTTTTTGTGTATATGCCCTTCTCTCTTGCCAGATTATCAGAAATGGTGTGTGTGTGTGTGTGTGTGTGTGTGTGTGTGTGATTTATTTCTGCATCTCCAGTACCTTTCAGCGTACCGTGCAGAAGCATCACTCAAATGCACGAAGCCAAATATGTCTGTGAACACACTGTTTGGTTGAACTGACTTTTTTTTTTTTTTGATAGTGAGTCTTTCTCAGTAGAGGAGGCAGTGTGCTGTTATATGCTGATGCAGCTCCTTGTCTTGGACTCATAACTGACAGAACAGCATGTGGACCTCACCGCTCCTTGGACTTCGAGTGGCGCTACTCTAACGCTGAGTCCTGACCTGGATCCCTGTTTGCTTGCCTAGACCTAAGGCGGTGGTGCAGACCTTCCCCCACCCCACATACCATCGCCTTCTGGAATGTGGCTTTGTGGAACTGAGGCTGAGACAATCACAGTGCCCCATTCTTCTGGTCATGTGACAGGTCTGGACCTGGTCATGTGGCAAAGTCGAATCTAAGTCACATCAAAGCAGGGAGAGTTAAAGCAAATCTTTTCTCTCTTGTTGTGGAGCTGGAATATGAGCCCAGAAGCTTCCAGAACACATGGTCCTGCCCTCATAAAGAAGCTCAAGTGAGGGAACAAAATCGACTTAGGTAGCAGCGAGCATGGATGGGGCCTGGCTACATCAAGTTCTCAGATCCTGTTGTCCCCACCCACCCCCTGTAACTTGCCAATTTTATCCATCAAGCATCCTCTCCTCTCTCCCAACTTGTCTGAGTTCTGTTTCTGTCATTGTCACCAAGAGAGCTTTGATGAGTAAGAAATCCCAACATTCCACGGGAGTCTTGGTGGTTTAAATTTTTAAGTGAGTCCTCACTTGTTAAAGTCTTATTCCTGTTAGAGGGCACTTCCATAGTCCAGAAGGTGGGGAATTCCTATAGGTGACCTGTGGTCTCTCTAAGCAATTTGACCAGGACTATTTAATAAAATATTTTAAAAATGGTTCCTTTTAATTATTCATTTTCAAATGTATATTTGTTCTTGGCAAACAAGAGATGATTTGCGTTAATCAGTGATCTTTAAGCAAATTCCTTGCAATACTTTATCTCCATATAAACTCGAAGCTTCTTAAATGAAATAGTACCTGTGTATTTCATATGGCTTCCTCTTTTATAAATAAAATGAATGGACTTGGGACCAAAACAGAATTTTTTTTTTCGGGAACTATAGGACTGGAATCTTTTTATCCAAGGCAGTTGGATCCCACAGTACATTTTCACTGTAACAGACAATGAGGTTGAGTCAATAAATAAATAAATAAAGTCACCAACATGTCCAAAAGCCTCCATTTAAAACTCAAAGCCAGTGGTTTTGGGTTTCACCTTTTCCTTTAAAATTAAATTCCCTGAAACCATATTTTAAAAATGCTATCTGAATGGGAACCGCCAAACTGGGAAACTTTAAGTTTAAAAATAGAACTGCATCTGAATTATCTTATAGAAATTTGTCTTCTAACCAGCCATCAGTAACTGTAAGCATGCTTCATAGATCTACATATTTCAGCACTTTTTACATTCTGAAAGAATCTTGCTTAGATACGAAGGTTAACTGGACACCTTTTTCTGCATTCACCTTTAATACTGGATGCCCCCTTTATCTGCACTCCCAAGCTGGGAAGCCCCAGAGTGGGCTCTTGGCCCCTTGCGGCCAACTGAAGTTCTCCATCTCTGCAGCCTCCGTGATCACCTTAAGAATAGGCTCGCGACCTCCTTTGGGCCACACAGAGTCCTTCTCAGGGCTTGCGCTGGAGCTCTCAGGAGGGATGCTCGCTTTCTCACTGATCAGGAACTCTAAGGACCAAAGCCTGGAGTGAGGATGTGATCTGCTTGCAAGCGAAGGAGGCAGGAGGCAGCCGGACTCGAGGGCACACATGACCTGGCAGGGCTGAACCTCAGGCTCCGGTGAGGCTGGCTCCTGACTGCCCCTCTGGACTTTCTCAGTTATTTCAGGCCATGGATTATCTTTAGTGCTTAAGCTAGTTTGAGTTGTGTTTCTGCCACTCATAATTCAGAGAATCCTGGTGGCTTCAGTGTGATCAGGAAGACATTGGGAGCCATTTTAGTTTTTACTTAACTTTTCCAAACTTGCTAGACAGGCTGATTATGGGTCTGTGCTAGTCTGGGAACCTGTGTTTGCTCTCTTAAGCCATGGGTCTTAGACTCATTTCCTGTTGCAAACAGGATGCACTGCACATTTTTACTGTGTTTTTGCTGCCCATAAGTGGGAGGCAGATTCGAATGATAGAATTGGAAAGGTTCCAAAAGCACCAGCCATGGTAGGGACCCTGAAGATTGCAAGATAAACAAAAGCATTCAGAACTTGTGATGGGAGTGTGAGAGGATTGAGCGTTGAAGTCAGCCTAACAGAGGCTGTCGTTTACCCGGTGAAATCCTCAAGTTACAAACAGCTGCTGTGCAATTGGAAGTCACAGTCTTCAGTTAGGCTTGATTTGTCATTTGGTTTATAAATAAGCTTTCATTTTGTCTTTTTTTTTTTTTTTTTTTGGTCTGGCAATGTGGTATCTCTTCCTTGCAGGATTTGGGAAGCTGGGAATATGTGTGACCCACACTACCTGAGGGTGATAGACTTTGACAGTGTCTCCAGCATTTTCATGTTGAAATCTGCTTTATCCTAATTTCCAGTCTTGGTCTTGTCTGTCACAGGCTGGGGAGAAGAGCACCGTCCAGAGAAGGACCCAATAAGGGACATTTCCACCTTGCTTAGTGGGTTGAGGGCTGGGCTTTGGGTTTGAGATGTGAAGAGAAAGAAGCTACGTGGAAGAGAAAGGATGGAGGTACAAGGACGCCCTCCAGCCGGCTACACTTCTGAAACTAAAACATACAAAACTCAGTGGCTTTTCCTCAACTCCTATGATGGATGTGCAAGGACGCCCTCCAGCTGGCTGCATTTCTGATGCTAAAAATACAAAACTCAGCAGCTTTGCCCATACTCCTATGATGCCTGCTTTTTTTTTTTTTTTTTTTTTTTGAGGCGGAGTCTCGCTCTGTCGCCCAGGCCGGACTGCGGACTGCAGTGGCGCAATCTCGACTCACTGCAAGCTCCGCTTCCCGGGTTCACGCCATTCTCCTGCCTCAGCCTCCCGAGTAGCTGGGACTACAGGCGCCCGCCACCGCACCCGGCTAATTTTTTGTATTTTTAGTAGAGACAGGGTTTCACCTTGTTAGCCAGGATGGTCTCGATCTCCTGACCTCATGATCCACCCGCCTCAGCCTCCCAAAGTGCTGGGATTACAGGCGTGAGCCACCGCGCCTGGCCGATGCCTGCTTTTTTAAGAGTGAAGAATGCAGTATGCAGAAGTCCTCCCATTCCCGCCATGCCTGACCTGGTGCATCACAGGCTGCCCAGATGCAGAGGAAGGCTCGGCCATTTCGGCCTTGGCCTGGGCTCTCGGTGGTCCGCTCTGAGGGAACTACATCTAATTACAGAGCAGCGCCGTGGGAAGGAAAGGTCTGGGAAAGTGCAAATGGGAGCCCCAGCACAGAGCACAGCATAACAATTCTTTGGCTATGACACCACAAATGCCATGACCACACAACTCAGCCAACTGGTTACCTCTCACAATGGTGCCTGGTACATCCAGAATCTTAATCTGAGTAATGACTAGTTTTTCAGAAAAATATGTTTTATCCTGAGTTCACTGTAGTGTCACATCCATGGTAAGAAACAATGCAGAGAGATCCTGTATCTGCTTTACCCTGGGGTGACATCTTGCATAACCACAGTACGTATCACAGCCAGGGTACTGATGCTTATACAGCCCACTGACTGTATTCAGATTTTACATGCACTTACTTGTATGTGTTTAGTTCTATGCCATTTTGTATATTTGTGTGATCAGCATCACAGTCAAATATAGAACAGTTTTGTCACAAGGATCCCACTACACCTAAAAATTTAAGTTTTAAACATTTTCGTTGTGATCTTTTCTTTTTCTTTTTCTTTTTTCTTTTTTTTTGAGATGGAGTCTCACTCTGTTGCCCAGGCTGGAGTGCAGTGGCACAGTCTCGGCTCACTGCTGCCTCTGTCTCCAGGCTCAAGCGATTCTCCTGTCTCAGCCTCCTGACTAGCTGGGATTACAGGCGTGCACCACCACACGCAGATAATTTTTGTATTTTTAGTAGAGACAGGGTTTCAGAGTTTCACCATGTTGGCTAGGCTGGTCTCGAACTCCTGACCTCAAATGATCCTCCTGCCTTGACCTCCCAAAGTGCTGGGATTACAGGCGTGAGCCACCACACCTGGCCTGTTGTGATCTTAAGCGTGATTTGTCATTGTTTGGGGCCCAACTTTTTCATGAACTATAATAGGAAAATAGGATCCCAGGTGCCAAGATTTGCTTTCCAGCCCTGCCTCCCCACCCAGGACCCATGTGGGCCACCCATTGTAGCAGGCCTGCCTGTGGATTCCACAGTGAGGCTCTTCAAGAAGGATGTGGAGAGGATCCCATGTCTGGGAGGAACTGTCCCTTGGATTTCTCTGCAGTGATATTCCTATCCACTGGCGTTATCTTGAGATAAAACCGTGGAGCTCTTCATGTTGAAATGCCAATACCTTTCCCCTCCACCGCCTGTCAGTTGGTTTGGCTGAAGCCTGCTCACATTTACTTAACTTGACATATAGTAATAATGGAATATAATGAAAATTCTTTGCAAACTATTGATTTTTTTCTGCATGCACCCAAATGGTCCGCAGAATGGAGTTATTTTTTAGTTTGCACTATTCTCTGGCCATCCTTTCAGCATAATGTATTATAAAAAAAGATCATGGACTTAGTCAGAGATTGTGAAAAATCAGTGCAGCTGTAAGAAGGAAGTAGGCATTTCTGTGACAGGCCTTTTTAGAACCCTGTATTCTAGCTTCTTTCTTTGCACTTGGTAGCCACCCTGGCCTCTCAATCTTGGCTCCCTGTGGGCACCAGCTCCATACACCCCATCAAAGTGTTTTAACTTTCTGAACCCCAGTTTTTTTGTACATAAACTCATATATATCTTATATGTTGTTATTTTGAAGGTTGAATGAGTTAATATAAAAGGTTCTTAGTAAATGCTAGTTTTATTTTCAGCCATTTGTCAATTATTTAGCACTTCCCTTGGACCAGGTATTTGTTGGATGCTAAGCGTAGAAAAAAATAAAGTAAAAGCTATCTTCACCCTCAAGAGAATCATAGTCTTGTTGGTCCTGCAGTTAGAATTCAGTGCAGTGCTCATCACTTCCCTACAGAGAATCCATGCTTTCTGGGAGCTAGGGAGGGATGAGGTGTCAGGAAAGCCTTCCTAGAGAAGGTCACACTTTACTTTTTGGCTGTTGGTGTAGACTTGGAAGGACCTAGGCTGTGCAGAGAGAAAAGGACATTCAAGTAGAGGGGAATGTGTGAGCAAGGTCCAGAAATAGGAAGGACTGTTGAGTGTTCAGAGACTCTTATGTGGATCAGAGACAGCGTGGGAACAGGAAGGTGGAAGGGACACATGGACAGGTCAGTAGGGTCAGAGCCTGGGACCACGTGACCTACCGAAGCTTCCCTGTCCAACATAGTGGGCAGAATTCTGGGTGGCAGAAAGTTGCACAGCTGTGATCAATGTCAACGCCGATTGGGTTTGGAGCCAAGACTGTAGATGTCTTCTGAAATGCGGTTATAAGGTCCTGGAGAGGTCAGAAGCCTTTCGGGTTGTGCCAGGCAGGGAGGATACCAGCTCCAGACACCAATGACAACCTCCACTCTGCCTCCAACCAGCCCTTGGAACCTTGGGCAAGTCCTTTTGTGAACTAAAGGAATTGGGTTGGCTAGCTTCTAACGTTCTTTCCAGAGCGAAGATTCGTTGGTTCTCTGTGGTTTTACAATACCACAAAATGAAAAGATCAAGAATAAAATGACAATAGATGCATTCTGTTGTGAAAATTTTATCCCATCCAAAAAGTTCTATGCACAATGGAATCCTTTCAGGATCTTGAAATCTAGCTACCTTCTTGGCCAAGACAAACTCTATTTGATCATAGCTTCTTAGATTCATTCAATTCTTAATTAACTTGTCATTAAAGTAGGACTGGGGGCTCACATGAGTGAGAAATCGGAAGAGAAACTCTCCATTGCATGCCCTAAGTGTGGGTTTGTGGCTGGGAATTCCTGGCTCCTATATTATTTGATCCATTTCTTTCTGGTTGAGAAGGGACATTCTTCAGTTATCAGGTGCACAACAAGGGACTCACTCTTGCAGTGTCCTCCTCACCTGTTTTGGGCATCTCCAACAATCACCCTTGAACTGAACTTTGGCTGGTCTTGGCCCAGGTGAGGGGAGGCACCACTGCAGCCTGTCCTGTGGATGTCCTGTGACTCATCTTCACATGTCCAGGAGGGTGCTTCCCTGACTCAGCTTGGGAATTCGGCACAGGAGTCTCTGGTTCTCTTCCATCAGGTCTTGCTGTGGCCTTTGTATCCTCTTCCACTGGGTGTTCATTTACCTAAGTGCCACTTCTGATAAGACCAAGCCTGTACCTTGATGGTTGCCACTAGTCAAATGAGTGATGTCCCAGGCTGCAGAATATATTGAAGAGAGGGAAGACAGAATCCTAAGGAGGGCGAGGGGCCTCTTCAGTGGCCTTCAACATCTACCCTGTCTTTCCAGGCCAGCATGGGCAGGGATGTGTGACTTGCAGCTGGAGAGAGGAGCCCAGGCAGTCTGGCTCAGCCTAACTGGCATTCATCTCGCTGAACTGGGATCAGGAGCCCGCCCCTCTGCAAGACCCAGAGCAGCTCTCTTCATTGTTGCATGACCAAGCATCTCCTGGTTTGCAAGGACTGCTTTTGGATAGATTATTTCCTCTAATTAGCCTTGTGACATCTGGTGTGTGATCACAAACTGTAAGTCTATTGCAGACTCTGATGCTGGGTTCTCTGTGGACTGAGAGCCCCCCTGCACTAGGTCTGAGATGATGTATCTCTGCACACAGGAGCACTCATGAGGACTGTGGTCACCTAGGAGCTCAGGGACCCACAGAGCCCTGGGTCATTTTGAGCTCTAGCAGATGAGAATCTAGTTGCCCAGTGGGGCTTTGTATCATAGATTTGGACCAACAAGGGGGTTTACCTGGCTCATTGCACCAGAAGGAGCGTGGAGAATGCAAATTTCCCCAGACAGTTCAGGCACCTGAGGGCAGAGATCTGGCCTCGCACTCCTGCAGCCCCCACTCCCCACCCCATGAGCTCCCATGCCCAGCTCAGCACTAGGCATGTGGAGATGCTCCGCATAGACCACAAACCTGAACCTGACTTCCGCTTGCCACATGTTGATTAGAATCACCGCACATGCCACCAACTTCATCCTTTTCAATGGTCATTTGTGTCCCTGCTCTCTGCAGCAGGGTAGACAGAGCCCATGTCACTCAGCGGCAGCCACGGGGTAGCAGCTTTGGAATAAGCTGGATCTACAATAGGACAAGACTCAGAGCCTTGCCACGTGGGGGCTCCCTGACCCATGCAATGCTGAGCCTGCCTCTGGGAAAGCCTGTGGCTGTGCTATGACTCCTCCCTCTGACTTCTGACTCTCCAGGCCTCCGACCTCTGGCCGCAGCCGCCTCTTGACCTCACACTTGTTCTTCTATGCAGCTGAATGTGCGCATTCACAGTTTGCGTTGTTTTTTGCATAAACTTATATTTCTCATTCTAAGAGTAATATATGTGCATTATAGAAAGCTTACAAATAAAGAAAAACACACATACTAAAGAGCTCAGTCATGGGTTTTTCTTTCCATATTTGATCCGTCCTGCTCTGTGGGTGTGTGATCTTTGTTGGTATGTTTGGGAACACCCTCTACGTACTATCTAATGCCCTCCTCAAGTGCTCCTGGCCCCACACCTCAGCTTGTTCTGTGCTAGCACTTGGAGGCTTTCCCAGCCTCTGCCTGCTCCTAAGCCTGTTCTGCTTTGCCCACGTGCTCACCGCTTGTCCTCCCTGATCATCTCAGCACCCAGGACTCCCCTTGTGAGCATCCATAGCCCTGCTTGTCTCTCATGCTTGCTTCCTAATCACAGACGTGCTGGCCCACAATATTCTCTGACTTTGTCCGAACCTCTGAGGTCGGGAGTCCCTGCTTCTGTTTCTTGGTAAGTTCAGTGGTATCTTACATTGAGCTAAAGAAAGGGCTCCTAAGCTAGATATGTAAGGATCTTATTAAGAAATAAAAATTTAATTAATATATTCATAAGAAGGCTCATCTTCATTAATAATGGCCAGCTCAGCCCCCACTATCTTTTACGCACCATCGATAAAGGTTAATGCCCTTCATGATGTTGGGTCCTGAGAAAGTTGATCATGGTCTTTACTAAACTCGATGCTCCCCAACCTGCCTTGCAGGGGCCCTGGAAACAAACACCAGCATGATTTTGAATGTGCACACACCAGGGCTTACAGCTGAAGGGGCTTCTCGGTCAACCAGCCC
This sequence comes from Homo sapiens, assembly GCF_000001405.40. Classification (NCBI taxonomy): domain Eukaryota; kingdom Metazoa; phylum Chordata; class Mammalia; order Primates; family Hominidae; genus Homo; species Homo sapiens. The sequence goes on from NC_000010.11 coordinate 128,325,239, forward strand.
AGGTGTTTTGGGTTCTTTATCTCTCCTTCTGCTAAACATGTGAAGAGGGGCTGGAAGCATACAGGGTGGGTTTTTGGTGTGTGTGGCGTTTTTGTGGGGTGACCACTTTTAAAGACCTTTCCGCTCCTGTAGAAAAAGCTGACAAAGAGAATGTGGTTGTCAGTCGTGTTTCAGAGATCAATGTTCCCTCGCGCGGCGGGGCCAATCCACACCCATATTTTTAATGATCTGACCCAATGTGAATCTGCCGGTTACAAAGATGCTGCCTTAGAATTTTAAAAAACCTCATAAATAATTTGTTATAACCGCAGGGTATCATGTTACCATGTTACTTATCATGGAACTAGGATAATATTTAAATTGCTTATTTACAGCGTTAAAGTAAATAGTGGTTTGGGCATTTCTGCAAAGCAGGGGACATGCGTTGTCACTCCCTGCCCCCTCCCTGCCGCCTGCGTTTCCCAGCCTCAGTGCGCTCGCCCTTCCTGCTGGGTCTGAGTTCTTTTCCCAGCTGCAATTACTCCATTATGCTATTAAAGTTCAGAATGTGCAACATGCCTGACCCCCGAAGGCATTTGACAGTCATTTTTTTTTATCTTGTCTAATACCTGTGGCTCCCTTTCTGTACTGACATTTGACTGCAAGCATTCTATGGGATCTGCCGGTTAGCTGTCCCTTGAAGGCCACTGGCCTCAGCACCTCTTATGGCCACTCATCTGGCCCCTGTCAGATCTCCGAGGGGGGTGGCGAGCAACACAGTGAATGAAATATCAAGCGCATCAGATCAAATGGCAGGCTGGCCCCCCAGGTAAGAGCAGACTCAGGGTGGAGGGCATTGGATCAGGCCTTCAGGCTTCCCTGGTTCACACGGGGCTCGGACCCTTGTTCCATCAAGTGCCCCTCGCTTAAGCCCCACTAATTGGGTAGGATTGCTGCCGTCTGATGAGTCATAATTAGGACGAGGCGGCTCCGGTAGGAGCCTTCTTATCCGGCAAAGGGTCAGGGACTAATGACTAGCAGAAGGTAACGGTTTTGTTGATGCCTGTAGACTCTGCTGGAAAAAAAAAATCCAGTCCTGCTGCATTTCTTCCGGCGGCAGGCACTGAATCTTCCCTCATTTGATTCAGTGACCTCTCAAGTGCATCCTCGCCCCGAGGGCTCTGGGCCGTCCGGCAACTGTGAAGCCCCTTGGGTTGATAATCTTCTCCCACACTTGCCCTTAACACCAGACGCACCACCATTAGCCGCAGCTGCACGGGCGCTCATTAGAGGCGATCGATAGGAGTGAGATCAGGAATGCCGCTGCCCCCACTCTCCGGGTCCTGCAGATTTGCAGGCGTTCCCACGCAACGTCTTCCTGCCAGCCACGCAAAACAGGGGCTTCTTAACACACAAAAGGGGAAAATGAGAAAGGACAAGGAGAAAGTACATATTTACCTTCCTGCTCTCAGGGTGTTTTTGTTGACTTGTCTAGAGGAAATTTTATTTTCACCGTGATGTGAAAATCGCTAGTCTTTGCCTTCTGTTGCTCCTTGAGTCAGACAGGCCAACGTAAAAATGTTTCTTAATGAAAGAATCACCAGCTCTCCCTACAGAGACAGGGAAAATGTTGTTGTAGCGAGCTGGGCTGGGGGAGCTGCGATGAGTGCTGGGGTCCCCAGTCGCGCCGGAAGGTGTGGCCGGGGAGCCTGGTCACTCCCACCCTCCTTCCTTCCAAGCTGGGGAACTTGGGCCCCAGTGGATACTGGAAGCAGTAATGGTCTCAGTGGCAGAGGCTGGAGTCAGCTGTCCTGCTCAGGCCCCACAGGTCAGCTCCTTTAGGAGAGCTGGGCCACGTTGCCCACGGGGCCCTTCTTCCCCTGTGCTGGGCTGGGTGGGCTCAGGACCCTCCTAGGGCTGAGGAGCAGCAGCCTCTCTTACATACTGGGGGCAGCAGCGGGTGGCGAGGCACTTCCTCTCCCCGCCAACCTGGCCCTTCCTCCTCATTCTCAGGTGGGTTTGGGCCCTGGTGCCTTTGGTGGGCTCATGGTTGCCATCTCTCCCCATCCTTACTACCAAGCTTCCCATGGAAAGGACTAGAGACATGAGAAAGTAGTGAAAACCCAAAGTTGGAGCTGCACCCTACAGTAGCATCCCCAGAACAGGAAATTCAGGACCGACCCTAACCATGTCTTCCCATCAAAGAAGGAAAGTGCATTTGAGAACTCTCTAGGAAAGACCCCATAGACCTGCAGTGTTGTTCCCTAGCTAGAAGGGCTGGGTCGGGGACCGAGGTGGCAGGAGAGCACATCTCGACCCTGCCAGCAGCCATACCTTGCAGAGAAAGGAAACTCTGCTCCCAGAAGTGTGGAGAGACACTCTCAGACAGAGGAGAGCACCTCCACAGAAGGGCCCTGACCCTGCTTCCTCCCCAGCCACATTGCTGGGCAATCAATCTCACAGAGCAAGTGCAGAGCTCTGAACTTTTCCTATATCCTTTAGTCTCTGCCTGAAATATTGATCTAGTTACAGAAACCATGATAACTCAAAAACCGGGCAAAAGAAACCTTTCTTTATAAAGATAAGCAAAGAATGGTGACTTATGACTTATGACAATCAGAAGTTTTAAGGACTCAGAACAAATGTCTGTCTATGAAATGAGGTAGTAGCAAGAAATAGAAAATTCTAGAAAGTTCCTCTTTTCTATTTTTCACAAAATTTAGGGTGACACTGCACCTATGAAATCAGAACTGGGTTTTTTTTTTGTTGTTGTTGTTTCGTTTTTGTTTTTTGCAGGGGAAAAAGCAAGACCCTCAAAGGCTATTTACAAATAATTAATAAATTTAAACTGCAATGTGGGCAGTTAATTGTAGACAATTGATTCATTGACATGGAAGATAAACCTGAGAATATAGAGAAGCTCAGAGAAAAGGGACAAATAAATAAAATGATAAAAAAAAAAAAAGCAGGAGACCTGGAAGGTCAAGAGATCCAATATATGTATAATGGGAATTCCTGAAGAAGAGAGTGCAGTGAACGGAGAAGCCAATGTTATCTCCAAGGAATAAAAAGGGCTTTATGAGTACCAAACACAATCAATGGAAGTTGAATTTTAATGTTGAAAAGAAGTATGCATGTAGGCTAAAAAACAATCAACCTAAAAAGAAGTAAAACTCAAACCGTTATGAGTTTCTTCTACCTACAAAAAGACCAAATCCATTTTCACTTTTATTGGAACACAGAGCTCGTAGTCTGTTCTGCTTGAGATTATGAATGGTTTTGTTTACTTTGTTATTTACCTGAACATTGTACCTGAAAAAAAATTCAATTCCAGTATTCCCCCATCTCCCGCGATCATCTGTACCTTGAGACAAATTGGATAGTGGGTAGATTTTTCTGCAATAATAAAGACTAGACAACAATGAATAAGTGTTTCCAGAGTTTTTTTTAGAACGATATTTTGATGCAAGTCTTCTCTACCCTGACAATGTGCCATTTTTAGGTAGCATCCAGTTAGTCTGCAAACTCCATAAGGTAAGGACTGCAAAGATTTGTGCTGTCTCATTAATTCTCTCTTCCTTGGATCTAGCAAGGTGCCAGACATATGGAAGGTGCACATTATGTGTATATTGATTAGAATTGGCTACAGCAAAGGACATTCTCAGATATGCAAAGAACCTCAAAAATATGACACTCGTGTACCCTTCTTTAAAAATTTATTGAAGACACCCTGCAGCCAGCTATGGAAGGATGGGGAAGTCATAGCATAAAAAAAAAGAGGTAAACAGCAAAACCAGCAAAGTATGTAGAGTTGAAGTAACTTTAGCTTATGTAATTAAAAAACAACCCAAGTACAAAATATAATTATTAAGATCTAAATGCTTAAGTTATGCAAATAATTCAGTATTAATTATCTACTCTAGCTATTAGATAATAAAAACAAAAGTTGGCAAATGAGATAGGGAAATAAAAAGTAAATGTGCGTTAAACTTTTGTTTTCCTTGGGAAGAGACATTGGGTAATATCACAGTGTTAATGGTAACTAAAAAAAAATGTGGTTATAAAAAGGGATGTAAAAATAACCACATGTGGAATAAAAACAGGAGTTACTCTTTGAAAATTACCAAAAGAAAAAAGAGCTAAGGAAACAATTCTTTAATAAAAGATGAATAAAGGGAAGCAACAAGAACGTATTAAAAAATAAGGGACAATAGAAGTAAGTCCAGTGATAAATGTGAAGAGGCCAAATTCCTCAAATGACAGACTTGCAGGCTTGATTGAAAAGCAGAGTTGAATTAAAGTCTGTTGACAAAAGATGCATATAAGATAAAAAGACATGCATATAAAATAAAAAGACATGCATATAAAATAAAAAGAAAGATTGGAAAATAGGGGTTGGACAAAGACATGTCAAGTAAATACAAGTAACTGAAAAGTAGAAGAAATATCAAATTAAGAGTTGAAACAGTTTCAATGATTTTCATATAGACAAAAAGCAAAATGCACCACGAATATATATATGAATAATAAACCCCTATGTGTGAAATATAATTATAGGAATATGTAAAGTAAAAGTAAAAATATAAGAAGAAATTGACAAAAACGTGATTAATCCAGTGAGTAATTTTCATATGCCACAGTCAGTACAGGACAAGATGAATTAACAAAATTAAACAGAGAGATAAAAAACTGAACAAAATATAATAAATAGAGCTGATTTGTGTTTAATAAGGGGTAGTGAACTTTGTACCATCCAAAGAATGGGGATAATGTCCATAATATGTTTGTAAAAATTGATGATCAAAATGTCTTAATGATAAAGAAAAACGTAATGAAATCTCTTAAGTAACAAACTGTACAGACCATATTTGTAGCTACAAAATGGACACACATTTTAGTAACAAAAATGTACCACCAACTGTAATATGCTTAAAAATTAAAATAATACTCCCCTAGTATTAGATTAAATAAAGTCTCTAATTCAAGGCTACTTAAAAAACAAAGACATATAAAATTTAAAGATGAAGCCCAAAGTCATTTCAGAGTCAAACACATCAGATTAAATATATTTGTTAATAAATAAGAATAAACAACAATAAAAACCTCTAATAACCACTTATTTTTATAGTTTTAGAAAATCCAAGATATTAAGTTCAAGGATATTTAAAAAATAATAAAGACTACAAAAGAGAAATTTATGAACCAAAACATGGAAACAGTAAACTTGATAAATTCAAGAACTTTAAAAACAAACAAATACACCTTAAAAATTTAACCAATGAAAGATCCATTTGGGAAAAAAAGAAAAAACTGTAAATATGGAGAAATGAGGAATTTAATAACCATGATTGAGGAAATAAAGGAAAAGAAGAGAATATAATTAATAAAACTATAAATAATGGTGATAAAAACTATAAAGAAATGCTGTATATTAAAACTTAGTGGTAATAAACTATCAATGAAATTGAATATTTTTCCGAAGGAAATGTAAATTTTCACGTATTTCTACAGGGTAATAACCATGGAGAAAAATTTCAAAAGTTGTCTTAGGTTTAATAGTTATAGTTTTGCAATAGTTTCATATTAATCTCTTGTGTCAATCCCTCTATGTTCAGTATTTTGGTCTTCCAGATTAATTTTAGAATCCTTCAGAGTTTGGAAGTGAAGGATTTCTCTTGTAAGAACTTATAATTACCCTGCTATATGAATGACTGCAAACCACTGAGAGAGAATGCTTCCTGGTACATTTCACAGAACGATCTGAGGCTTGAATCTACAATTTGAAAAAGTGTAGGAAAACTCCAGACCCAGCTCCCTGGAGGATGAAGTAAGACTAGTGGGTGGCACTGGCTCCTGGTGAGATGTGTCCACAGCTGTTGAATCAAAAACCGAAAAGTCCTAAATAATATATAGCAAATACCAAGTAGAAAACAACATTTTCATATACCATATAGGTCTATTCTAGGAATATAATAATGTTTTAATATTCAGAAATCTATTAATAAAATATATCACATCCATAGATTAAAAGAAAGAAAACCTCAATAGATTTCCAGAAGGCATCTGATAAAATTCAACATCAATTTCTAATAAAAACTTAATAAGTTAGGAATAGGAGAACAGTTCCTTGACATAAAAAAAAAAAAACAACAACAATAGAAAATCAGCAGCTACATCGCATTTAATGAAGATCCTCCAAAGGCTCTGCAGTTAATATCAAGATCGGGGTAAGGATGCTACAATCGCCATCATTATGATCATTGTTCTGAAAGTTCTAGCAAGTGTGGTAAGGTAGGAAGGAGAAATAAAATTAAGGAATAGATAAAAAAAACTGCAACTATATCTATAAATTCTAAGAGAATATTTTAAAGAAAGTAGTTAACAGTTACTTTTTAAAGAAAAGTAGCATGCACAAATCAAAAATTTTCTTATCTTCCATTAATAATTAGCTGGAAAATGAGAAGATAAAAGATTTTCAATCCACAAGATCAATGTAGGACACTAAATTCTAGGAGTAAACCCAGTAAGATATACCAGGGACCCATGTGAAGAAAAGAACAGCAGGTCTTGAGAGGTGTCAAGGAAGTATTGAATAAATAGAGATATAGCCCTTGGTTCCGAATAATGCACAGAGGTCAAATATGCGCAATGTAACTTGTATCAGGGCAATTCCAATCACAATTCAGATTTGGGATTGACTTCAGCCTGCTGTAGAAGAATAGCAAAAAGGTTGATTCCTAACAGAGGAGGAGAACAGTGGAGAGGGCAAGGAAATCTCATTTTACTGGGCTTTGCAGATATTGCTTTTTTTTTTTTTTTTTTAACAAATGGAAGGTTTGTGGCCACCCTGCATGGAGCAAGTCTATTGGTGCCATTTTTTTCCAACAGCATGTGCTCGCTTCCTATCTCTGTGTTACGTTTTGGTGATGCTTGCAATATTTCAAACTTTTTCATTGCTATTAAATCTGTTATGATGACTTGTGATCAGTGATCTTTAATGAAACTCTTATAATTATTCTGGGGTGTCATGAACTGCACCCATGTAAAGCAAAGAACTTAATTGATAAATGTTGTATGTGTTGTGACTGCTCCATTGATCAGCCATTCTTTTGTCTCTCCCTCCTTTTGGGCTTCCCTAACATGCAATTAGATTGAAATTAGACTAAATGATAATCCTACAATGGCCTGTAAGTGTTCAAGTGAAAGGAAGAGTTGAATATCTCACATTTTAAATCAAAAGTTAGAAATGAGTAAGATGTGTTAAAAGATCACTTAGGCTGAAAGTCAGGCCTCTTGTGCTAAACTTAGCCAAATTGTCAATGCAAAGGAAAATATAAGTTGAAGGAAATTAAAAGTGCTACTCCAGTGAACACACACATGATAAGAAAGTGAAACAACCTTATTGCTGATATGGAGAAAGTTTGAGTGGTCTGGATAGAAGATCAATCCAGCCACAACATTCTCTTAAGTCAAAGCCTAATGCACCATTAGACCCTAACTCTCTTCAATTCTATGAAGGTTGAGAGGGTAAAGAAGCTGCAGAAGAAAAGTTTGAAGCCTGTAGGAAAGGTTGGTTCATGAGATTTAAGAAAAGAAGCCATCGCCATAACATAAAAGTGCAAGGCAAAACAGCAAGTGCTGATGGAGAAGCTGCAACAAGTTATCTGGAAGATCTAGCTAAGATTGCTGGGGTGGCTGCTTTAAATAACAGGTTTTCAATATAGACATAACAGCCTTTAGAAGGTGCCCTCTAGGACTTCCATAGCTACAGAGAAGTCAATGGCTGGCTTCAAAGCTTCAAAGGGCAGGCTGACTCTTTTAATAGGGGCTAATGTATCTGGTGACTTTAAGTTGAAGCCAATGATCCTTTACCATTCTAAAAATCCTAGAGCCCTTAAGAATTAAGCTGAATCTATTCTGTCTGTGCTCTATAAATAGGACAACAAAGCCTAGATGACAGCACATCTGTTTACAGCATGGTTTGCTGAATATTTAAAGCCCATTTTTGAGATCTACTGTACACACACACACAAAAGATTCCTTTCAAAATATTACTGCTCATTGACAATGCGTCTGGCCACCCTAAAGCTCTGTTGGAAATGTACAAGGACATGAATGTTGGTTCCCTGCCTGCTAACACAAGATCCATTCTGCAGCCAATGTATCAAGGAGTAATTTTGACTTTCAAGTCTTATTATTTAGGAAATACATTTCATAAGGCTGTAGCTGCCACAGATAGTGATTCTTATGATGGATCTGGGCAAAGTAAATTGAAAACTTAGAAAGGATTTACCATTCTAGATGCCATCAAGAACATTCATAATTCAGAAGATTAAAATATCAATATTATCAGGAGTTTAGAAGAAGTTGATTCCAACCCTCATGGATGACTTTGAGGAGTTCAAGACTTCACTGGGGGAAGTAATTGCAGATGTGGTGGAAATAGAAGAAGAACTAGAATTAGAAAGTTGAGCCTGAAGATGTGACTGAATTGCTGCAATCTCAAGATACACTTGAGTGGATGAGGAGTTGCTTCTTATGGAAGAGCAAAGGAAGTGGTTTCTTGGGATAGAATATACTCCTGGTGAAGATGCTATGAACACTATTGAAATGAAAACAAAGGATATAGACTATCACATAAAATGAGTTGATAAAGCAATGGCAGGTTATAAGAGGGTTTTTTTGTTTTGTTTTGTTTTGTTTTTGACAGAGTCTTGCTCTGTCACCACACTGGAGTGAGTGCAGAGGTGCAGTCTTGGCTCGCTGCAACCTCTGCCTCCTGGATTCAAGCAATTCTGTGCCTCAGCCTCCCAAGTAGCTGGGACTACAGGCGTGCGCCACCACACCCAGTTAATTTTTGTATTCTTAGTAGAGACAGGGTTTTACCATGTTGGCCAGGATGGTCTTGATCTCCTGACCTCATGATCCGCCTGCCTTGGCCTCCCAAAGTGCTGGGATTACAGGTGTGAGCCCCTGTGCCTGGCCAATTCTGTTTTTAAAAGAAGTTCTACTGTGGGTAAATGCCATCAAAAAGCATCAAATGTTACAGAGAGATTTTTCATAAAAGGAAGAGTCGATCAATGTGGCAAATTTCGTTGTTGTCTTATTTTAAGAAATTGCCACAGCCACCCCAACCTTCAGTAACCACCACCCTGATGACTTCACAGTCATGCACATCAAGGCAACACCCTCCACCAGCAACAAGATGATGACTCAGGAAAGATCAGGTGATCCTTAACACTTTTTAGCAATAAAGTATTTTAAAATTAAGCTATGTACATTACATTTTTTTATATACAATTCTCATGCACACTTAATAGTATGCATGGTATAAAAATAGCTTTCGTGAGGCACTGGGAAACCAAAAGATTTACATCCCCTCCTCTTCCCTCCCCTTCTATTCTCACTGTACTGAGACATTCGCTTTGTTGCAATTGTCTGGAATGGAACCCACAACATCTCCAAGGTATGCCTGTTACTAAGAAGAGTTCCACAGCTTTAATGGTTACAGGATGGGGTGTAGGTGCGAGATTAGACAGGCAGATGAGGGGGAACATGGAGAGTGTCAGAGGCACCTGATGCCCCACTCGGCTATGATAAATGTGGCATTTTAAATCCATGGAGAAAATAGTTCTTCAGTGGATGATTTTAAGATAGCAGGTTTGATAGGGTGCAGTGGCTCATGCCTGTAATCCCAGCACTTTGGGATGCCAAGACGGGTGGATCACTTGAGGTCAGGAGTTCGAGACCAGCCTGGCCAACATGGTGAAACCGTGTCTCTACTAAAAAGAAAAAAATAAAACAAATTAGCCAGGCGTGATGGTGGGCACCTGTAATCTCAGCTACTTGGGAGGCTGAGGCAAGAAAATTGCTTGAACCCAGGAGGCAGAGGTTGCAGTGAGAAGAGATTGTGCCACTGTACTCCAGCCTGGGCAACAGAGTGAAACTCTGTCTCAAAAGAAAACAAAAAAAGCAGGTTAATTATTTGGAAAAAAATCCCATTATCAGTCCTAGATGAAAATTCATTTCAGCAGACAAAAGGGGCACGTGTAAGAGACCTGGAAGAACTCAACAGTAACAGGTGCATGTTTATCTGGCATCAAGGCAGGGGAGGAAGCTCAAGGATATCACAAAGAAAAATGATAAAAACTTGTCTACATAAACATTTGAAAATTCTTAACACCAAATTACACCCTAACTGATCCTAACAGTTCCAACAATGGGAACACATTGTAGCATATGTAAACGATTATTATCTGTAATACATAAAAACCATTATAATTTGGCAAAAGTTTTGAAAAATGCCTAAAGAATGTGAAAAAAGCATTCATTAAATAAGAACCACAAACGCTCAGCTAACATTTGAAGAAATGTTCTTTCCATTAGAACTGAGCAAATGAAATTTTAAATAATGAGAAAGATTTTTGGCTGATCAATATAGTAAAGATTTTTGAAAGAGGCAATGCCCAGTGTTGGCAAGGTTATGGGAAAACAGCAACTCTTATATATTGTGTATAAGATTTTCTGGAGGATACATTGGCAGTATGAATTAAAACCTTAACAATATTCACACCTTATGACCCAAGAGTCTCACTTCCAGGTATTTTTCTCAAGTAAATAATTAGAGAATCCTAAAGAGCTATACGTATGAGGAGACTGTGTGGTGCTCTCTCTAATGGTGAAAAATGGGCAATAGCAGTAATATCCAATGAGAGAAAATGGGTTAAATAAATTGTGGTCCATTAAAAGCAATGGAATACTAAGTAGTCATTAAAAATTATATTCTCAGAAACTATTTAAGCATATGCAATAACATTCACAATATATTAAGTGATAAAAGTAGGTTACAAAATGTTATATGCTTTATAATTCCAATGCTGTAAAAATTGTATATATGCCGAGATAAATGATGGAAGGATATACAGCGGTTATCTTTTAATCTCAGGAATGTGAGTAATTTTTATTTTCTTCTTTTTGAAGTTCTCTAAGTTTATGCAATGACACTGTGTTCCTTATATACAAATCATAGTAATAATCATAATAAAAGAGTTTTAAAAGCTCTATAAGGGAAGGGTACAGGCCTTGCTACACAATGCCCATCTGAAGGGTCTTTCTAAGCCGTGGAGAAGTGGAGGGATCAAAGCAAGGGCTCCAGGAAGGCTCGATGTCTTCGTCTCCCTCTGCCTCTTGCTCTTTATTTTTTTCTGTTATGAGATACTTCTTTCCCTCTAGTCATTCCGAAAAGGTGGTGGTTTCCAGTCTCTCGGCTTTCAGTTAATAACATTTCCTTATTTAAAGTCTAACTTGTTCTTTTCAAGCTGGATCTATTTTCCTTCTCAGTCTTCAGGCATCTTGGCTTAATTTCCTGAGAAAGCTGCTTGCAAGTCATGGAGCATCTCACTGAGGTCCTTGGGAGTGGATGTGGGTGAGGAGGCGTTGGAAGAGAAATTCCTGCTGCGTCTCTCTAGCACCCTGCTCAGTCCTAGGGGCTTGCTTTGGCTCCCAACGTGGTTTCATGGGTCTGGGAGTGAATGCAATTGGCTGCTTCACCAGCAACAGAAACTCCAAATTAGGATGACCGGATTCCACAAATAAAATACAGAATGCCCAGTTATATTTGATTTCAGAAGAACAACTAACTTTTTAGTATATGTCCCAAATATTGCATGCGATATACTCATTCTAAAAATGATGCATTGTTTTTCTGAAATTCTAATTTCACTGGTCATCCTGCATTTTATCTGGCCACTCCAAGTGCCTTCAATGGGCCAAGTGCCAGTGTGGCTTCACGCCTTAACTTGGCCCAAGTTGCTTTGTCCACAGTAAAGTCTTCATAATGCACTCTCACGTGGATTGGGGCACTTTGCAGGACCATGGTGTTTGATCACACACCGTCGTCCCCTGGATCTGCGTGGGTCCTTCTGGTGGGTAGTCATACATTGGCTGTCAGAAAATTTGAGCTTGGCTATTTCTGTCTGTAATCTAGAGTTTAACAGGCACTAATTTTCATAACCAGGGAGGATAATAGAGAAGTTGATGGATGATAGTTGAGGTGTAGTTGTTTTGACAGGGAGGAAAATATACTGGCCTGAGTAGTGAGATTCTTTTCCTCCACTGGAGTTAGTGTTGCAGATGCCATTTGCTTTGTTTCCTTCTTGAAGGACATTCCAATACTCTATGCCTTCTGGACACACACTTGAGGGGCAGAAATAGAGTCTGTACCGGCAGTGGGAATAGAATCACCTCTTCCACATTTGTAAACTTGGCTCCTTAGCATCTTGTCCCTTTGTTCTACTAAGAGAAAATGATGAAGAAGGAGTATTAGAACGAAGCTGGTAAAAAGAAGGGAAATATAAACACACCAAGAACCATAGGTACTGAAATCTAATTGGCCTAGTTATTTCCAGTTATTTTAGAAATGACTGGGGAATAGACTACTACTGCTTAAAAATTGCTTTAGGATTGAAGCTAGTATATTAAGCTCTTGTTTGCAGTGGCTGCCTCTACAATCACTTGTGTTCCTAAATTTGTTCAGGGCCAGGGCTATCCAGAAACCCAGTGTGCACTGACTGACCTAACAAAGGAAGCTGCCCTGGTGCCTGTCACCAGGAAAAACACTGTGTTGGTGTCAGTGCACCCCTCCAGAGATGGTGCTTGTGTCCCTTCCACTGAGAGCAGCAAAAGCATGGGGCCCAGCCCTTCTCCTGGCATGAACCATCCTCTCTCCGGAAAGGAGCCTAGCCCAGAGCTGTCCTGGGAGCATACCATGTTTTATTACCTCTCCAGCTTCTGGTTGCCTGCCAGGAGCCGAACCAGAGGTGCCAAAATGCTGTAAGAAATCAGATCTCCAAGAGTGCCTGCTCTCACGGCATTTGCAGCTGTTGGCTCATAGCAAAGCTCTTTTTGAATTTTGTAAGAAAACATGTTCTCAAGAGGTTTCCATTCCAAGTTGGCAGGCTCAAGAAGTCAGAAGAGCTGGAGTCAAAACTTTTCAAGGAACGTCTGAGCTTGGATCCTATTCTGCACTTAGTCCGGTCTCCAACTTCTGGGGCCTCAGATTTGGAATCGCTGTTGCTGGCTGATAATGGACTATATTTATGGTGCCCGAGGGGAGGGTGGAGGCATGTTGCTCCCAGAATACCTTCAATGGTTTCAAAGGCTGTGATGCATGGGCAGGAGATGATTTATGGAAGCATGTTCAGGGAACAGTTTATGAGTATCATTTGAACACAAATATTTGTCTTTCTTCTGGAAAAGTAGCATCTTTTCATTCAGAAATTAGTAGCGAAAATTCTGTTTAGCATATCCAATTTAAGTCGTCTTTGCTCCCTCAAGAAGGTTTCCCCAAATTATTGCAGTAATCTTTTTTTCTTCTCTCCTGACCTGTCCAATTCCAAATTTCTGATCTGACGGCTAAACACTCCCACAAAGCTGTGTTCATCCTTAGTGAAGACCTGATCTTTTGTCCTAGTAATTTTCATGGGCAATTTGTCATCTTTCTGTCACTTTCCCAGTTTCCTTGCACCTTGCTGATGGTGGGTTGATAGTGACACTATACAGAGACAGGCTGCGAATGGCAGAGAAGGCAGCTTGGGTGGAAGAAAAATGCAATTTCTCCTTGTTCAACCAACCATTGAAATGGCCGTTTGGCCAGAATGGTGGTGGATATCCACATATGTTGTTTTTATTATTGTGCTAATGTGAGAACTGTAAATTTTTAGTGATTGGATTTAGGAAGTTGCAAACTTGCCGTATTTAATATTTTGGTTGAGAGAGCATCTTCATCCATAAAGGCAAATATTTTTTATGGATGGAGGCTTGTAATGATGAGGTATTTCTGGAAAGCAATGTAGTATACTAGATTATAAACTTCCCAAACATTAAAATAAAGCACTTTGGGAGGGACATTAACTCTTTTAGGCCACTTATACAATTCCCAAAGCACCCATCATAAATCCAGGAAATTGCATTGTCATTGTTATACTCAGGAATAATTTCGCTCCAATACATTTCCACATCATACATAATTCTATTTTAGGGAGTAAAGATGTTTAGCTTATGTCAGGAGAGTCTACTGATTGGTTCTGTCTCGCACCAGTATTATTTTAAATCAAGGACTGCTGCAGCAAAATCAGATAATTTCTCAGAAGACTTACACGGAAACATATTCTACAGTTGTTTATGTTTGAGATGAGAGCTTTCAATTCAAATCATTGTTCCAAAATAGATGAATGTCAAGTGTGATATTGGTTAATGTACATCAGGAACTTGGGGAAACTGAACTGAAGTTGAAAATCAAGCTGCCAAAAGAGTTGCTTCCCACTGTGGCTTAATCCCAGGTAGTAACAGGAAGCTGGAATTAATGGGTGGATAGAAATATCCCAAGATGGAGAAGAATTCCAGACATGTGCATTCCTCAGGCCTGCAGGACACAGCAGAAGCAGCCCTGTCCAGGCACCAGGTCCTGACAGGCACTGGGGTGACGGGCTTACCTGAAATGTGGTAAGGGGCATCTGGACAATGGGGGTTTGGGTTGAGACAATGCCCCAGATAGGCAGATGGAGAGGAGTGTGCATAATCACATGATCCTCTTCAGGCCTCCGACTTCTCAAAGAATTGGAATTCTGAAACATGTCTTCTGCATTTATAGATCAAAAACCCATGAGTTCAACCTGGAAAGTTGCCACAGAAAACTAGTTATCAGTCAAGAAGCAAGCATATATTGTGTAAGTAGATGACATGCTCTTTTTCCATAGCCAAAGGCAAAGTCTTCAGGAGATCTGCACAGTGTTCCTGAGACACGGCTCGCCTCTCTGTGGCTGTGTGAGGTACTTGGCACCATACTGATCCTCGCTGATGTACTGGAATGGCTTAATTTGCTTCCAAGAAATAAGAAGGAATATATGTTTATTAGAAGTGTTTTGGCTATGTAGGGAAGTAGATTTCATGTCCCAGGGAAAAAATGACTTGAAGATTTTGTAAAAACCGGGTGAAAATCTGTGGTCCAAATGAGCATCTCCTTTTCCACTTAGCTTAAGGAGAAGCAAATCTCATTAGGTGCCTGTGCGAGGAGTGTGGGGAATGGGACACACCTTTCACTGCGCACCCAACACGGGAGCAATGAGGTGTGACTGAGACACAGCAGGTAACAGCCAGTGGAGGAATGAGATGGAAGCAAGTTTGAGGGAACCCATGGTTTGAATCAGAGCTGCAGGTCATGAGGAAACACGCTGTCTCAAGAATTGCCACCATTTTTATGAGAGGTAGACACTGACAGCTTCACAAAGGCCACTGAGAGGGAATAAACATCAGGAAATCTGAACAAGGAACATGGAGGCTCCAATCAAATTGTCAAGTCCTGTAGCTTTAGACAGCATGAGGCAGAAAGGTGGCCAAGAGGCCGGGTCAAGAGGCAGCCACTGGCTCCCTCCTGTTCCTCCTTCCAGAGCACACTCAGCTCCCAGGTGCTGGAGGAAAAGCCACCACAACAGAGCCCCTCGCTGGTACACTATGCCACAAATCCAACACCTTTTGTCCAACTCTTATATGAGTTGATTTTTATGAATAGAAAGTGATTATTCAGTTATTTCTTTCAGAGAAAGGGAATTTCATTGGATGTTCACAGTTAATTAAAAAAATACATTAGTAAAAGAAAACTATGGGATGTTGGACTAGTGAGAGGGAGAATTTCTCCACATTTTTGAGAAGAACATAATATAACAATTAAGTATCCATGCAATATTTTTCAATATCATAATTACTGGAAAGAATATGCATGTGTACATAAATTTTATTTTGAATAATTCATGGATTCTTGGTATCTCTCTGAAGTCCCTTTCTAATCTTCAGCTCAGAATGAAGAATAGGTTGACCACCACTGTTGGTTATAAATTCAAGGTGTTAAAAACAAAGAATATCATTCAATATGACATTACTGGTACTTGCCCCTTGCTGAGATGGGGGGTGTAAAGTCAATGATATCATCCCATTGACATCTATGTCTTTTCTTTTCTTTTTCTTTTCTTTTCTCTTCTCTTCTTTTCTTTTTTCTTCCCTTCTCCTCCTCCTCCTCCTTCTTCTTTTCTTTTTTTTTTAAAGAAGGTGTCTTGCTCTGTTGCCCAGGCTGCAGTACATTGGCATGACCTCAGCTCACTGCAACCTCTGCCTCCTGGGTTCAAGCGATTCTTCTGTGTCAGCCTCTCAAGTAGCCGGTACCACAGATGTGCACCACCATGCCCGGCTAATTTTTGTATTTTTAGTAGAGACAGGGTTTCACCATGTTGGCCAGGCTGGTCTCGAACTCCTGACCTCAAGTGATCTGCCTCCCTCAACCTCCCAAAGTGCTGGGATTACAGGTGTGAGCCACTTTGCCGAGCCCCATTGGCAACTATTTTAGGATTAAATGTTGCTTTGGCAAAACACCTTCTCAGTAGATGGAAGGGAGAATGTTTGGGGAGGGAGAGATGGAAGGTGTCTGACCGGAGCCTGCATGCCAGTGTTCCAGGGATATTAATTCTTCCTAGGAATTTGCTTTATTTTTGAATCCATTTTAGATATTTGAATCTTCATCTCAACATTGTGGTGTTCCCTCTTCACTTGGCTACCTTCCTGTAATTTTTGAGATTTTGGGATTCAATGTCCCTCCCTGTCCCCACCCGCATGCCTGGGGATCCTATAACTCTACCTTCTGGTCTTCACAAAGCTTGGTTCTTTGTTTGAGGTTTTACAGTGTCAAAGGCTTGGATGCTACAACATTATCCTTTGCTTCTTGGAGATGAATCATCCTGACATGATGCACTAGGCTTTGACAAACCATGCTGCCTTTCCTACATCTCTTTATGTCAAACCCCTAATCATGACAAATGCAAGAACATTCAAAACCTCTTTGATCACTACTATCCTAAACATTAAACTTCTTCGTGATTATTCTGTTATTGAAAGAATAGAATCATAGGGAATAAGAATGGACTTGGCCCTCATGAGTGGTTTTCAAATTGCCTTCCGTGGAGCTGGAGGACTCCAAGGAGGAGCTGGAGATTGCTCGTGGTGCACTGGGGAAGGATGTGTAGGCACAACTTGGGGGTTCTACCTGCACCCCAGTCATGGCAGCTCCATGGCCCTCCATTCTGTGTAAAAGAATTTCATCAAATATTGTATTTGGACAAAAAGAGGTTGATGGCTGACGGCATGGGTTTTCTTTTTGAGATAACGTTTAGAAAGTGTCCTAAAATTGATTGTGTTGATAGTTGCATATGCCTGTGAATATACTAAAAACCGTTGAATTGTATGTTTTAAATGGATGAATTATGTAGCATGCAAATTGTACCTCAGTGAAATTGTTAAAGGATTGAAAATCCATTTACTTAGACCCATCTCTTCATTTTAAAGATTAAAACAATATAGTACAGATAAAATTCAGTTGTTTTCTCAAGGTACAGTTTCTCCAAATACATCTTTCTTCTTCCCCACGATTAACCTTGCCTTCTAGCATTTATACCTTTGTGTAGTCCCCTCATCTTGGATCTGAAATGACTTTGTCACTTGCTTTTGACCAGTAGAATACTGTGAAAGAGATGCTATGTGGCTTGCTAGTTGAAGTCCTAAGAAGCCTTGCAGCTTCCCCCTGAGCTTCTTGGATGCTCTTGGGACATACCTCTGGAAACCCAGCTATCACGCTGTGAGAAATCCAAGTTAACCAAAGAGGTGAAGTGTGTGTTCTGTTGAGCTGCAAACCAACAGCCAGTATCAACTGCCCACTGTATGAGTGAGCCATTCTGTGGGTTGTGTTTTCACTTTCTTAGTGGTGTCTTTTGAAATGCAAATATTTTAAATCTGTGATGAATTCCAATTTATCTACTTTTATCTTTTGTTGTATGGTGTCACATCTCAGAAACTATTGCATAATCCATGGTCATGAAGATGTACTTCTATACTTTCCTCTAAGAGTTTTATAGTTTTAGCTCTTATATTTAGGTCTTGTATCCATTTTGAGTTATGTTTTGTGTATAGTATGAAGTATAGGCCCAACTTTATTATTTTGCATGTTGATATCTAGCTGTCTCAGTGTACTGGAGAAGGATGTGTAGGTGTAATTGGGGGTTCTACCTGCACCCTAGTCCCATGGCCACCAATTCTATGTACAAGAATCAGACAGACTCCTCATGAGTCTATACAGGTTTTTTTTTTTTCTTGTTCGTTAGCCCTTTTGGTATCTTTCTAGGAATTTGTTCATTTCATCTAGGTTTTCTCATTTGTTGGCATATAATGTTAATAGTATTACCTTATAATCATTTATATTTCTGTGTGGTTGGTAGTAATGTTGTCTCTTTATTCTTGACTCTACTAATTGGAGCATTCTCTTTTTTTTTTTTATCTTGGCCAGTCTAGCTAAAGGTTTGTCAATCTTGTTGATATTTTTCAAAGAATCAGCTTCTGGGATTGTTGATTTTCTCTATTGTTTTTACTCTCTATTTCATTTATTTCTGCTTTAATCTTTATTATTTTATTTCCCTGCTTGCATTGGGCTTTGTTTGCTCTTCTTTTTCTATTATCTTAGGTCAGAAGGTTAGGTTATTGATTTGAGAGCTATCTTCCTTTTTAATATAGACATTTACAGCTATAGATTTTCATTCAAGTGATGCTTTATCTGCACCACAAAAAGTTTTAGCATGTTGTGATTTTATTTTTATTACCTCAAAGTATTTTTAAATTTCCCTTGTTATTTTTTCTTTGACTCATTGTTTAGGAACGCGTTGCTTAATTTCCATATATTTGTAAATTTCTCACATTTTCTTCTGTTATTGCTTATGAACTTCATTCTATTGTATGATTTCAACAATTTTAAATTTATTGATACTTTCTATATGACCTACCACATGATCTATTCTGGAGAATGTTCCATGTACATGTGAGAAGAATGTATATTCTGCTGTCGTTGGATGGAATATTCTACAGGTGTCTTTTAGGTCTAGTTGTTTGACAGTGCTGTTCAAGTTTTCTATTTATTTTCTGTCTAGTTGTTTTATTTATTTTTGCTGAGAGGGCATTCAAGTCTCCAAATCTATTGTTGAGTTGTCTATTTCTCTCTTCAAGTCTGTCAGTTTTTGCTTCATATACTTTATCTGTTTTTAGATGCATATATGTTTATAATAATCGATGTATTTATCCTTTTTCATTATAAAATGTAATCATTTGTTTATAGTAACAATTTTGGCCTTAAGGTTTATTTTGTCTATTAGCATAGCTACTCCAGCTCTCTTTTGTTTACTATTTTTAGTATATCTTTTTCATCCTTTTATTTTCAGCTTATTTGTGTCTTTGAATTTAAAGTGTGTCTCTTGAAGACAGCATATGGTTGGCTCATTTAAAAATTTTTGTTATACCAATATCTGCCTTTTAATTGGAGATTTTAATCCACTAACTTTTAATAAAATTACTGATAAGATATGATTTATGCCTGCCATTTTGATATTTGTTTCCTACATACTTTATGTCTTTTTTGTTCCTCTGTTATTTGATTATTGCCTTCTTTTGTGTTAAGTAGATACTTTTTAGTGTACCATTTTCTTTTGTTTTGTTTTTTTTTCTATTTTTTGAGTTATTTTCTTAGGGGTGACTCTAGGGATTACAACACACATTTTAATTTATAACAATTCTAGTTCACAGTAATAACAACTAATTTAAACATTATTCAAAAACTTTTTTCCTATATAGCTCCTTTCCCTTCTCCTTCCTTTGTGCTAGAATGTACAGCTGGACTTCTCTAACATGGTTCCTGCATTCATAGCTTCAACTAACTGCAGATTTAAAAAACACACACAATAAAAATAACAATATTACAATAAAAATAATACAATCACTAATCCTCAGAAAAATGGAAATCAGAATCATAATGAGATGTCATTCATCCCAGGTAGAAAGGCTACTATCAAAAAGACAAAAATTAGCAAGTGCAGGTGAGGATGCACGGACAAGGAGACTCTGATACACTTTTGGTGGGAATGTATATTAGTAAGCCATTATGGAAAACAATGTGGTGTTTTCTCAGAAAAACTAAAAAGAGAACTACCATATGATCCAGCCATACCAATACTGGGTATTTATCTAATGGAAAGGAAATCAGTATATTGAAGAGATTCCTGCACTCCCGTGTTGACTGCAGCATTACCCACAATAGCCAAGATACGGAATAAACCTAAATGTCTATCACTAGATGAAAAAATAAAGAAAATATGGTATATATACACATTGGAATGCTATTCAGCCACAGAAAGATGAAATCCTGTCATTCCCAGCAATGTGGATGAGCCTGGAGGGCATTATGTTAAGTGAAATAAGTCAGGCGCAGAAAGATCATTGCCACATGTTCTTACTCATATGTGGGAGCTAAAAAAGTTGAATGCATCTAAGTAGAGAGTAGAATCATGGTTATGAGAGGCTGGGAAGGCTAGGAAAAAGGGTAAGATCAGAAAAGGTTGGTTAACGGATACAAGATTACAGGTAGATTAAAAAGAATGAGTTCTAGTGTTCTATAGCGCTGTAGGTTGACAGTTGACTATAGTTAACAGTAATTTATTGTATATGTTTAAGGAGTGAGGAGAGAGGATTTTGAATGTTTCTAAGATAAAGAAATGATAAATGTTTGAGGCGATAAATACATTGTTTACCCTGATTAGATCATTAAGCACTGGATATAGATATTGAAATATCGCTCTGTAGCCCATAAATATGTAAAATTATTGCATGTCGATTAAAAATAATTAAAGACAAAATCAAACGAGTTGCTCTGGCACTTGTCAGGCCCTTGCTAAGTGTTAGCTAACTTCCTGGGAGGCTAAGTAGGCTGATCTTTTTCCCTCCTCTCTTTCAACCCCTGATTCAAAAATTCTCTTCTGCTTTCTTCTCTTTTTTTGTCTTTCACTCTCTGTCGACTTTATCATCTTTTGTTTTCTCTCAGAACATTTGTGTGTGTGTGTGGTTACTTGGAATAGATACATCTTAAGATATTTTTAAAAGAGTAATCTGCTTGCTACTTTAAAAACTATTATTTTGTTGTTGTTGAGACAGGGTCTTTCTCTGTCATCCAGGCTGGAGTGCAGTGGCACGATCATGGCTTCCTGTAGCCTCAATCTCTTGGGCTCAAGCAATCCTTCTGCCTTAGCCTCCTGAGTGGCTGGGATTACAGGCATGCACCACTGCAGCTGGCTAATAGTTGTTTGTGGAACATCTTTTCATGTGCTTACTAACCACTTAAAAAAAATTATTTTTTTGAGACAGAGCCTCGCTCTGTTGCCCAGGCTGGAGTGCAGTGGTGCAACCTTGGCTCACTGCAACCTCCACCTCCTGAGTTCAAGTGATTCTCCTGCCTCAGCCTCCTGAGTAGCTGGGATTACAGGTGCGTGCCACCATGCCCAGCTAATTTTTGCATTTTTAGTAGAGACAGAGTTTCACCATGTTGGTCAGGCTGGTCTTAAACTCCTGACCTCGTGATCCATCTGCCTTTGCTTCCCAAAATACTAGGATTACAGGCATGAGCCACCATGCCCGGCCCATTTTAAAATTGTTTATGGAAAAATGTTTATTCATTTTATATGCTCATTTAAAATTATTTTTAAAAACTGTTGAATTTTAAGTTTTAAAAAGTATATTCTAGATACAGGCCCTTATGAGATAGGAGGTTTGCAAATATTTTTTCCCATTATGTGGGTGGTGTTTTCACTTTCTTGAAGTATCTTCTAAGAGTTTGATAGTGTCAGTGCTTCCATTTTGGCTTTTGACCCATTGTGAATGAATTTTTGTGTATGATAGGAGATGAGTCCATCTCTCTTCTTTTGCTTGTGGCTATCCAGTTGTCCTTGCACCAGTCGTTGAAAAGACTATTCTTTCCCCATTCAATGGTCTTGGTATCCTTGTCAAAAATAAATTTACCACAAATGTATTTTTTTTGTATTCTATGGATCTGCATGTCTATCCATGCCAGTACCATGCTGTCTTGATTACTGTTGCTTATAGTAAGTTTTGAAATTGGGAATCACGAGTTCTTTAAAGTTTTTCTTTTTCAAGATTGTTGTAGATATTTGGGGTCTTCTGCAATTCCATATGAATTTTAGGATCAGCTTGTCAGTTTCTACAAAGGAGCCAGCTATGATTTTGGTAGGGATTGCCTTAAATCTCTACATCATCCTGGAGAGTATTGCCATTACAACAATATTAAGTTTTTTCATCCATGAACATGAGATGTTTTTCATTTATTTACAATGGAAGGGAATTTCCTCAACCTGATAAAGTTCACCAATGAAAATTCCACAACTAACATACTTACTGGCAAAAAACTGGATCCTTTCCCCCTAAGACCAGAAACAAGACAAAGATGTTCACTCAAGCTGCTTCTATTTAGTATTGTATTAGAGGTCTAGCCACGGCAATTTGGCAAGAAAAAGAAGTAAAAGGCATCAAGGTCAAAAAGGAATAAGTAAACTCTGTATTCACAAATGATATGATCTTATATATAAAAAGTCCCAAGGAATCAGCTAAAAAACTGTTAGGACTGATAAATTTGGTAAGGTTGCAGGATACAAGATCAATATACTAAAATCAAATGTTTCTATACACTGAAAATAAAGGACCCAAGAATGAAATTAAGAAAACAATTCCATTTATAATAGAATAAAAATGATTAGTTATACATTTTATAAACACAAAACTTATATTCTGAAAACTACAAAACAGTGTTGAAAGGTTTTAATTTTGCTGGAGTCTAATTAATCACATTTTGCTTATATCCATGCCTTTTTCTATTTAGAAAATATTTATCTATCCCAATGTCACAAATACTTTCTCCTATTTAAAAGATGGAGATGTTATGGTCTTAGTTTTATGCATAGTTCTATAATCAGTTTGAGTGATTGTTTTATATAGTATGTGATGTAAGAATTGAGGTTCATTTTATCTAATGTGGATAACCATTGAATTGCCTTGTGAGTCTTTGTCAAAATCCACTGATCACATATGTGTTGGGCAATTCCTAAACTCTGTAATCTTTTGATTCATCTGTGTCTATGCCTATACCAATACCGGTACCACACTGTCTTTTTCACTGTAGTTTTATATTAAGTCTCAAAAGCAGTAGCGTAGGTTCTGTGAGTTTAATATTTTTCTAATTTATTTAGGCTATTCTGAATCCTTTCATTTAACTTAGAATCAGCTTTCTAATTTCTACAAAAGAAAGTCCTGCTGAGATTTTGATTCCAACAACATTGGAACTATAGATCAATTTGGAAAGATGTGGTCTACTCTTGTTTTTGCATCAGATTAATACTGACCTTGTTGGAATTGTTACTTTTCTCCTATTTTTCAGAAGAGTATGCGTGGAATGGGCATTATTCCTTTCCTTAATACTTGACAGAACTCACCAGTAAAGACGGCTGGAGCTGGAATTTTCATTGTGGAAAGGTTTTTAAAGTTCGGATTGTTATCTATTTCTTATTGAGTGAGAATTGGGAGTTTATATCTTTCAAGGAATTTGTCCACTTCACCTTAAGTTGGCAAATTTATTGACATACGTATAATATTCTGATATTATTCTTTTAATATGTTTAGGATCTGCAGCGATGTTATTTACGTTTAGGATCTGCAGCGATGTTACCTTTCATTCCTGATAGTGATAATTTGTTTCTTCTGTCTTTTTTATTTTTATATTTTACATCAATCTGGCTACAGGTTTATCAATTTTATTGATCTTCTCAAATAACCAGATTTGGGTTTCATGGATTTTCTTTTTTCTTTTTTTCTATCTCATTGATTTTTTTTTTCCTGGTTCTTATTGCTTCTTTTCTTCTACTTATTTTGGTTTAAATTTGCTCTCCTTTTTATAGTTTCTTCAGTTGGAAGCTGAGGCCATTACTTTTAGGCATTTCTTCATTTCCAACATTGGCATTTAGTGCTATAAATTTCTCCCTAAGTACTGCTTTAGCAGCAACAAACAAATTTTAATATATTGAGTTTTAATTTTCATTAAAGTCAAAAGAATTTTAATGTCTCTTTTGATATTTTGTTTCATCTATGGGATATTTACAAATGTGTTATTTAGTTTCCAAAAATTTTGTGATTTTACAAATATATTTCTGTTATTGATTTCTAATTTAATTCCATGTAGTCTGAGAAATTACTTTATCTCTAATCCTATTAAATATGTTGAGTCTTGTTTTATGTCCCAGAGTATGGACTATCTTGTTAAATGTTCTTCGTGCACCTGAAAAGAATGCATAATTTACTATTCTTTGGTGGAATTTTCTATAGCAGTCAATTAGGTCAAATAGGTTGATTTTGTGGCACAAGTCTACTAACTTCTATTTGTTCCATCTGTTATTTTAAAAAGAGTATTGAAATTCCTCATGATAAGTGTGAATTGGTCTGTATCTCCTTGGAGTTCTACTAGTGTTTGTTTCATAGGTTTTGAAGCTCTGTTATTAGATACATAAATGTTGAGAATTGTTATATCCTCCTGATGAACTGGTCATTTCATCATTTTTGACCATCTTTATTCATGGTAGTACTGTTTGCTCTGAAACTTGGTCTGATATTAATATGGTCATTCCTCCTTTTGCTAAATTTGCTTTAGCATTATATATATATACATATATCCACCTTTTTACTTGAACCAAATTATGTCATTATATTTAAAGTGGATTTCTTGAAAGTGGCATATGATTGGCTTTTTTCCCCCATCATCTGATAACTTCTGCCTTTTAATTGGGGCATTTAGGACACTGAAATAATGTTCTTACTGACATAGTTATGTGTAAATATTTCATTTACTATTTGTTTTCTTTTTGTTCTATCTGTTCCTTTCTCCTTTTTTTCTTTTGGATTTATTAAAAATATTTCTTACGATTCTATTTCATCCTTTTGTTGATGTATTAGTTGTAACTTTATGCTTTGTTATTTTAATGGTTGCTTTAATGTCTGCACTGAACTTCTTTAACTTGTCACAATCTACTTTCAAGTGATGTATCACTTCACCTATAGCACAAAAATCTTACAATAGTATACTTACATTTTTTCTTCCCTAGTGTTTGTGCTATTGTTCCACAAATTAGTGTTACTTGTTTTATAAAGTCTACATTACATTGTCCTTATTTTTGTTGATGCAATCAATCATAAATAACTTAATGTAATAACAAAAAACTTCCATATTTGGTCATGCAGTTACCATTTCTGATATTCTTCATTTTTTTTTTGTAGATTGTTACTTCCTTCTAGTATCATGTTCCTTCTGCCTGAAAGACAGTATATTTATTCTAGTGCAAGTCTGTTGGTGATTTTTTTATTTCAGTTTTTGTTCATCTGAAAAAAAGTTACTTAAAATAAAATGCTTATGTAATTTTAGGTTGACTGTTTTTACAAAAAGTACTTTAAAGATGTTGCTGCCCTATATTCTGACTTGTATTTTTTCCAGTGAGATATCTGTTGCCATCCTTATCTTTATCTGTGTGCAATATGCCTTTTTTCTCTATTTTCTTTAGAACTAACTTTGACCAATTTGGTTATAATGTGCCTCAATGTAGGCAGTTTTTCTTTACATTTCTTGGGCTTGGAGTTCATTGAGCTTTTTGAATCTGTATCTTTATAGTTTCCAATAAATTTGATTTTTTTTCAAATATTTATCTTCTCATCTCTCTCCTTTCCTTTGGGCACTCCAATTATACAGGTTATATCACTTGAAGTTGTCCCAGAGATCACCAATGTTCTGTTTATTTTTGACCTGCTTTTTTTACTCACTCTATTTAATTTTGAATGAATTCCATTGCTATGTCTAGTTCACCAATCTTTTCTTCTACATTGTTTAATTTGCTTTTAATCCCATCCAGGTTATCTCACATACTCTCACACATTGTAATTTGCATCTTAACTTGTGTCTTTTACATATTTACTAAACTTTTTCAACATATGGAATACAGTTGTAATAAGTGCTTAATGTCTTGGTTTGCTAATTCTAACATGTGTGTCAGCTCTGGGTCAGTTTAGATTGATTGTTTTTCCTCCCGATTGTGGGTTGTATATTTCTGCTTTTTTACATGCCTGGTAATTTTTAAGTGTGTGCCAGACATTGTGAATTTTACCTAAATAGGGGCTGAATATTTTCACATTTTTACACATATTGTTGAGTTTTGTTCTGAGATGCAGTAAAGTTACTTAAAAACATTTTAATATCCTGGTATTAAGCTTTTTAGGTGACACCAGAGAAATATTTAGTGTTGATGCAGTTACTCTCCACTATTAAGGCAAGACCTTCTGAGCACTCAACCCAGTGATTGTGAATTATAAGGTTTTCTAGTCTGACTAGAAGAGTTAGGTACGAATTAATTTTAGAGATAGGGTCTTGCTCTGTCACCGAAGCTGGAATGCAATGGCATGATCATAGCTCACTGGATCCTGAAACTCCTTGGCTCAAGCTATCTTCCTGCCTCAGCTGCCTTAGTAAGGTAGCTGGGATTACAGGTGCACCACTGCACCTGGCTCTGTCTTCACTTCCCCTGGATTCTCGGCTTCATATTCTTAACTCAGGTTAACTGCAAGGTTTCCACCTGAGTTCCTCTTCTTGGAAATTTCATCAAGGTGGAAAGATGGAGCAATTGTATGGTTCAAAAAATTTATTTCCTATCCCTTGAGTCCCCATCCTTCATTTTCTGATGTCCAGTGTCTTGAAAACAAATTTTTTCAAATATTTCAGTTTTTGATTGTTTCCAGATGAGGATAAATCTGGTCCTATTATTTTGTTTTGGTTGAAAGTGGAAATCATGATATATTTTAAAAAGTTTCATTTATAAATGTTTTGTTGGGGAGTATTTAGGTATAATTTTGATTGTTAATGTGTTTATTTAGAATCTAGCTAATTTATTAACTCTTAATCATAATGTATTTTCTAATTCATTTTATTTCATTTTCTAAGTAATTATCATCTGTATAATGATTATTTTCCACCACACTTTTCTAATAGTTACATAACTAATTTTCTTTTTTATCTTATTTGCATGTCCTGGACTTCCAGAACAATAATTAATAAGGTTGATAATGAATATCAGAACTTTTTTCCTAGTGTTAATGAGAACAACTCTAGTATTTCAGGGTAATTAGAATGTTTAATGTTAGTTTGAGATTACTATTTTCTATCATGTTAAGCAAGAATGCTTTTGTAATGTGTTCTTAATTAGAGTTTTTATAGAAACAATTTTAGGATATATTGGGCGAATTATTTATGATGCATCCTATGCATGCTTTCCCTTACTTTCTTGAATAAAACTTCTTAAGTTGTAGTATTCTAATATTTTAAAATACTATTGGCTGGGCACAGTGGCTCACGCCTGTAATCCCAACACTTTGGGAGGCTGAGGCAGGCAGACCACTTGAGGACAGAAGTTTGAGACCAGCCTGGCCAACATAGCGAAACCACACCTTTACTAAAAATACAAAAATTAGCCGGGCAGTGGTGGCAGGTGCCTGTAACCCCAGCTACTCAAGAGGCTGAAGCAGGAGAATCACTTGAACCCAGGAGGCAGAGTTTGCAGTGAGCCAAGATAGTGCCACTGTACTCCAGCCTGGGCAACACAGAGACTCTGTCTCAAAACAAACCAACCAACAAACAGAAAAAATTATTGACTTTTCTTCACTAGTACTTGTAAGACTTTTATTCATATCTGCAAATATCTAGAATCACAATTTTTTTTTAAATTTTGCTTTTGTTTTTATTTTCCTAATATCTTGAAAATTAGAGGGAAAATAGAAAAAAAGCATTAATTGTTCACCCTGCTTTAGTGTAAAATACTTAAATACTACACACTTGATATTATACCTCTTCACAATCTAAGTAATTTTACTTAAGTCTAAAACAGGGAATTATAATTTCTTTATGGTATGTTAATTAATTCAGTTTTCTTGAGTCAAAAATGACAAATTCAAACAGCTTGTTGGCTATTTTAACTATTTTGCAAACCAAGAAAAAAAATTGAAAATAGTCTCTTTGTTTTCTCTAGCAGGCCATTTCATTCTGTCTAGGAACTATATGCTGTAATTTTTTGAAAAATTTTAAAACATGCATTTGTTCATGACAGTTCTCTGTGGACATCAAATTTATTTAAAAATACTAGGCTTAATTTACTTTACTTATCAGCTATTTTGAAAACAAAGGGATAATAATTGCCTACTAGCATGTTTAAGGAAATTCAGCTTGTTCTTTCCATATTGGTTATTTGACCTAATTATGACGGCTGTGAGGGAAGGGTTGCTAGAAATTGCTATTATCATATGTGAACTGAACCCCAGAGTGCTGATCAAGGCCATGTTGACTCTTAGGTGATCAGTCATGAGCACATTAAAAAATATGTGATGTCCCAAATCTTACCTAATGAGAGGTATGGAAATCAATTCAACTCAGTAAAGTCTGGAGATTCTTGTTTTGTATTCATTATTAGCAAATAATTTCAATAAGTATTTTGCATATTCTTTGCTGTCCAAAGTATTTTATCATTGTATTATAATAAAAAATTACCATGAATTAAGAAAATAATTTATTTTTCTTTGCTAATTTTTGTCTTAGGAAATATTGAACTGTTGTGGGTTTTGCAGATTTTGCTGTGTAGTAGTAGTATGCAGAATGCTTATAACCTTGAAATGGAAAATTTCTGAGAAACACTGGAAGGGTTTTTGAGGCCTAAATGATCTCAGGTGGGCAGACATAAGAAAACTGGGGAGACCCCACTGCCTACACAGACTCCTGACTTTCAGAAAATTTAAAAAGGCTTATTTGGTTAAACAATAACACATGCATTCATATGTTAATCTCGCTTTCAGTTTATAAGCTCCTAATCCATTGTTGAGAGGAAATGTTAAATTAAAAAAGCTAAATTTAAAATCAAAAGCATTTCCATGCATAATTTTAACATAGAATTGTTTTGTTTTTAACAATTTCCATTGTTATCAGAAGAGTCAATAACATTTCTATATTTCACACTTAAGGCCACATTCCTAAAGTGGTTTCCACATAAAGATGTGAGTAAAGGTTCATTTGACCAAAGAGTTCTCTGAGGAAAACAGATTTGGAAACAGTGTAAACTTCCACCTTTAATATTAACATATTAGAGACACTAAGAAATGCATTAGTTTACTTAGCTTTCTCCAAATATATTTGACAATGGAATATTTTCCCAGAAGACAATTTGATAAAAACCTATGGTCCTTATATGACCTATAGGGTCCTGAGCAATCTGGTCTGCTGATCCTTCCTAACTTTGTCTTCCACCCATGCCCTCTACCATTGCCAATTCCAACCCCATGGCCTCTTTGCTGTTCATTAGAAGCACCCAGCACATTCCCATCTCAGGGATTTTGTGGCAGCTGTGTCTCCTTTCTGGAATGCTCTTCCCTTTGATAGCTGTATGACCTGCTGTCTCGCTCCCTTTATACGTCTCCTCAAAAGAAACAACTTCTCCCATAACGCTGCATAAAAAAGTAACTCTCTAATCTTCTTTCTTTTTCCCTTGCCTTTTGGCCTTCCTTTTGAAATAATATATACTTACCTTTAATTTATTAAAAGTAATGGCAAAAACTACAATTACTTTTGCACCAACCTAATATTATTGATTGTCTCCTGTAACTAGAACACCAGCTCTACTTGGACAGGGTCCTATCCTGTACTGTTTGCTAATGGATCTGCAGGGCCTGAGTGGCATCTGGCATGCAGACCATGCTCAATCACCTTATGGAATAAATGAAGGGGTGGATGGATGGATTTTGCCCAACTACTGTGTTTGTGAGGGTAATAAGAATAATAGCAATAATAATTACAATGACAACAATAATAACAATAATCACTAGATAACACATATTGGATGCTACCATGAGCCAGGTGGAGGCTTCATAGTTTGAGAGGAAAGTGGGTCAAATTGTGTATCATGTTGATTTCCACTAGACTGAGCTTGGGCTTCACTCTTCATGCAGTGGGAAGTTACCATCTTCACTGAGGATTGAGGTGAGTGGTATTTGGAGAACACGAATTGGTGGTAGGATGGATTGCATGAAGGATAATGGAATCCATCCAAACCATGTCAACCAGCATTCATTACCTCCAAACTAGGGGAGCAGAAATGGAAAATAGTCACATTTGAGGGACATTTTGGAGTTATCCATAATAGTATTAATTAGTGGTAATGGGGATAGAGTAGGTGAGGAGGAGAGAAGGATATAAGATCATTTCTGTGGCTTTCAGCCACACTGGGGAAACTAGCCCAAAAGTAATTTGCTTTTGGGCACCCTGAGTTTGAGGGGCCAATTGGCCATGCCTGTGTTGGTTGTAGTTGAAAGTGAGCCTTGAGCTCAACAGGAGGGACTGGGTTAGACTTGCAGACCTGAGAGTCTTCACACCGACAGTGGTTGAGGGAGACAGGGTAACATCCAGTATGTTAGGGAAGCTGCAAAACGTAGAATAGTGAATGGTCCAGCAGAGTGAGAGTGCAGTTAGTTTTCAGTGTAATATGGGGCTGAAAGTGGGAGCAGAAGTAGCAGGAAGAGTTATTGGACTTGGCATTGAGAAGATTGCTTATCTAGGTGAGAAGAGAGAAGGGTTTCAAAAGAGCATGAAGATGTAACCCAGATCATGGGGGTTTTCGGAATGAGTCTTCCCAGAGCACATTGTATTTCTCTCAGGAAGCTCTTACCATACAGTGACAATTTGTTTAGAGATTGTTAACCATTCTGTGATAATGTGCTTGTTCTTCTATAAGCAGCCCATGAGGCCCTTGAAGGCTGGGCTTGTTTTCTGCCTGATCTGTCCTCTGTGCCAAGCATCATGCCTGAGAGATACTGGGTGCTCTGTAAGGGATGGCAGAATGTGTGAGTGAATGGATGGGGAAAAGCGTGGTGGAAAGGGAGGCCATGGCTGTAGACACTGACTTCCATTGTTACAGTCTTCAGTTAGAAGGAGAGGAAGAAAGGTTGGATAGTTGTTAAAGATGGCAAGTGGTCCAGGATAGACTTTTTAATGTGGGAGAGATGTGAATATCATTATGGACTAAAGAGAAGAAGTAAGGGAGAGCAGAGACTGAACATACAAAGAAAGGGACCAGATGATGGGATGATGTCTAAGAGGAGAAAGAAAGGGATATGCCCAGAGTACTGGTCAAGGAATTCAACCCTGGTCTGTGAGCTTATAAGCCAAGAATCAGAAGAATTGCACCAGTACCATGTTATTTTGGTTACTGTAGCCTTGTAGTATAGTTTGAAGTCAGGTAGCATGATGCCTCCAGCTTTTTTCTTTTTGCTTAGGGTTGTCTTGGCTATATGGGCTCTTTTTTGGTTCCATATGAATTTTAAAGTAGTTTTTTCTAATTCTGTGAAGAATGTCAATGGTAGTTGAATGGGAATAGAATTGACTCTATAAATTACTTTGGGCAGTATGGCCATTTTCAAAATATTGAGTCTTCCTATCCATGAGCATGGAATGTTTTTCCATTTGTTTGTGTCCTCTCTTATTTCCTTGAGCAGCGGTTTGTAGTTCTCCTTGAAGAGGTCCTTCACTTCCCTTGCTAGCTATATTCTTATGTTTCTCTTTGTGGCAATTGTGAATGGGAGTTCATTCATGATTTGGCTCTCTGTTGTCTATTGTTGGTGTATAGGAATGATTGTAATTTTTGTACGTTGATTTTGTATCCTGAGACTTTGCTGAAGTTGCTTATCAGCTTAAGGAGCTTTTGGGCCAAAATGATGGAGTTTTCTGGATATAGGACCATGTCATCTGCAAACAGAGACAGTTCGACTTCCTCTCTTTCTATTTTAATATGCTTTATTTCTTTTTCTTGCCCAATTGCCCTGGCCAGAATTTCCAATACTATGTTAAATAGGAGTGATGAGAGAGGGCATTTTTGTCTTGTGCCAGTTTTCAAGGGGAATGCTTCTAGCTTCTGATCATTCAGTAAGATACTGGTTGTGGGTTTGTCTTATTATTTTGAGATGTGTTCCATCAATATACCTAGTTTATTGAGAGTTTTTAACATGAAGGGATGTTGAATTTTATCAAAGGCCTTTTCTGCATCTATTGAGATAATCATGGTTTTTGTCTTTAGTTCTGTTTATGTGATGAATTACGTTTATTGATTTGTGTATGTTGAACCAGGCTTGCGTTTGGGGATGAGACACATAGACCAGTGGAACAGAATAGAGATCTCAGAAATAAGACCACACGTCTACAACCATGTGATCTTTGACAAACCTGACAAAAATAAGCAATGGAGAAAGGATTGCCTATTTAATAAATGGTGCTGGGAAAACTGGCTAGCCATACGGGGAATATTGAAACTGAACCCCTTTCTTACACCTTACACAAAAATTAACTCAAGATGGATTAAATAATTAAGTGTAAAACCCCAAATTGTAAAAACTCTAGAAGGAAATCTAGGAAATACCATTCAGGACATAGGCAAAGGCAAAGATTTCATGACAAAAACATCAAAAGCAATTGCAAAAAAACCGAAAATTGACAAATGGGATCTAAACCAAAGAGCTTCTGCACAGCAAAAGAAACTATCATCAGCGCAAACAGACAACCTATGGAGTAAGAGAAAATTTTTGCAATCTATCAATCTGACAAAGGTCTAATATCCAGAATCTACAAGGAACTTAAGCAAATTTACAAGAAAAAAAACAACCCCATTAAAAAGTGGGCAAAGGACATTAACAGACACTTCTCAAAAGAAGACATGCAGTCAACAAACATATTAAAAAACTCAGCACCACTGATCATTAGAGAAATGCCGATCAAAACCACAATGAGATACCATCTCACACCAGTCAGAATGGCAATTATTAAAAAGTCAAGAAACAGGCCAGGTGTGGTGGCTCACACCTGTAATCCCAGCACTTTGGGAGGCTGAGGCGGGCAGATCACAAGGTCAGGAGATCCAGACCATCCTGGCCAACATGGTGAAACCCCGTCTCTACTAAAAAAAATACAAAAAATTAGCAGGGCATGGTGGCGGGTGTCTGTAGTCCCAGCTACTTGGGTGGCTGAGGCAGGAGAATGGCGTGAACCCAGGAGGCGGAGCTTGCAGTGAGCTGAGATCACGCCACTGCACTCCAGCCTGGGCGACAGAGCGACACTCTGTCTAAAAAAAAAAAAAGAAAGAAAGAAAAAGAAAAAAAAGTCAAGAAACAAAAGATGTTGGCGAGGCTGTGGAGAAATAGGAACGCTTTTACACTGTTGGTGGGAAGGTAAATTAGTTCAACCATTGTGGAAGACAGTGTGGCAATTCCTCAAAGACCTAGAACCAGAAATACCATTTGACCCAGCAATCCCATTACTGGGTATATACCCAAAGGAATATAAATCATTCTATTATAAAGTTACATACGTGTGTATGTTCACTGCAGCACTATTCACAATAGCAAATATATGGAATCAACCCAAATGCCCATAAATGATAGACTGGTTAAAGAAAATGTGGTACGTATACACCATGGAGTACTATGCAGCCATAAAAACGAACAAGATCACATCCTTTGCAGGGACATAGATGGAGCTGGAAGCCATTATCTTTAGCAAACTAACATAGGAACTGAAAACCAAATACTGCATGTTCTCGCTTGTGAGTGGGAGCTGAACAACGAGAACGTGTGGACACAGGGAAGGGAACAACACACACTGGGGCCTATTGGGGGAGGTGGGGATAAGGAGAGCGTCAGGATAAATAGTAAATGCGTGTGGGGCTTAATACTTAGGTAATGGGTGAAGCAAACTACCATGGCACATGTTTACCTATGTAACAAATCTGCATGTCCTGGACATGTATACCAGAACTTAAATTAAACTAAATTTTTTTAAAAAGAAGAATTGCGAAGTAGCTGACTGGGGTCATTGTGTCAACAGCCTGTTCCCCAGCCAGCCTCAGTAGCCCAGGCTTTGTGAATAAGACCACAGGGATGAGCTGATCCAGGAAGGATTTGCATGGTGGGTATGGCAGAATGACAACAAGGGGAAGATCCAAGGAGATGGTAAGAGAGAGTTGATGGAGTGGGGGGTGCCCAAGAGGTGGAGCCCAGATGGGTGAATGAGTGAAGGCAGAGGCAGTTGGTGTGCTAGAAGACATTGGGGTAGGGGTAGGGCACTGAAGAAGCTCTGATACAGTCAAATACCTCCAGCTATTTTTTTTTAATTGAGAGAAAAGCATGAATGAAAATACATTGAAATACTCACAGTGGTTATGCTTGGGCAGTGGAATTACGATCCTAGTTTTATTTCTTCCCTGTCTCTAATTGATGGTATATTCTTACATACATTTTTTTAAAATGGTAATTTTCTTAAAAAAGAAGGGAGAAACATATCTAACAGTTTCTGAGCTGTATTTTGTGGAACTCTAGTGATGACTGAGATGTTAAGAGGTATCGGCACGGAAACAGGTTTCCATAGACAGTTGTTTTGGAAAATGATGTATTAAGGCCAAAAAAGACTTCTTAACTGCAGGATTTCTCAGTAACATTCTATTGTATGCACATCACGAATCTCTAAAAAAGTCAAAAGCACAGTATTTTCCCATTGAATTTCTGTACTGAATTCTTCATTCAAGGACCTCTTCTTACTATCCCTTGGTGGAGCTGATTTGGAAAATGCTACCTTGGATGGTAACTAGAGTACTGTGTCTACCTATGCTAGCATCCCAAGAAGGTAAGAGTTGATAAAACCATTGTCACTACTTTAATGGGTTAAGCTTTGAGGCATGATGTGTGCTTCATGATGATTTTCTCTGTAATCACCGTGTCATACAGTAGTTTGGTCAGGATTAGCCCAGCTCATCGTTTCTTAGTTTGCTAAGTCGAATGAAGACAGAAGAGTGAACATTAGACATAGATAGGGGGAGCAGGATATTGCAG
The DNA here is from genome assembly GCF_000001405.40 of Homo sapiens. Lineage (NCBI taxonomy): Eukaryota > Metazoa > Chordata > Mammalia > Primates > Hominidae > Homo > Homo sapiens. Next base: position 128,360,132 of record NC_000010.11, read on the forward strand.
TGAAACTTGTTCCCAGTGAAAGAGACACTGAGATGGAGTTAGGAGTATAAAAGTCTTGTCAGGAAGAAACACCTGTGATGGGGCCAAGCAGAACTGCAGAACTGGGCATGAAGCTGTTGGATTGTGATGCAGTCAGCAACATGCATGCCAGAACAACATGCACGTCACCTGAGCCGAAGCAAAGATGCTGCGAAAGGAGGCCCATGTTGGACGGAAATGCCCTGCCCTGCAATGACTGCCTCACTCAGGCCCTAACTGGGGGCCACCCCAGGAAAAGACTGACTCTAGCTACCACCTCATTACTCAGTCCCTGGCTGCAGACCAAAGAGAACTTGACCTTGGCTCCAAAGCTGAGGTAGATGGGCAGAGGTTAATAACTGGAGACCTCCTTCCTTCAGTAGGACAGAGAGACCTTTCTTGAAGGAAGGTCTGAGCAGTACAAATCCATGTATGCAATAAGGCCAGACCTTTTGGTTGCATCTGGTGAAAATTCTAAAATGAAGAGTCAGGGGATGTGGAAGATGTGCTGGTTGCTTTTCTTGTTTGTTTCCTGTTACTGTGGGGATGGGGCATTTCCTTTCCCTGAGTAGTGCCTTGCTATTCCATTTTCCATCCTGCTCTTTGCCAGCTGCTATAACAGGTGCCAGACTCTGGGGTGCAGCCACCCTGGCCCATGGCATCATGTCACCATGGTACGTTGCAATACCATTGTCATGGTGGGGACACCACAAGGTGTTTGTTACTACAATTGCTGATCATCATCAACGGTTCAAGGCTATCCTTGGTGTGGCATTCCTCTTACTTCCCTGCTTCTGCTATATGCTCCTTGCAGGGATTGGGGGTTTGGACAGCCCCAGGAAGGGCCTAGAGATAGGCCTCAGAGCATGGTGGGCCTGCTGCAGGCCAGAGTTGTGCATGCCAGCGTCCTCTGTCTCCACTGGAGAAATGTGGAGTTCTGTCATCTCAAGGAGGCCTTGCATGGCAGGGCCAGGCCACTTCCCTGTTGGACTTCAGGTGGTTCTCTTTCCTTCTGGAACCCACAGTCTGGAGAACCACATTGCAACTCTGCACTTTAAAGAATTTCTCTCCATCTTTCAAATCTGCTTTTCCTTCCTGTATTGCTGTCTTGTGCTTGCTTTGCTACTCACAACTCATTTATACACATCTTTGTGGGTGTGTGCGATGCTCAGCTTTGCATTTTATGAGTTGTAGGCTGCACTTATTACTAGAATCATCTGTTTGTGGCTGGTTATAAAGAGAAAAGTTTGCTATCTAGATGTGATCCCACTTGGATTCCTAATACTGGGAACAGGAGCATCGCAAGATGGGAAGGGACAGGTCTCCTTTCTCTCAGTTCCAAGGGTAATTGGCTTCGGTATGCACATCGAAAAACCTGCAGAGGTGTAGAACAGAGGTGCCGGCTTACAGGGCAACTTCTAAAATGGAGGAGTCTACTGGCTTCATCAGTGGATGACTACAGCCTATCCTGCTACTATGTTCACCCATGCAGTGAGTTTTGGGGCCTCTGTTCTGGGCCCAGGCATAGTGTGAGGCTGTAGGGACACCAGGGCAGTGGCCCAGGGGAGGAGAGAGATGTGAAGACAGATCAGCACAGTGGCTGTGACGGTGCCTCGGCAGGTCCACTGGCGGATGTGGAGGAATTATCCCTCCATGCCCCATTCAGGAACGAAGCTCTCTGTGGAGACCTGGATTTGATTCCATTTGGGAGGGTGATTTTCATGATGTGGTCCCCTGGTTTCTAGTGAATTAGGTCTGACTTTTAACTCATTTCACCTAACACGCAGTGGTTTTATGGGAATTAATTAGGTAAAGGGCTCCTTAGGGGTAGAGCCAATCCGAAAACACGTTCTCTCCTTTCTCTTAAATAATTTGAAGAGGAATCTATGAGATACTGACTGGTTTACCTTTTCAGACTTCAGAAGGCCAAAGATCAGATCCAATAATTTGCTTCATGAAAAAATAACAAAACAAAGGTTAACATAATCCAGATTTTCAGTGTATTTTATTGTGATGGTCCTTTATTGCCTTTCTACTGGGGTTGATGGGCAAATGATGAACAGGATAGTTAAGCACATCTCCCAAGCTACAAGCTTCAGAAAACAGTTTACAGGACAATTAACTGTCAGGAAGTCCATATCCCCTGAGAAGGCTCATCGTCCTGGAAAGTCTTGAGTCTGAGCCCTGACTCTGAACAAGGAGAGAGGCCTCAGTTTCCCTCTATTCAATTTAGTTTACAAACATCTCCTGAGCACCCCATCCATGCCTGGTGCAGTGGAGGCACGGCCGTGGTGATTGATAGCCACTTCCCATCATTGGCAGCTTGCATCATCACGGGATGCTGGGACCAGTAAACAGGCAACTCCAATACTGCAGGCCAAGCCCTGTGTTGGGAGGGAATACCTGGCACCTTGAAAGAAAGGAGAGCCATACCCAAGCTGCTGCGGGGTCTCAGACAGATTCCTGGAGGAGGCGATGCTTCAGCTGAAACCTGGCAGACAAGAGAGTGAGTCCTGAGAAGGCGGTGCCAGGCTGTGGCTGGGGACTAGAGGAAGAGGAGGTGGGGCCATTCACAGTAGATCTGGAGCAGATGGGGTGGGCAGGGCTTAGGAAACTCCACTGGTCTCATTTTCAACTCAGAATCATTGAAGACAGTGTTTGGGAGGTGCCAAGCTCCGATTTGTGCTTATGAAGAGGACTCTGCAGTGGACTGGAGGAAGCTGGCCTGCAGGTGAGGAGATTGGAGGCAAAGTTAATGCAGCCACACAGGCAGGAGATGATGGGGATCTAACTCAGCAGAGGCAGCAAGAACAGAGAGTGAGAGATGTGGTGGGACGTGGTGGTTGGGCTGCAGCGAGGGAGGCATCAAAAAGGGCTCCCAGATGTTGGTCCATTTGCTGGGATGGGAGGATGGAAACCAGAGCAGGTGTGAGAAAGGGATCCCAGGGTTCAGTCTGGACATACCACATGTGAGGGTCTCCCGGACTGCCCAGTGCAGCTGGCAGGGAGGTGGGTGGTGTGGGGGTTTGACTTTTTACCCCACGAAGTATGTGTTCGAATTCTAACCCCTGCTCCTAGTGATGGTAACCTTATTTGGAAACAGAGTCTTTGTAGATGCAGTCAAGTCAAGATGAGATCATACTGGATTAAGGTGCGTCCCTGACCCAGTGACTGGTGGGCCATAATCCAGTGACAGTGTCTTTGTAAGAGGAAGGAGAGGAAGATTCCAACACCGAGCCACAGGGAAAGCACAGAGGCAGGTTGCAGTGATGCAGTTGGAAGCTGGGGGATGCCCAGGGTTTCCAGCAGCAACCAGAAGCTGGAGAGAAGGGACTGACCTTGCCAACACTTCACTTCTGACTTCTGGTCTGTGGGACTGTGAGACTATACATTTCTGTTGCTTTGAGCCCCGCCTTTTGTGGTCATCTGTGATGGCAGCACCAGGACACTAACACAGGTGGGTCCATAGAATTTAGAAGAGAAATCTGACTGAGCTGGAGATACAGGCCAGAGAGGCATCAGCAGAAGGGCTGATGAGGCCTTCAGAGCTCATCCTGGGTGATCTACGCAGAGAGAGTAGAAATAAGAAATAGTAATCGTCACACCAGGTGGAGGGAATCATGGGCTTCCTCAGAAGAGGGGGAGCCTCCTAAACCCCACTCCCCAGGTGAATTATGCAATCGACTAAAAGTGGAAGGCACCGCTCTAAGACAGAGCTCCTTAGAATTCAACATTTAGAGGATCCACTAAAATGCAGACTTGGGTTTGTGGGTCTGCAGTGGGACCTGAGATTCTGCATTTCTCACAACTCCCAGCTGAAGCCCTGGATTGCATTTGGAGAGGTGAGGCCTTGAAGGGTTGGTCTTGTTAGGAGGAGACCAAGGTGGAGCAACCAGAGAGGTACTACCAGGAGGGGTCTGCCTTGATGCCAAGGGAGAAGGAACACTTGGAAGGTGCTGTACTGCTGGGTCCCAGTGCCACTCAGAGACAGGAGAGTGGGAACAAGTGTCCAGCGAACCATGCAACAGAGAAGGTGCTGCTGTTATGGGAAGAGAAGGGGCGTGGAAAAAGGTAGAAGTGCTTTTGGTGAACGGTGGCTGAGGTGAGCGGAAGCTTAGGGTGAGAATCTGAGGGTGGGGACAAAGGAGGGTGAGAGGAGATGACTTCCTAAGACATCTGGAAGAAAACTCATAGACTGGGTGACTGCATCTGGGCATGGTGAGGAGTGAGGTACCAGGAACTTGAGACAGATGACTGAGAAGTGAACTCATTGCTGGTAGAGTTGGGTGGGGACTGGGGAAAGTGAGGGGCTGAGGGAACCGAGTTGGGAGGAGAAAACAAGTCCAGGTGAGAGAGTAGGTTGATGGTCTTTGTGATTTTCACTCTGGTGTTTTTGATTCACTTCCACATCCTTTGTATCTCAAGTCAGAGATGGCTTAGGGCATCAAGAAGCTGGGGCCCGACCTTGTTCTGACTTCGGGAAATAGTGCAGGGCAGGAGGGATGTGGCCCCACCTCGGCTGTCACCTCCCTTCCACCTCCTGTGCCCTCACCAACCCTGACATGGAAAGCAATTGCATTGGCTTTGCTACAGTTTCAGACATTTCAGCCAGGGGCTGCATGGAGGAAAAGTTTGCTTTCTGAAGGCGGGGTCTTGTTTCACCTCTGGGCTCAGGCCAAGCACTCAATAATGTCTGGGGAAGCCAGGTTGTAAGTATGGCTGAGGTCCTGGGTATGGGGAGAGAATAGCTCGTGCCTGTGGGTGTTAAGAGGTTTTGTGCTGCAATTCAGGGAGGTTGGCCACATCTCTAATATGCAATTTAGATCCAGAGCCTGTGTGTATTTCAATCTTTTATGGCTGGCTGGAATAATCAAATCCATATAAGAAACCTTGAAGGAAATCAGTGCGGAGTGGATTTTGTTGAAACCACAAGCTATGAAAATTGGATGTAAGGTGTACACCTCCCAGGTGCCTCAGTGATGTCCCTGCCTTGCCAAGACTTCACCAGCGGATGGGAGAAAAGGTATTGGACGGTGCACATGCCATTAAATCTTCTGATGGCTGTGCTGGGCTGAAATCTGCTGGGTGCCATGGGCAGAGAGGCCACCACAGCGCTCTTTGCTGGGCTGGTGGGCGCCCTCCAGTTGGAACTCTGTCGAATAATAACTCCTCGGTGGAAATGGTCTGGCTCCCAAACACATGGTTTATGGCTGAAATGGAAAAGCTCCCGAGCGCCATCAATGACACTCTCACTGCTTATAAAGACATGTGGGTTCTTTTCCAGTAAAAAATAAGGCTGCTGCCATTTCCCCCCAAGCCATAAATGATTCAAATGTCAAGCTCGCCTGTGCCTTATGCACTGCGGATGTATTGACTTATCGAAGAAGCGGACGCATTATAGGCAGCTTGCCTTCCCTTACAACTCCATATTTATGTTTGAAATCTCAGGATATGTTATCTGCGCGCTCGCCACCTTCCCTTCCTCCACAGGAGATTTACAAGGCAGCCAGCCGGCAGAAGAGGGACAAAGAAGTAAATATAGTAATATGACAGATTTATTTTGATTTGTTTTATGTGCTTGTGATCTTGCATGCTTTATGTGCTTCTCTATATCTGGGTTCTGTCGTTCTTTTCCTGCCTGTTCACCCCTTTTAAAATAGCAAGTTCAGCAAGTTCTTGGAGGGAGGATATGGCCAAGGGAGAGGGAGAATCATGCAGTTTCCAAGCTATCCGCTTCATCACAACACGTTTTTTTTTTCTTTCTTTCATTTCTCCTTACATTTGTTTATTTTTCTTGTACGTGAATACCTGGCTCCTGGCAGCATTTCTGTAGAAGAAGCTGTCCATTCATTCATTTTTTCTTTCTATTTTCAGTAATGGTTGTGTAGAAGCTGGCAGGAATAAGGGTTCATGGTCTCCATCTGTGTCCTTCCTGCAGACGGTGCTCTCTTCTCTGTCTTCTAACTTTCCAGCAGAGGCTGTGGCTTGGTCCTCCCTGCCCTCTCCTTTACCAAGGGCCACAGTGGAGGTGGCCCTCCATGTCCACTTCCCTGAAACAAAGCCGTGGGGTGGGCAGCCCCTGCGGACCAGGCCGGGCAGGCTGGGTGGTGGGAGGTCTGTTGGAGGCTGGAGCTTTTGATGCAGAAAGATCGATCTTGAAGAGCCAAGGGGGCACTTAACCCTGCTGATTTTTTTTTTTTTTTTGGCCAGAAAAAAAAAAAAAGAAAAAAAACAGAACTAGAGGAAATGAGAAGTACCCGGGCAGAGAATTGCTTCAGAGACACCGAGGCCACCTGCCCCGTGGCCTGAAAGGCAGCACTTAAGGAAAATTATAGAGCAGGAGATAAGTGGGTGCTGGCTCCCCTCAGGTGACGGGTGTCAGAGCGCATCATGAGCGACTCACGTTAAATGCTCCAGACGAACTAGCTGACAAGATACTCATGGAGTCACAGCAAAGGTGCAAAATCACTTAGCGTCACCATCCCAGGGGAGCCCCAGCATTTCTGTCACCTTAAGCAAAACTGGCTTAAAACAAAACAAAGCGAAAGGCCCTTGGCAGGGTATCTATGGAAATGACTGGAAACTGCTGCTGGAAATTTAGGTTTTGCTTTCGTGTTCTTCCCAGGATGAACGTTGCATGGTACTTTTCAGGAGGAAACCATGCTTGGAAAGACCCAGCTTGGAAAATGTGAGAGTTCAGGACGTTGCAGGCTTGTCCAGCACAAGCCACAGAGAGCCAGGGTGGGCATTGACCCCCACGGCCTGTAGCAGCCGGGGGTGTGCCCAGAGCATGGCCAGGGTCGGTTCAGACATGCTCAGATGACAAAGGGACAGAAAGCCAGGCAGGGCTGGAAGCCCACGGCTGGGCAGTCTGCGGGTGTCCCTTCTCCCAGCACGCAAGGCTCATCTCAAGCTGCACGAAATTGCAGAAGACACTGGCAATGTTAAAAACACACATGAGTGGACGGGTTGCTCCTGAGGGTGTCGTTACCGGGCCAGTGATGTGAGATGATAAAAGATATTAAGGGGACTTTTACGGGGTAACGAATGAGGGGCAGCTGGAGGGCCAGACACAGGGCAGGAGATGCGTGGGGGAGGGCAGGGCCGGTGTGGACGGGAGGAAAAATGTGTGTGGCTGTCACAGGGACTCGGACACAGCATCCATCCCGAGGTTCATTATTACGATCGGTGTTCCCTCTCCTTGAATATTCAATATTTCCAACTCACTATATGAAATGAATTAAAAAAATAGATTTATCTCTGGAGTTTCTACAGATGGCCACTCAGAAGATTACACAAGCCCTGTGCCATCCCCCTAACCCCTGCTTTCTTCGGGAGAATGGATGAGTGTTTGGGGTGTTTCATCTGCTCCAACAATTTCCCAGTTTCCCATGGATCAACACTGACAGAAAACCCCAGATACGGATGATGGAAGGAAAATGAAGAGACTTAATTTTGAAAAGCTCTTGAACGCCTCAAGCCTTGTCTTCAAAATCTTTCAGTGACGGAGTGCTTGGAAAGGCGCCCGCCTCTGGCTCAGACCTGATGATTAGAAAAGAAAATTAAGTATTCTGTTTATACCAGGGGGATACGTGCTCAAAACATCCACCTTGATGGGCAAAAACGAGGTAAAGATACCATTGCTTTGGGTTGCTGGAGGCAGCTGGCTGTCCTGGACTTTGAGGTGCTGGGGGCTGTGGTTCCCATCTTCTTACAGGTTCAAGGACTCAGCTGGGAGTAAAGACCCCACGGCACACTCCCAGGGCACAGTTGGCAGCAAGGGGTGGCAGGAAGGGCCATTCACTCTCAGTCCTGGGTAAAGGGCCCAAGTCATTGGCAGACAGTGTTGAAAATTTGACATCAGCAACCCTTGCTCTCCTGGGCCAAGTGCCCACGTGCTGGAAGGTTGGCACAAGCAGTGGGAATTTGTTTGAAAGTAAAATCTGATCATTATCTACCTTTTAGGAAGAGTTTTTTTCATTTTTTTATTTTTTAAATTTTATTTATTTATTTATTTAATTAATTTATTAATTAATTTTTTTGAGACTGAGTCTCGCTCTGTCTCCCATGCTGGAGTGCAGTGGCATGATCTCGGCTCACTGCAACCTCCATCTCCTGTGTTCAAGTGATTCTCCTGCCTCAGTTTCCCAAGTGGCGGTGACTACAGGTGTCTGCCACCATGCCTGGCTAATTTTTTGTATTTTTAGTAGAGACGGGGTTTCATCTTGTTGGCCAGGATGGTCTCCATCTCCTGACCCCGTGATCCACCTACCTCAGCCTCCCAAAGTATTGGGATTACAGGCGTGAGCCACCGCGCCTGGTCTGTTTTTAAAATGTTAATGCTTTGGATGAACCAATATGCCAAAAAGTGGCTGAAAGAAAAGTGAACAGAATATCAAGGATGAATTTTCTAGTCTGGAAAAAACCCTGAAATAATCAGATTCCTTCTCACATTAAGCGTTTATTTTCCAGATACAGTTTTTATCAGACACTTTCCAAATGGTTTAGATGTGAATTCTTGTCTTCTCTCTTTTATCGGTTGGGGGGGCAGGTCCGTTGTGGGGTATGGAGATGAAACTGATAAGACGGTTTGGTGCATATAAACACTGTGCTCATCCTGCTTGCAAATTACTTGTCCACAGATTTTTTTAAATATGTTCTCACCTTTTAAGAGGAAAAATTCCATTGATTTTCTGTTGAGCAAAGGTTTTCTCCTCTCTCTCTTTATTAAATATGCCAGTGCTTTAAACAGAGGGTTAAAGAAATAACCTTCCTTGGGTAGGAAAGCTGAGAATAAGCATCATTTTGGGTCCTTTGATGTGAGAGTTATCCCCTGTCCCCTTCTTCTTGGGACTATTAGAGATGCCACTGGAGTGGATAGGTCCAGATGAGAACTAAATGTGGCTGTGGGCAGATGAGCATCTGCATTGGGACTGGTTCAGACACTGGAGCCATCCTCTCTCCTCTAGCTTCCTTAGGCAGGTGTCATCAGGTGAGAAGGCCAGGTGGTGGGTCTGCTGTAGCCAAGCTTGGCAGAGTTTTGGAGACATGGGGCAAGGCACAGACACAAGGCCTTGGCACTTACGGTGCGGACAAGGAGGGTTTACTAGGTCTTGCTCTTTTCCTGACTTTTCCTAATGCCGCTTCCCAGAGTCTTCAACGAGAGTCACCTCTACATTCCTTCTACTTTCCATGATCATTTGTTAAAAAAAATGTGTCCCAGACTCCTCCTTCTGAGAGCAAGCGCTCACAGAGTGCTGCCCTGTGCCGAGCCCTGCACGAGTGCACCGTGGGAGCATTCATGGATGAGACTCCTGTGGGCAGCTGGCACTGCTGATACAGCCAAGCCAGTGCAGGCTCTGCATCCAAGGGGCTCACGGTCTTCGTAGAAGACCCCCAGCAAGCGAGACCAATGGAATGATGGCAACCAGAAGGGAGGGTGCCCTGACGGAGAATAAGGACCACAGCTGGAGTGGAAGTGGGGAGTGCAACCTGCCCACAATACAGGGGTCAGAGGTGGCCTCTCAGAGTCCATGCCCCACTCCCAGACAAAGAAAAGTCAGCAACTGGTGTCAAATCCATTTGGAAAACACCGGACAAAAACTGCATTGGGGGAGAGAAAACCCATCAGAAATAAATGATGGTTATTGCAGATATTTTTTCCAGGCTAAAAAGTTTCTTCTTCAAATTCCATTTGTGTTTCTTTCAACCACCTTTGATGCCTTAGTCCACTAGACCCATTCAGATTAAAGTTCAATTGAGTTGGAAGCAGCCTGCCATGGTGGCAGGAGAGGGGCAGCACTGCAGAGAGTGGGGATCTAAGTGCCTTGCAGAGAGGACTGGGGCTGGGGAAGAGCAGGTCTGTTTTGAAGCATTATACAAGGGAGTGCTGGCTTGAGATGGCCAGGAGGGGAACCAGGGCCAGTTCGGTCCTCATCTTGAAGGGTTTCAAGGAGTCTGGAGTTTTAAAATTTGTTTTATTGTAAGGCAGAGCATTTAAGGAATTTAAGCAGAAGAGTGTCATGATCTGATTTCTGTTCGGATAAAACACCAGATGCCAAGTAAAATTAGAATTTCTGATAAAGAGGAAACAAATTTTTCTCATGCCTATAATCCCAGCACTTTGGGAGGCCAAGGCAGGCAGATCACCTGAGGTCAGGAGTTCGAGACCAGCCTGACCAACATGGAGAAACCCTGTCTCTACTAAAAATACAAAATTAGCTGGGCGTGGTGGTGCATACCTGTAATCCCAGCTACTCGGGAGGCTGAGGCAGGAGAATTGCTTGAACCTGGGAGGTGGAGGTTGCAGTGAGCCAAGATTGTACCATTACACTCCAGCCTGGGCAACAAGAGTGAAACTCCGTCTCAAAAAACAAAAACAAAAACAAAAACAAAACAAACAACAACAACAACAACAAAAAACACAAAACAACAAAAAAGAGGAAACAATGTTTTTGTATAAGTGTATCCCAAACATTGCATGAAACATTTTTTCAAACAGTTTTATTGAGATATAATTCACATACCATACAGTTTACTCATTTAAAGCATACAATTGGATGGTTTTTAGTGTATTCACAGACATGTGTAACACCACCACAGTCAATTTCAGAACATCTTCCTCACTTTTAAAAAAGAAACAAACAAAAATCAGCTCGTACCCTTTAGCTATCACCACCCTGTCTGCCTCATCACTCTTCCAGCCCAAAGTAATCACTTACCCCTTTTCTCTGTAGATTCCCCCATTCTGGACTTTCATATGGATGGAATTGTATTAGTCTGTTCTTGCATTGCTATAAAGAACTACCTGAAACTGGGTAATTTATGCAGGAAAGAGGTTTAATTGACTCACGATTCTGCAGGCTGTATGGGAAGCAGGGCTATGGAGGCCTCAGGAAACTTACAATCATGGCAGAAGGCAAAGGGGAAGCCAGCACATCTTACATGGCTGGAACAGGAGGAAGAGAGGACTGAGAGGGAGGTGTTACACACTCTGAAACAACTAGATCTCGTGAGAACTCACTATCATGAGAGCAGCAAGGAGGAAGTCCACCCCCATGATCCAGTCACCTCCCACCAGGCCCCTTCTGTAACACTGGGGATTACAATTTGACCTGAGATTTGGGTGGGGACACAGAGCCAAATCATATCAAGATTCATAACATACATGACCTTTTGTAACTGACCTTTTTAAGTTAGCATTATGCTTTCCAGGTTTACCCATGCTAGAGTGTGCAACAGCATTCCATTGATGATGGCTGAAGAGTATTCTATTGTGTGGATAGACTGCATTTTGTTTAGCCATTCATTTGTTGATGAACATTTGAGTTATTTCCATCTTTTGGCTCTCATGAATAATGCTGTTAACAACATTCAGACACAAGTTGTCATGTGAACACGTGTTTTCACTTCCCTTGGATATATACCTATGCGTGGAACTGCTGGGTCCTATGTTTGAGACATCCTTACACTAAAAACTATTCCTTGGTCTATCTGAAACTCACAGGTAACAGAGCATCTGCATTTCATTTTGTTTTGTTTTTGAGACAGGGTCTTACTCAGTCACCCAGACTGGAGTGCAGTGGCGTGATCTTGGCTCACTGCCACCTCTGTCTCCCAGGCTCAAGTGATTCTCTGGCCTCAGCCTCCTGAGTAGCTGAGATTACAGACATGCGCCACTACTGCCTGGCTAATTTTTTTTTTCTTTTTTCTTTTTTCTTTTTTTTTTTTTTTTTTAGTAGAGACGCGGTTTCACCATGTTGTCCAGGCTGGTCTCAAACTCCTGACCTCAAAAGATCCACCTGCCTCGGCCTTCCAAAGTGCTGGGATTACAGGCGTGAGCCACCATGCCTGGCCAAGCATCTGCATTTTTATTTGCTAAATCTGGCAACACTATTTGTGAGATTAGTGGAGAATTTGATAGAGGTTAGTCTTGAGTAAAAGGTGGGAGCTCTGCTAGGGACTGTTGCAATGGTCTGAGTGAGAGATGCAGGTCGGGGTTTGGGCTAGGGTGGGCTCCGAGGAGATAAAGATAAGGGGATGGATCTGAGAGGGGCCACACAGGCTTTGTGAAGGGTGGGACCTAAGGGCAGCAAGGGAGGAAGCAGTCAGAATATTCTCAGGTTGGAGGGTCCAGGCTGGAGGAAAAGCATCCAAGGTGGCCCCACTGACTGTGACGAGGTCACTCTGGTAGGAATAGGCATGGGTGAGAGAGGCTAGGGTTAAGTTTCCTATACTTTTATTAGAAACACCTGCTGAGGTGTGGACTCTGCAAGGAAGTTGTGAGTCTGGGCAGGAGGAGCAGGTTTGGGAGCTTCCAACATAGAGAAAACATTTACATCTAGGAGAATTAAAATCCCAGGACATCTGTATGGGAAGGATGTGCAGAGAGACGTTCACCTTCTGAATCCCTGCTGTATGTCGGGAACACTGCAGTCGCTATTAGGGAACCAGCGATGAATAAATCGTGTTTTTCATACAAATTTTCTGCCTTGAGAGAGATTTCTCAGTAAATTTTCTTCACGAAAGAAATGGTTTTTGCTACAGACAAAACAAGAGAAGAGAAGGACACACTCCCAGTCTCGCTGGAGCCCATAGACAATGGCAATTGGCTCAGTAGATTTTGGGGATTTCCATACTCACCACTATCCCAAGAGTGCTGGTGAAGGCAGTTGTGCTGTTCAAGGAAATTTCTAGAAGTTGGGGACATGGCAGGGGCACAGCACAACTGCCTTCCCCAGCACTCTTTGGACAGTGGCGAGTATAGAAACCTCCAGATTCAACCCCAGAAGTTGGGGACATGGCAGGGGCAAGGAAAGAGGCCCAGGGGACGCTGCCACTGGGTTGCGCTGATGGTTTCCAAACCTGCCAGGCACAACTGCCACAAGGACTCCTATGTGGAGCTATGAAGCTCTGCAGTGGGGTGGGTCTACTGAGTGCTCTCACACTCATTGCGGGGGGGACCCTGCATGTCATTCTGTCCTTTCCAAAATATTGCCCTTGCTCAGACACCCAAACTGGAAGATCTGTATGTCTTGCCCAGTATGACACTGGGTCGTTCTTTGGTCTGAGAAATCCGGGATAGAAAAATCCATCATCCCAGTCTCTCCAATGCCATCCCATAAAGACATTTCTGGAGTGGTCTAGCCCATCCGATGAGGATTGATCATTTAGTTAGCTACAGGCAAAGAGACTCTTGCAACTTTGCTGCTCAGTGAATTCACCCCTAAGTTTTGATGTGGTGCATCCATTTTCAATTTCAGTTTCCTTTTGACTGTTCTTCATCTCTTGCTTGTGGGTCAGCTTTGCATGTCCAGAAGGAGTGCTTGAGTTAGTGTTTCCTGCAGGTGCTAACCATGGATTATTTGCTACTGTGGATTTGAGGGAGCATCTCACGGTGTGGTGTACGCGGCTCTGGGTTTTACCCAAGACCACATTTCTGTCCCGTTCTCTGCTTGATGCCCAACCTAGAAAACCATGCTGGGTACATAATGAAACTCAGTAAGCATTGGTGGAATGAATATTACTCCTTAGACGTCACCCTGCAGTTTGGCTTTTGGCAGTTGTCTGTGAAGTGCTCACATTGCTTGGTGGGCACTTTTTTGAGGATGAGCATCTCCGTGCTGCTCACTCTCCTCCCCTAGAGGGCCTGGGCTGGGCTGGATGTAGTGGTCTCTAGGTGTCAGGAGCCATGTGAGAGTGAAGAGGGATGTTGGGGACCTTCTGCCGATGGAGGTTGCTTCTGTCCTTGATCATTGGAGCTCAGGTTCTCGTGGAGATGCCTGGCTCAGAGAGGGACACAGAAGCTCCCCGTGCAGGCTGGAGGCCAATACTCATCTGAGAGCTTGTGCACGGACCCCCGACCTGCAGCTGTCCAGCACTGTTGGGAAGGCGGTTCTAGTTGAGTGAGAGTGCCTACCTGATGAGCTGGCCACCCATTCTCTGGATTTCTTAAGCTCTTGTCTTCTTTCTGGATGAATGATGGCAAGACTAGCTCCCCGGTGAAACATCTGCATGTATCAGTTGAACCAGTTACTTAAAACTTCATAGAGCTCAGGGTTTTCTTCCAGAAATTGGGCTTAAATAGCAGCATATCCATTCCTGTCAGGATAACTGTGAAGATTTCATGAAACACTGACCACGATTCCCAATTATCCTCAGATCCATCGTTCTGGCCATCATTCCCAATTATCCTCAGACCCTTTTGCTGCCTTTTCCAGTAGTAAACGACATTTCTATGCTCTCTCACTGACTGGTTTTCAGCCAGGACCAGCCAATGGAAGCTTCTGGAAGGACATAAGCAGGGCTATTCCTCCATCCCCACCCTCCTGCTCTTCTCTGCTGGCATCTCCTACAGTATTGGCTTCTCTCCAGGTCCAGACCTGCCCTGCCCAGTGGCTGGTGGGGACAGCATCACCTTCTCCTTGCCTTTGTCCCTCTGGCACCAGGGGTGCTGGGGGCTCCAAGCAGTCCCCTCTCTGGCTCCTTGACTTTCTGGCACCTCTAAGACTAGATTCCTGTGTAGAATGGGGCTCAGTTTTCCTGATGGAATCTGGACTGCGTAGAGCTATTATTATTATTATTATTATTGTTATTAAGATTTTTACTTCATCAATTTTAAATTCTAAATTCATTTTCCCAACTTCAACATGGACTTGTGAGTAAAATTCAAGGAAAGAAATTGAGTTTCCAGAAAATACTAACCCTACATCAAAGCAACAAGATGGCTTGGTGTGTGTGGACATTGCTATCCTCATTCTCAGGTGCCGGGAGCATCATGACCACCCATGTTTCCCAACACAGGCCAGGGTGCTTCTAACTCCTGGGAGGATTGGGCAGGCCGGCCTCTGGAGGCTTCTTCTTGACCTGCTCCACACCCTGGTGCTCCCTTTTGGCTCCCAGAACACACTCAGCAGGGATCAGCCACCCACACCCCTGCAGAGGCAGCTCAGCCAGCCGTAATACCAAAGAGGTTGAAGCAAACATACATCTAAACCCCCCATCTTAGGGAAAGGGGCCTGAGCCTAGAACTGTGCTTTCCTTAAGCATTTCTTAGACAACTCCCCACATAGGTACCATTTTTCCCGGGCTTTCCTGGGCATTTCTCAGCATTCCTGGGCATTTCTCAGCACAGTGCTCTGCTCTCACCATGAAAGCTATCAGTTTTGAGTTGTAGCGGCTTTCTGGAGGCTGGCCAGCAAAGGATGGCTCTGCATGTCCAGTGTCTGAACTTAGATCCCTGGCAGACTCAGACTCTGCAGCAGCAGCATACCCATGCAGGAGGGCAAGGCAGCCCACACACGACGATTATGCTCCCTCGATACAGGGATGGGGATCGTGGGGAGAGGATCCCACATATTAGCATGAACTGCAAGATCTAAGATTTGACCAATCTTTAGATTAAAAGGCAAGTGTTAAAACGTGGTTGAAGGGTGACTCTCCCACCCTGAAGGCCCCAGGAGGGAAGAATATATACTGTCGTGGTGAATTTGGGCTTATTGCAGCAATAGGAAGCTGACAACAAGAACTCAGGGGACTTCTGGGGACCTATTGGTTGTGCTTTTTAATTTCAGAGAATAATAACTAAGAAGGCATCCCAATAATTACAGCCCAGGTGTGCAAGGCCCACTGTTTGTGCTCAGTAACGCAACTCCATTTCCCATCTGTGTAACAGAGGTGCTGAAACTGTGAAAGATCTGTCATTCTGGTTCCAGACCTGGCCAGGAGACTGCATCATCTCCAAATATTAGTGATTTGCTTAAAACTAAGAAGGAAAACCAAGCCACCTGTCTCCTACCTTCTTAGGCAGCATTTTCACCTTTCACCCTTCATGGGGCTGCTTTGTCTTCATGGGTTCTAATTTCAAGATGAATGATTGAGAGAGTCAGGCCCAGGCTTTCTAAAGCTGTTTGGATTTTCTAGGGAATCTTCGGATTTACCTTATCACTGATAGCTCCCTTGAGTTACTACATTCTTACATCAACTCTGCAAATTTGGGTCAGAGAACATCTTATTTAATGAATAGGAGTGTCCACACAAGAATCAGAGAAATGCTCAACCCTAAGAGCTGCACTCAGACACTGCAGGGCTCTTTATGAATGTTTGTTAACTTGGTTATTGTATTAGTCTGTTTTCATGCTGCTAATAAAAACATACCCAAGACTGGGTAATTAATGAAGGAAAAAGGGTTAATTGACTTACAGTTCAGCATAGCTGGGGAGGTCTCAGGAAACTTACAATCATGGCAGAAGGAGAAGCAACACATCCTTCTTCACATGGCAGCAGTAAGGAGAAGAGTGAGAACCAAGCAAAGGGGGAAGCCCCTTATAAAACCATGAGATCTTGTGAGAACTCACTCACTATCATGAGAACAGCATGGTGCTGATTGAATCGGCCCCACGATTCAATCACCTCCCACTGGGTCCCTCTCACCACACGTGGGGATTATGGAAACTACAATTCAAGGTGAGATTTGGGTGGGGACACAGACAAATCATATGAGTTATCATTTTGCCAGATAATTTCTTCTCATCTAATTCAACCAAAATAATGGAGCTGAAGAGTCTAGAGTGACAAAGAAAAGAACTGAGACTGGCAGGAAGCACGCAGTATTATTGAGGCTGGGCACTGAGGTTGGGCACTCCACTTCTGACTCTGGGTTTTGGTCCCAAAGCTTCAGAGTACAAGGCCACCAAGACTCATTTTAAGGACAGGACATTACTGTGGGAGGGGCTTTTTATTGTTCCACCTATTACAAGCCCTCACACCCCACCAGAGTGTGGGGGGGGCCTGTCTGGACTTAAGAATGGGCAAGGACCCACTATGTCATGAAATGAACACTTGGACCAAAATTCCCAAGGCCACACTGCTCCCTGGCCCCAAGTGGGGGGATGGAGACCACAGGAAAGCATGCAGTTGGCTTTACTATGGTGCAAAAGGAATGTTCTCATTGCCAGGTACCTTAGTGCAGGACCATGAGGGACCCCCTGAGCCACGGGAATCTCTTTTTCTCATCCCATCCTCCTGAAGTCATCCACCAAGATGGGTCAGGCCAGCAGGTGTCACCTGCATTTACAGGGCTGTGCCCACTGTGTGACCAGCAGCCTGTTGGATAATGCAGTCCCCAACTTGGAGGCTGCCATCCAAATGTGTCCTTCTCATAATGCCTGGAGGGTCCACTCCTGCTCATCATTTCCTCACAGAGGTAAGGAAGGGGGACCCCCACGGCCTCCCACAGGGTGGAGAACCAGGGCCTCCTTCTGTCCGCTTGGTAGTCATTTCCCTGCGCAGCCAGGCTTTCAGCTTTCTGCATGTAATTATTTCCAAAATGAGGCTTAAAACCCTTTCTGTTTTTCTTGTCCAATGTTAGTGATTTATTAACAGATGTGGCTGTGGTCCCGACCTCGGAGGAGTTTTTTATCTGCCAGTTGTAAATACAAGGTATGCAAATACAGCCGCCATTCAGGCTGTATCCACAATCCAACTGAAGTGGTCCCATCATAAATTAAACACGTGTTTGTGTTCACAAGTGCCAGCCTTCATGGGGCCATGTATACCCTAATCACAACCATTGAACACTCTCTTACAGGTGCCTAGTAGTGGCAGGCGTGTAGCAGCCAATTGGCAGAGTGTGGGGTGTGCTGTCCTCCCCTCAGAACTCCCCAGGCAAGGGACACATCCTTTCCATGACAGGCTTGGGCAGAAATAGCAGCTTGTATGTCTGATTTGTAGAAATAAACAAGTTGTCTTGTTTGTCTCCCCACTCCCACCACCGCTGCCTGATGTTGGTGACAGGAAGAGGCATAGAATCTTAATGGTGAACAATAATTTTTACCTTGATACTAAATGGGTTTGACCTGGCCTGGCCACCTCTTTGAAACAGGTCTGTGGAGCAGCAGGCACGTTGGAAAGTTTATACTTTGGGGATCTGGTCGACAAGCTAGAAGCCGTGAAAGGGCAAGTTACTAAAATAGATAGTGATGGCTTTGGACTGCAGCACAGACATGGTGTCAATTAAGGCAGCTTGGGCTCTGTGTCTGTTGGAGGAGGTGTTGTGTGTGGCTTAGGGGGTTGAGAAATTTGCCCTTTGGACTTGTTTCACCTTTCCTGTCACCAGAGGAGTTGGATTGACATTGTGCCACATCAAGCACTGTTTCCACTCTGGGATAATTACTTGAAATTTCTGGGCAATTGGGAGCTTGGAGTGTGTGCACACCTGCACACTTCTGATCAAGGCATGAGCCTCTAAAGGCAAGCCTGGGTCTGGGGTCCTAAATGATCTCTAAATGTGTTCCATCTCCATGTGTCTGTTGAGTGGGACCTAATACTGCCCTGCAAAGTGGAGTTAGGATCTGAAGCCCCCCTTGGCAGAGGCAAAACCTGCCTAACTTGAGGGAGCCTGTCAAGGAGGGTGAGGGTCCCGGGGAGGACTTTGTAGGCATGGACTCACTTAAACGCGAGGAATGGGAAGGAAAGAGTGAAACCGATAGTCAGAATGGGCCGGATACTTTGCTTGGAAAATATTCTTCAAATGAAGTTCTTTCATGCAAGCTCTAGAAAACGTAGGCTCTTAAATTTGCATTTGTAAGGAGGGAAAGCAAATTTGCAGCTTAGAAGGGAGATAAACTGGACAATGTGCTGTGCATATACTCAAAGGGTATAAAATAAAAAAATATTTGAAAGGCTATGTGGGACGCTGTAAAAATATTAGTCTGAAATGATCATGGGATTAAAAGCAACTTAGAAAGGCCGGGCGCAGTGGCTCATGCCTGTAATCCTAGCACTTTGGGAGGCCGAGGCGGGTGGATCACCAAGTCAGGAGATCGATACCATCCTGGCCAACATGGTAAAACCCTGTGTCTACTAAAAATACAAAAATTAGCTGGCATGGTGGCGCGCGCCTGTAGTTCCAGCTACTTGGAGGCCGAGGCAAGAGAATAGCTTGAACCTGGGAGGTTGCAGTGAACTGAGATCATGCCACTGCACTCCCGCCTGGGCAACAGGGTGAGACTCTGTCTCAAAAGAACAGGGATTCTGTCTCAAAAGAACAAAACAAAACGAAAACAACAACAAGAACAATTAAAAAAAACAACTTAGAGAAAGGCCACTTATGAAAACATTAAGTAGACATCGTTAAATTTGGAGAAAGGAGAAGGGGTAGAGGTGAGAAAGAGTGTGCTCAGTCCAAGATCATGTATTTTCCCCTAACTGTGTGCAGGCTTGTGGCTGAACATGGGCGTCATGCTTAGTCCTCTGAGGGCTGGGGTCCTAGAACTCTTCATTTCCTGGAAGCATAAGTGTGTGAGGGGAGGCTGCTGAGAAGTGAGGAAGTAGTGCTGGGGACGCCCTGCTGGTGCTGGCCGGGAGCATGGAATGTCCACAGGTCAGTTGGGACCCACATCGGGAGTTCCAGTGTCCAAAGCACCTGCCTTAGGCGTCCCTTTGCCCCGCTGTGGAGCCTGGGAGAGACAGAGAGAGAGAGAGAGAGAGAGACAAGGAGAGAGAGAGAGAGAGAGAGAGAGAGAGAGAGAGAAGCTCTGTGCAGTTAATTCCTCTGGTTCTGTGAAGGGTTCCCCTTATTTCAAGAGCATTTGGTTGTGATTTATATTCTATTTCCAATAAGAAGTTTCCCAGCTGAGATCCAACACAGGAAACGGAAGCAAGCATCTTTACAAGTCCCCTTCTATGAAGGAATGGGTTTGCCCCACGGCTGCCTCACTTGATGTTTCTGCGATTCCTTTAGAGTCTCCCAGAAAGGGGGAGAGAAGCCCAGAACCTCGCAGGAGCCCCTATCCCTCATTTTCAAACACTATTTGAAAATCAACTCAAGATGAGGGTTAGGGATTAAATGGAAAGTACCGTATATGATCTAGGAGTGAAGACGGCCTTTCCATGAGACAGTGAAGGCAGGAGACCTTAAAAACACGGCTGGCAGACCTGAGTAAATGAAAGCCCCCAGAGAGCACAGCGTCCCAATGCCAGAAAGAGACTCCAAGCAAAGGAGAACCTGGGGGAACATGAGCTACCTCCGTGACAACAGATGTTTTTAAAAATTAACAAATTATTCAGAAAAATATAAATGTCTTCATAGAAAAATGGGCAGTGAACAAGTAATACAGAAAATAAAAACCACAAATGGCCAGTGAAAACTAAAAAATATTTCACTTATAATGGAATAAGTCATATTAAACAAGATTTTTCACCTTTAAAATGAGTAAAAGTGTGTGTGTGTGTGTGTGTGTGTGTATGAAAGTTCAGGGAAATTGTTAGTCTCAAAGAGCTGGTGTGAATGTGAATTAATACAGCACTTCTGTGGGATGATTTTGGCAATACGTTCCAAACACCTTAAAAATGGATGCACACTTGACCGTGTAATTCCACGTGTAATAATTTAGTCAAAGAATTCACTGCAGGGTCTGCATGAGCATTTCCCATGAATGTGCACACAGGTGTTTGCTGCAATGCTTGCATTGCAAGCTACCTATTTGTTGGAAAATACATTGGAAATACATTTCCAAATACATTGGAAACTACCTATTTGTTGAAAAACACAGGGTTAGTGACATAAACTACAGTGTGCTCATGTTAAACACAAATGTCCTACTGCCCCAGATTAGTGATTCTTAATCTGTGCCCATAAAAGCTTCTGGGTTGCCCTGGGGAGTCCCTTCAAGGGCCACAGGAGACCAACTTTGGGGATATTACTCTGATTTGATTTTATTGACATGAAAGGCTTAATTTGAACAAAACTTTTCCTCACTTTAGTAAGGTTTAAGTCCACAATTGTAGAGAGATGTTTAATCACGTGGACAGTTGCCTGAGATATGGTTGTTTTAAAGACTGTTTATAAGATAGTGCCCAATGTACAACTCTGTGGTCCCGAAGCACCGATCCTACAGCCCACAGCTTCCACCCCTCCCGATGGCACCCTCCACTGGGATGATGTCCTCTCCCTGCAGACCTGCCCTCCTCTGCCCCCTGAGACCCCCAGCCCATGATCTGAGCATGCCTCCCCAGCACTGCTGCTAGAAGCTGCACAGTGTGGGGCTCATGCCTGGGGCTCAAGGCTGGATCCTGGCTTCACCTGCTGTTGTGCAAGCTCCTCTGTGCCTCAGTGTCCTCATCAGCAAGTGAGGGTGCTGACAGCTCCTCCTTCCTCAGGTAACTGGGGATTAAATGAGTGTATACATACTCAAATAATGCCGTAGATACTTAAACATAGATACCCTCCTCCCTTGGTACACATGGAGGATTTGTTTCCCCACAGATACCAAAATCCATAGATGCTCAAGTCTCTTATATAAAATGGTGTAGTATTTGCATGTAACCTACACACATCCTCCCCAAAACTTTAAACCATCTCTAGATTACCTGTAATAGCTAATAGGCTGTAGATGTTATGTAAATAACTGTTATATCGTATCATTTAGGCAATAATGACAAGAAAGAAAAGCCTGTACTTGTTCAGTGCAAAAGCAAAGCATCTACTTTTTCCTGAATATTTTTTATCTCAGGTTGACTGTTGAATCCACATATGGGGAACCCACGTATACAGAGGGCTGACCCTGCATGTGTGTGTGTGTGTGTGTGTGTGTGTATTTGAGTGTGCATGTGTGTGTGTTTGTGTGTGTATTGTTCTTTATAGATTCATATATTTATATATATTCACTTCATGCTATATGCCAATATATACATGTATTTATTATATAATTCTGATTATAGACATATTTTATATCCTCATTTAATCATATACATATCTAATCATGGCTATTTTTGCACCACATGTAAATATACTTATTTGTGTGTGCGTTTGTGTGATGAGTGCATTGTGCTAGCAGTATATATCTCAGGAAGAATTTCATAGGGATCTTGTAATACACACTCATTCAATCCTATGCTCTGCTTTGGTGCTCGGCACACAGCAAGCACTCTATGTAGGTGAGCAGTTACTACTATTGTCCTTTAACATTTGATTCCAGATCCTGGGCTGCCTCTGCCCAACCCCCGCTGCACTTTTCCCAACCCCTATTGCACTTTCTCCCCCTCCGCCCCAAAATTGAAGGCAGCATCTCACCTGGTTCCCAGAACATGGCACCTGCTGCCTCTCTCAGGCCTTTCTTTTTACCACTCTCCCTTTTTGCTGGCTCTGCTCCAGGCATTCTGGCTTCAACTTATCCTCAGACAATGCCCTGTGTTCCACTTCCGACCCTTTGCACGAGCTGTTCCTGCTGACACATGCTTGCCACCTCAACTCTGCCGGTGGTGCCATAACAGAGACACCCTCCCCAGGCCCTAGATCTAGGAGCACCTCCTTCATCTCTCTTGACTCCTTTTCTGCAAAGCCCCTGGAACAGATCACCATGTGACTGCTTGCCAATTTACTGTCAAGTTCCCAGCCTGAGCTGTAAGTTCCATGAGGCCCAATGTGGCTGCTTTGCAGTATTCTTGCAGTGTGAACTGTGCTCCCACAGAGTGAACGGTGCTGCCATACGGTGAATGGTGCTCCCACAGGGTGAACAGTGCTCTCACAGGGTGAAGAGTGTTCCCACAGTGTGAATAGTGCTCTCGCAGGGTAAACAATCCTTCCCTGGTGTAAACCGTGCTCCCACAGGGTGAACAGTGCTCCCAAAGGGTGAAGAGTGCTTCCCTGGGGTGAACAGTGCTCCCACAGAGTGAACAGTGCTGCCATAGGGTGAATGATGCTCCCACAGGGTGAGCAGTGCTCCCACATGGTGAAGAGTGTTCTCACAGTGTGAATAGTGCTCTCACAGAGTAAACAGTCCCTCCTTGGGGTGAACAGTGCTCCCACAGGGTGAACAGTGCTCCCACAGGGTGAACAGTCCTCCCACAGGGTGAACAGTGCTGCCATAGAGTGAATGGTGCTCTCACAGGGTGAATAGTGCTCCTACAGGGTGAACAGTCCTTCCCTGGGGTGAACAGTACTCCTGCAGGGTGAAGAGTGTTCCCACAGTGTGAATAGTGCTCTTGCAGGGTAAACAATCCTTCCCTGGGGTAAACAGTGTTCCCATAGGGTGAAGAGTGTTCCCACAGTGTGACTAGTGCTCTCGCAGGGTAAACAATCCTTCCCTGGGGTAAACCGTGCTCCCACAGGGTGAATAGTGCTCCCAAAGGGTGAACAGTCCTTCCCTGGGGTGAACAGTGCTCCTGCAGGGTGAACAGTGCTGCCATAGGGTGAATGATTCTCCTACAGGGTGAGCAGTGCTCCCATAGGGTGAAGAATGTTCCCACAGTGTGAATAGTGCTCTCACAGAGTAAACAGTCCTTCCCTGGGGTGAACAGTGATCCCACAGGGTAAACAGTCTTTCCCTGGGGTGAACAGTGCTCCTGCAGGGTGAACGATACTCCCACATGTAAAGTGTGTCCCCACAAGCACGGCCTCATGAAGTATTTGAGGAGTGAGTGCAATGTGCTAACAGAAGGATTTTAGAAGTTCTTTTATTTAGCTTTTATGTATTGTACTTATTTTCAAAAATGTACATGAAACAAATGAGAGTTACTTTTTAAAATCGGTTGAAGAATGGAGACAACCTGAGAGCCAGTGGGTGGGAGGGTGATCTGAACACTGTCTTTTAAGTTTCAGACCCAGTTATCTTCAAAGTCTACCTTACTGCAGATGGCCTGCAAAATGTGTCTCATTCTGAAGCTTCCCACCCCATCAGATAGATAATTTATTGCAGATAAACATTTTTTTTGATATGTATTTAAATAACCAGATCTTCTCTTCTCTTCTACAAGTGGACACTAGCTTGAAAATAGAGATAACTGAGAAATAAAGATGGGGGAAATACACTTACCCTGTTTTTGTATTGTCTAGTTGTCTGTACCATGGGACTTTGTACAGATCTGAGAACAACATGAGTAGAGGACAGGGCAGAGCAGTGGGAAGATAGCATCCGGAGCTAGGAATGTTTCAGAAGACATCAGAAATTCTTGGCGAGACCTACCACATAATTTGCTGGTCTCCTGTTAAAAAATTATGAAGATTTTCAAGAGGACTACAGGAGAGCATGAAACCATGCTTCTGGCTTTCGAAGGTGGGAACCTGTGCAACAGCTCAGGTCGGGCATTTGTGAAGCCGGTCCTGAGTCCTGGGGAATAGAAGTCAAAGGGCATTGACCGCCCCCGCCGCAGCTGACAGTGGAGAGGCTATCTAAGGATGTGGCATGTTGGGGAATTCAGAGTGGGCCTGGGAAAGAAACTACCACTGACATTTGGATCAAATCCATTCTTCATATTGACTTGTGGAAAGGGACACAGCTGAATGCCGGGTGATAGAGAAACACAACATCCTCATGCCGGTGACAAGAAGAAGGTTGGGCTGGTCAGGGCAGGAACAGCTCGTTAGGGCAAGGGCCACAGCTCCTCCGTGTATGTGAGCCCGTGGCCTCTGCCATGTCCACTCAGGGGAAAGGGTGGAGGCAGAACAAGGTGTTGCATGCACAGAACAATCCAAACAGGAAGAATGCAAGAAAGGAAAGGAATGTTCTGGAATAATGGAGGGGTGCTACAGACACATCAGCCAGTAGTGCCCAGGCCAAGTCAGACAGAAAAAAATTTAAGTCCAAGAAAATCGTGTGGTGAAACCCTGTGAAGTGGACATTCCCTTGAACCCTTTTAGCAATCCTGAAGGTGTTCTCCATTTCTGAGGAGTTTGGGTATACCATTTTTTGACTCTCCCTCTCTGTGACTCTCCCATTTTCATCTGTTCTTTTTAATTACTGTGTTCTGGCCTCTCCTGGTTTAATTGCTCAGTGTCTGTCATGTGGCGGGCATCTCATTAACAGGACGCCTTCTTCGGTTCTTACTTAGCAAAAGATGATCCATGACCCGCGCTCAGTGTGCGGCTTTGCAGAGCTGGCTTCTGTTCCAGATGACTTGCTGAGTTAGCAGGGCTGGCTGGTCTGCTGAACAGTCCTCCTGGTGTTCCATATGCACGGGGATGCTAATTAGTGAGGAGGACCCTCCGCAAGTTCACGCCGAGAGACCATCAAAGTTTCAGAGCTTCTCTCCAAAGGGCTGGATCTGTCCACAGCCTCTGTCTTCCATTTCTTCTTTTCCTGTGCCTTATTGAGATATCGTTTTTTTTTTCTTCTCATTTTGTTCCCCTATCCATTCACCTCCTCAGCACACAGTGGCCAAGTCTTCCATCTGTCACCAAGTCATCCCTCACTCCCCGGACACGGAGTGTCTACGTAAGATGCCCATGCCAATGCTGGGTCCCAAGGCGCTGCTGGAGAGGGGGCAGTGGCTGTTATTGAGGTTGTTGTGTGGTTTACGTCTTCGTGAGGCCGATGGAATCTGCCTACAGGAGCCTCAGAAACATGTACATATTCTTCTGTTTTTGACTTTTTTTTTTTTTTTTTGAGACGGAGTCTCGCTCTGTAGCCCAGGCTGGAGTGCAATGGCGCGATCTCGGCTCACTGCAAGCTCCGCCTCCCGGGTTCACGCCATTCTCCTGCCTCAGCCTCCCGAGTAGCTGGGACTACAGGCGCCCGCCACCACGCCCTGCTAATTTTTTTTGTATTTTTAGTAGAGACGGGGTTTCACCGTGTTAGCCAGGATGGTCTTGATCTCCTGACCTCGTGATCCGCCCGCCTCGGTCTCCCAAAGTGCTGGGATTACAGGCACGAACCATCGTGCCAGGCCTTGTTTTTGACTTTTAAAAAGGAGTCTGACCACAATGAGACACCACTTCAGATCCATTAGAATGGCTCCTAGCAAAAAAACAAAATCACAAGTGTTGGTGAGAACGCGGAAGCATTAGAACCCTTGTGCACTGTTGGTGGGAATGTCAAACAGTGCATCACTATGGAAAATTAAAACCAGAATTACCATATGATTCAGCCATTTCACTTGTGGGTATATACGCAAAAGAAGTGGAAGCAGGAACTTGCACAGGTACTCACACCCCCATGTTTATAGCAGCATTATTCACGATTACCAAAAGGTAGAAGCAACCCGAGTGTCCATCAGTGGATGAATGGATAAATAAAATATAGTGTATCCATGGAATGGAATGGGATTCAGCCTTAAAAAGGAAGGAAATGCCAACACATGCTACAACCTGCATGAACCTTAAAGACCTTATACTCAGTAAAATAAGCCAGTCACAAAAGCACAAATACTGTGTACTTGCACCTGAATCAAGTTCCTAGAGGAGTCAGATTTATAGAGAAAGGAAGTGGAATGGTGGTTGTCAGGGGCCGGGGACGGGAGGAATGGACAGTTTGGGTTTCATGGGGCCAGAGTTTCTGTGAATGGTGGTTGTCAGGGGTCAGGGGTGGGAGGAATGGACGGTTTGGGTTTCACGGGGACAGAGTTTCTGTGAATGATGGTTGTCAGGGGTTGGGGGCGGGAGGAATGGACAGTGTGTGTTTTATGGGGCCAAAGTTTCTGTTTTAAAAGATGAAAATGTTTTGGAGACGGATGGTGGTGTTGGCTGCACAGCACTGAGCGTGTACTTCATGCCACTGCTGCACACCTAGAAATGGTAAGATTGTAAATTTTATGTTACATGTGTTTTATCACAGTTTTAAAAACGAAGCCCAAATCCCTGGAGGAAATCTTGAGAAATATTTTACATGAATAGAAATTAGAAGGAACTCAAGGGTGGCAGGCAGGCACCGCCTCCTGATGAAAATTTGTCTCCTACATCAGTGCCTTCCACATAAATTAATGAAACCTCCCAGACAGTCTGTTGGTGACTGAGAGGGAACCAAGGGGATCTCAGGGAGGGTCATGGGATGTCTGAGTTTGTCAGGATAAAGCATCCCTTGCCCAGGAACATGCAGGCGCTGGCTGGCAGCCCGGCTTCTGCTTCGCCAGGAGTCCGGGCATCGCGGAGATTCATCTTCGTCCTGGCACCCACCATGCGGTGCCCAGCCAGCCCTGCACTTGGTCGGCCCTGCTCGAGAATCCAACCTGGTTCCATTTTCAATTTTGGAAGCGTTGTTGCGGATTAAAAACCGGTCAAATGATGGGAAAGAGTCAGAGAGAACAGCTGCTCTGTCCCCGCCATCCTGCCAAGGCCTAAATGAGCCTCCAGGAAGCTTCAGAGAGATGAGGGATGCATTTCCCAGCAGGAGTGATGCATGGCCCAGGAATGGCAAGTCACGTCGGGGGCTTGTGGCACCCTGGGGAGGACCTGTCAGTGCAGCGCCAACTGGCTGCCAGTGCCCATGCACACACGATGGAAACTTGATCGGTCAAGTTTCTGATGAAACTTTAAGGACAGTAACAATAGGGACATATGACAACCTTGGCTGTTCCTAATCACGTGGTTAATCTATTTAGCTCTTCGTAAAACGATGCACAAGGACGGGATACACGAAGCAACCAGTCATTTGCTGTCACCTGAGTGTTGGTACATTTTCTCCACCTCCTTTTTGCCTGTCTTTTACCTGTAAACTTCATCTTCATTTGAATAGCTTAAAGAGCACTGAACACTTTGGTATATAAGTCAAAGACGGAACTTCAAGATTGTCTTCTCCCGACCCATGTTGAGGGAGCTGTCAATCAATAGGTTGGGTGGATAACAAAAAATGAATTATTGTTTCTTGTCTGGCACAGGCTCAGCCTCAGCACCAAAGCCCAGGTGCCCCTCGGACACCTCAACTTCAGCTGCAGCTTCCTCCTGAGGAGTTGGGGTAGGGCACCCTTCCCAAGCACCCTCCAAAGACCTTCTGTAAAACCCTCAATTTCAAGGCTGTGCAGAGCCAGATGTGGGTCTCTTTTGATGGGGTAACCATTTGCCCAGGCAGGTCTTCAGGCAGGAGAAAGCAAGCCCACCTCTGTCTCTGAGGCCACTGGATCTAAAGGATCCGTCAGTGTTGGCTTCTCTCCAAGCGAGACTTCTTTCTGCTGGAGCAGAACAGTGCAGTGGAGGTGGGAGGCAGGAGGATGCCCCAGGAAAGAGGCGAGACACGAGACATGAAGGGTGGGAGGGGGAGGCTGAGTCAGGGGCTGCTAGTGGCTGTCACCATCAACAGCAAATAACTTTGGATATGGAGGTCTAGGTAGAATTTTCATTGTTGTTTGACCTTATTTACTATTAAAATGATATTAAAGCATAATTTAGACAATAGTTTTTTCTTTGTTTTTTTTACACAAAGATGTTTATTTTTGGTGTTCCCATTCACTTTTTATTCATATCTGCTCAGAGTAGCATGCTTTCTCATTTAACATGAGAAAATAATAAAAATAATTGTGATGGCTATAATGTACATACATAATTTTAAATAGTTTCAAAAAGTAGATCTAGTTGACATATATTTAAGAGTTCCCTCTGCTGCAGATTTTAGGTTATTTTTAATCTTCAGTTTTTATGAAAAGATAAGAAATATATATCTTTGTAAAAAGAGTTTTTTTTTTTCATTTTGAGTTAATTTCTTTCTTTTTCTTTTCTTTTTTTTTTTTAGACAGTCTTGCTCTGTCGCCCAGGCTGGAAAGCAGTGGCACGGTCTTGGCTCGCTGTAAACTCCCCCTCCCAGATTCAAGCGATTCTTGTGCCTTGGCCTCCTGAGTAGCTGGGATTACAGGCATGTGCCACTATGTGGCTAATTTTTGTATTTTTAGTAGAGACGAGGTTTCACCATGTTGCCCAGGCTGGTCTTGAACTCCTGACCTCAGGTGATCCACACACCTTGGCCTCCCAAACTGCTGGGATTACAGGTGTGAGCCACCATGCCCAGCCGGTTTTGAGTTTATTTCTGATGCCAAATAATTGTTCTTGGTGCAAAGGTGTTGTCCTGCTGCTGTTGTCACTGTCAGCAAGAAATGAGTGTCCCTGTTCCTACAGCATCATCTGCATTGGGTTTTAGGATTAACACTTATTTTCAAACTGATTTTTATGTGCATCATTTTAATGAGTACATCCTTGAGTGGGTAGCTGACTGGAGCAGTAATCGCATGTCTGGAATCTTCTCTTTCTTGTCTTAGCTACACTGGTCTGTAAATATTTATTCATGCTAGCATTTGGAAGTCCTGCTGTACTCATCTTTGGACATGCTTTGGCAGAAAGCACAGATGAGGTTCTGTCTTTGATGGTCTAGCTGGGGAGTAGAAAGGTGAGCACATAAGTCATTATACAATCATAGATGATGATGTGTTCCACAAAGGACAAGGAAACGTGTTGTGAGAGGCAGTACCCAGGCAGACTTGCTCCAGATAGGAGTTCAGGGAAGGAGTCTCTGAGGAAAGTGGAATGAGGCTGAGGAGGTGGTGGTGGAAGGGAAGTGGAAGGACTCTCCCGGCAGAGGGAAGAGAAGGTGCGAGGGTTAAGGGTGGGAAAGGGCACCACAGCCGAGGCCCCCATGGGAGGAGGTAGAAACACGGTTAGAAAAGCAGGCGGGGATTAGATCCTGACCTTGCAGTCTGGGTGGAGGAGTCAGGTTGGTCTTTCAGTACGTAGAAACACAATGAATTGCCTACACACATTCTCATAAGAGCACAGGTTTTTGTTGTTTATATCTTGACCCAAGACAATTTCCCTGAATCCACTTGGGAGGTTTCTGGGGGACCAGCTAGGGGAGAAATTTGACCAGCTAGGTTGCCCTGGACCTAGAGAATGGTTTCCAACTTGAGATCCTGGCATTTCATTGCTAGGTTGTGGTCTACTTCAAACCCTTCACACCAAACTGTAGATAAATTTTGCAAGATAAATGCATTGCAGATGACCACATCGATCTCTTGCTTTAGATGTAGACAGCTGGAAAGTAGCTTAGAGTGCTTCTGTAAAAGTGGAAGTCACAAGGACTTAGCCTAGGTCAATTTTTTACTTGTCAAAAATAGTACAGTTACATCAAAGATACCTAGAGAAACTTTCTCTAGGCTTGAAAAAAAAATCCCTTCTCTTCCAGGGAAGTCTACTTAATGTGACCACTTACTGCTTTTTTACTCCAACCTGTGTATCCACATCAGAACTAAACTCTTCCATTACAGAGGACTGCCTCTGGGTCCTTCTGATAACTGTGCCGCGGCACTTCTGCCTGTGGGTCTCAAAATGACTCATTTTCCCATGAGTTGTGTTTATAATCTTGTACAGTTTGGGGAATTAATCTGAAAAAGAGACTGGGCTGGCAATAAAAATGTAGCAAATGAATTGCTAATTATTATAACCATCGCTCTGAGCTTTTGTTGGTTACCTGCTGCCTGTGCTGTTTCTGTTAAAAAAATAGCCATTTATTATTATGGTTTTGAATTAAACATGTTGATAAACAACCATATTTAGAATCATGCAGACATCTGATGTCAATGGACATTTGTGTTTCACCTTGTTGTAGTCCATAAAACTCATTCTGAATTTTAATTTGTTATTGAGGTGTAATACATACAATAGAATGTGTAAAGGCTATTACTAATCTTCAATGCACAGTCTGATAAAATTTTATCTCTATGTACACTCTGATCAAGATATACAGCATTTCCAGCCCCTAGAGGTTTCCTCCATTCCCCTCTTATTCAATACAACCCTCCCCAAGGGAGCCACTATCCTGAGTTCTTTCATCTTCCATTAGTTTTTCTTGTTCTTTACTTTTATATAAATAGAATCATGCCATATGCACTATTTTGTGCTTGGCTTCTTTCCCTCAACATAATAACGTAGTAACAGAGACTCAGGCTTGTTACATGTATCAGCAGCCCGTTTTCCATTCAGTTCCACGGTTTGTTTATTTGTATTCCTGTTGATGGACGTCTGGATTGTTTCCAGTTTGGGGCTATGACAAACAGGGCTGCTATAACTATCCTTGTCCTTTTTGGACATGTCAACTCATTTTTCTTGGATATGTCTAGGTGTGGAATTACCGGGTCATAGGGTGGGTGTATGTTTAGCTTTAGTAGATCGTGCCAAGCCCTTTTTAAAAGTGGTTGAACTAATTTACACTCCCACCAGTAGTATATTAGTAGCTCCCATTGCTCCGTATCTTTGCCAACACTTGGCCTTGTCTCACAATTAATTTAATATGAGTATATGTAAGGGGTGTGTGTGTATGTCCAGGGTGAAAGGGGGAATAGGATGTCTAGTAAGTGTTGAGATTATACTGGGTGCCTTAACTCTTTAGGCCTGGGTTTCAGGAACGATGGTCAGAGATGAGGGGTGGGGTCCATCTGGAAGGTGGTGTTGGCCGGGAGTGAGCCAAGGGATGAGACACTCCCTGAGGACAGTGAAGCAGGGTGTTTTCAGCACCACTTGGAAACCTACATAAGATGCCCAAATACACAAAGAATATTTTGGAAGAATTTTTGCCTTACCTGGAGTTATAAGTCAAGGTGCTGGCAAGAAATATATTGCATACTGGCATTAGTCTGTTCTTTCACTGCTGTAAAGACATACCTGAGACTGGGTAATTTAGAAGTAAAAGAGATTTAGTTAGCTTATGGTTCTGCTGGATATACAGGCTTCTACTTCTGGGGAGGCCTCAGGAAACTTACAATTATGGTGAGGGTGAAGAGGGAGCAAGCATGTCTTACATGGTGGGAGCAGGAGGAAGAGAGCAAGGGGGAGGTGCTACACACTTTTAAACAACCAGGTCTCATGAGAACCCTATCATGAGCCAGCACTAGGGGAATTATTCTAAACCATTAGAAACCACCCCATAATCTAATCACCTCTCACCCGGCCCCACCTGCAACACCAGAGATTATAATTCAACATGAGATTTGGGTGGGGACACAGAGCCAAACCATATTAATACTCAAACTGGATAATCTGGGAAGTTAATAAAGGGACTATTTACAAGAGGTGGAGGCATGGCCAGTGCCTATGTTATCATTTGCATTTGTCATGATTTGAATTTTCACCATAGCCCCAGCTCTGTTGACCTGAAATCACAAACATACTTCTCTAGTCCTGTTGGTTTTGCCTCCCAGCATCCTCTTATCGTCTTTCTGATCACCACATCTCCAACTCTCCTCTACGTAAATGTGCCCACCAAAACAGCCAATGTATGTGGGTGAAATCTGTGTCCAAGGCTAAGCCAAGCAACACATCCAATCCCCTTGGCTTTAGTAATTAGCTTAGAGACAGGCTCATAAATCAACTCATGCTGATGGGGCCAAAAAGATTTACTCATGGAACCTTTGTTGAGGTATTGGTAGAGGTCAGGGTGCTCTGTGTTCTGAGGATATGGTCTTGAAGCCTACAGGAACCCTGCAGGGAAGCTGAGAACAAAGCCAGGGAAGAAGAGCTGAGAGAGACACCCTGGTGGCATCGGCTAAGTCATGGGCTGGCCAAACCAGGAGCCCAAATGTACCTATGTACTATGTGGCTACAGAAAACAATTGTTCCTTGCTTAGGCTTAAGCCAGTTTTCACTGTGTGTTCTGTTGTTTGCAACCAGAAGAGTTCTACCTAATGCAGAGGAAGCTGGAGTTTAGGCAGTCACTGATCACCATATTTTTTCCCATTTCACATATTTTAGGATTTAAGTTAAACACTGGTTATGAAGTAGATGTTCCTCACCCACCACCAGTAGTCTGGGCTTTGCACTAGTGATGTGATTGCACTTTTAGTCATCACCCCATACCTAGTATTAGTGGCAACATGCTCATGAAAGAGCTTGGCTGTGCCCCAGATAAGTATAAAGATGGCTGGTAAGAAGCCAAGGCTCTTGGGAGGCCAAGGCAGGCGGATCACAAGGTCAGGAGATTGAGACTATCCTGGCTAATATGGTGAAACCCAATCTCTACTAAAAATACAAAAAATTAGCTGGGGCGTGGTGGCGGGTGCCTGTAGTTCCAGCTACATGGGAGGCTGAGGCAGGAGAATGGCGTGAACCTGGGAGGCGGAGCTTGCAATGAGCAGAGATTGCACCACTGCACTCCAGACTGGGTGACAGAGTGAGACTGCATCTCAAAAAAAAAAAAAAAAAAAAAAAAAAAAAGAATCCAAGTCTCAATCCCATGACAGTATAGCCACCTGGCACAACCAACCTCTCATCTTGAGGGCTAGCTTTAAATAGCACAACTTACATTACGCATGAGATAAAGCCAGTGCGGCAGGTGAGAGGTGAATGTCGAATAACAGAGAGGCACTGTGTGGTCTAGGCAAATGTACCTACACAGTGAGACGCGAGAGAGCTAGGCTCAACTTCTCCCTAGCCATATCAGCCCCCAGTACCTCATTCAGTTCTTTTGCCAGAAAATGAACACTAATGACCTTATCTTGAAGCTTTGAGTATTGGGAGAATTCAAGTTAAATATGATGCATGCAACAAGCATGAAACAGATGCAGGGAAAGAAGTAGATTCCTCCCATCAACAGAACAATTTGCAAGAGTATGCCTTGCACATGGTTTCATGTCACTTCCTCTCTGTTGTGCTTGTATGTGCACGTGTGTGATTATTTTGTTTGTATTTTTATTGTTTTGAATTTCTCTTTCTCTCCTCTGGCTGATTTTGCTGGAGGGGTTAATATAGTTCTACTTTCCCCACTCTTAACCCCAAGAGGTCACTGGGGATGAAAATATCTCATTGGTGAGACACAGGTTTTTCTGGGTGAGAGACAAGTCATAACAATATGTGCAAGGGTGGGGCTGGCTAGGACTTTCAGTTTGGAACCTTCGTTGCTATTCTATTGGTATGGCTGAGATGTAGACAGTCTAACGTCCTTGCTGGAATGGCCCAATCTGTCTTCTTGCTTCAAAGCGGAATATTTTTCTGCCTTTCAACTCAGCTGGGCTGCAGGTTGTTCACCATTTGCCTATTCATCCTTATTGTAGTGGTGAAATGCAAATGAAGTCGTCTTTGATGTATTAGAAGCATAATAGCAATTTTCTGACTTTCTTTCCCAGAGCCAAAGTCTTCCCAAACCTCAGCACCAGGGAGATGATCTTAAGAGTGGTAGGATTGTCCTGGAGCCAGGCTGGTGAACATGTTACCTTTTCTGTTAGGAGACATTCATTATCAAATCAGATTGTCAGGGAGTAACCTCGAGACTCCAGGAGAGAAGAGAAGGGATTTTTATTTTTGATGCAGAAAGTCGGAAAGTAATTAGTATGCATTAATTACAAATGACAATGATAATAATAATAATAATAATGACGTTTTGAATTGGTGCCTAATATGACAGTTGATTTGAGCTCCTTGCCAGACTTCAGATCTATGGTTGCTGCCTTTCAAGTGGTCACGCATCCATTTTGAGATATGACAGTGATAGTCTCTTTTGAAACATTTAATTGCTGGCATTGTTTATTGAGAGAATTTTATAGCCTCTCTTAGGCATCTAATTTCACACAGCATCTGCTATGGATGTCACTGATTTAAGTATTTAGAAGAGAGAGTAGAAAGTAAATGGAGAAAATAAAATATTACATAATTCATTGCTATGGAGGGACAAAAGAGTTTTGCTTGGACAATCAACACCTTAGAAGCTGCCGTACCCATAATCAAATGTGCGCCATATTTTGCCAAGTATCCCGGGCTGTCACATCTGCCATCACCACCTGTGATCATTTTCTTCCTCTTTTGCGCTAAATAATCAATTACAAGATTCTAGGTTTTTCTCCCTTTACTCATTTATTACTGGCTCAAGACCTTGCTTCCAGTAGTGCCAGAGTGAGGACGCAGGAGCTTTCTGCTTCGGAGGACAGGACAGACGATTTGTGAATCATTAATTGGGCTAAGGACAGATACAGTCATTGACAAAGTGTGTGAATATCTGCTTTGAAAATGCTTTTAAAGTATAAAAATTCACAAAATTCCATGCTGCTGAGGTTTTGGGGCTGAGCCAGGCTCTCTCTGGGCTATCATTGGGAGGGTTAAATTGTCACAAACTTTCTAGAGAGCAATTTGACACATGCATTGCTTTACCATTTAACCCAATATTTTCTATTCTATGAAGCCATCCTAAGAAAATGATCAGTGCCTAACACATATTAGATGCTCGAACATGGTGAACTGAATGAAAATATAAAGAAGGATATACATAAAAAGAAATGCATTGTAGCACTAATCCCCCTCCACTAAAAGAAACAATATAAATGTTCAGTAAAAGGCAACCATTAAAGTGTAATGGAGTATTATGTGGTAATCAAAAATGAGGTTTACTGAGTTTCTAATAGGACAATGATACTTATAAAATGTTAAGCAAAAAGGAATATAAAACTATGTATTCTGTGACCTCAAGACAGACATGCATGGGAAAGAGAAGAGTGGTAAAATTATACCCTCATAAAAATTGATTTTTTTTTGAGATGGAATCTCACTCTGTCGCCCAGGCTGGAGTGCAATGGCGTGACCTCAACTCACTGCAACCCCTGCCTCCCAGGTTCACCCAGGTTCCTGGGTTCTTCTGCCTCAATCTCCCGAGTAGCTGGGACTATAGGTGCGCACCACTACGCCAGGCTAATTTTTGCATTTTTAGTAGAGATGGGGTTTCACCATATTGGCCAGGCTGGTCTCAAACTCCTGACCTTGTGATCTGCCCACCTCAGCCTCCCAAAGTTTTGGGATTACAGGCATGAGCTACCATGCCTGGCCAAAATTAGTTCTTTATATCTCTGTATTGTTCAAAGTTTCCACAATGAACACACATTATAAAGATCTGTATTTGTGTTAACAATGTAATACTTTAAATATGCATGAAGTAAGTAAAATATTCTGCAAAAAGATCCCATTACTCTAAGAAATATACAAAAATATAAATTACTCTCCATCATTCTCACATCTACCCTTGTTAACGGATGCTAGATTTTCTTTAGAGTGTTTTACAGAGAGAAGGCAGGCATCATATCTGAAGGTCTTTGTGGTACCCACATGGTCCTAGTTACATGTAAGGCAGACAAGAAATAGGATCGAAACATGGTCTGGTCACATCGGGATCTTCATGGTACACTGCGGGGTCACATGTATACCCAAGTCAAGCTGGTGCAGCGGAGCTATTAAAGAAGTGCTTGGTAGAAGATAACCTGAGACTGAGGAGATTTCTGATTGAGGGGTGGTGTGCTCTAGATTTGAGATGTTGAAAATGTGACTTGTGGACTAACAACGTCACCACCTGGAAGCTTATTAGAAATTCTGAATTCCAGGCCCCCCAGACCCACTGCACTGGAATCTGCTGTCAGTAAGATCCCCGGTTAAGCCCAAGGTCGATCCAAGGTTAAGAGGTGCTACTAGAAAAGTCGCCTTGGGGAAGTGGATGCTGGGATGCAAAACCCTGGGGAGAATACATGTGGTTACCAGCACTCCTTTTTGGGAAGGAGAATTTGGTAGTCAAGGTAACTGATTTTCTGCAGGTGGCAGGAAGTACACTTTACCAAAGCTTTCCAAGCTGCACCAGGCCTCTTGAGATGATGTCTGAATCAGCGCTCATCGA
Source organism: Homo sapiens (assembly GCF_000001405.40). Classification (NCBI taxonomy): domain Eukaryota; kingdom Metazoa; phylum Chordata; class Mammalia; order Primates; family Hominidae; genus Homo; species Homo sapiens. The sequence goes on from NC_000010.11 coordinate 128,396,479, forward strand.
ATGGGTGGTGAAGAAGTGAGGGTGGAGACCGGTGGGAGACCTGGAACCTGGATGGGCTGCCAAGCTGGATGATCCCTTTTTCGATTGCATGGTCCCAAAACCAGGGCTGCAGAGGCGAGTCCCTCAGAGGGGACAGCGACCCTAAAATTCTTTGACAGCCCTACTTGTCTTAGAATGATGAAATTGGCCTGTCTTTGTATTTGTTTTTCCTACAAAAAGAAATTGAACAAGTGTATCCAAGGTGCCCAATGTGAAGTTCTGCACTCCCTCTGGTAGTCAGTGAAGGCAGCCCCTCTAATTTGAGTTCTCTTTCTAAACATCCCGGTCAGATGCTTCCCTGTCTTTCTGACCACCTGTAGCAAACCCACCTGTGAGTCCCAAGGTAGGCTGCATGGTTACAGATGCCTATTTTCAGACCTGTGACAGTTCCCATAGAAGAAATCTAGAAAAACAAGAAAATAAGAAACAACCTGTGAGTCTTTGACAAAGCTCAATGGATTCAATGTAAAGGGTTGTCCTTTACCTGAGAGTAAGATCTTTTATTTTCTTTTTTGCTGTTAACATTTTTTTAAATAATGATGACTATTTTTCTCATAATGTTCTTGACAAAAGAAAAAGTTGGCAAACGTGCCATTGACTTCTTTTCTTAGGTCTTTCCTAGGAACCTGGGCATTTTAAAGAAGATGCAGTTCCCATGTTGGTGGAGATCCGGTCCCATCTGTGAGGGAACTAACAGTCACTCAGTGGAAGCGGCCATGTGGCGCATTCCTAGAAAGTTGACAGTGCCTTGACTACCCCACCTCCAAAAAAATCCTCCCCGACGAGATTTCATGAGCCACAGTCACTTCTCCATTGCAAGCTGAAACTTGAACTATTTCTAACTTAAACAATAGGAATAATGCATTATATTCTAACGTTAACTACTGTAATCTTATATCAACAGGGGGCTCACCACCCTTTGTGATATAAACAGCACTGGCCCAAACTCATTTCCATTCCACGGCCTGTGGAAGCCAGGAGAGCTGTGCAAATTCCAGATCTGGGGCCCCGGAGCTTCAGCACTGTTGGTCACTCCATCCCATCCCTGTTTCTCCTTCCCTGGAGCATTTCAGTTCCGATGGCCTCGCTATTCTGAACACAGCTGTCTCCCTTCTGCCTTCTTCTCCCCCCTCCCTACTCTCTCTCCTAATACCTTGGGTCTCACCTCTCTCCCCTCAAGGGACATATCAAGCCTTCTCATCAGCACACACAGTACCCTCACTCATCTGTGGCCAGCCATTAAGACAATAAAATGTCACACTGGCACACTACTGTTAGCAAGAAATGAGATGTGACACCTCACCCCTGACCGTGACACGGTGGTAGATCAAGACCTGGCTGGGGGCTCACGACTTCAGCTGGGGTTGGCCTTCTGAGGAGCTCTTGTCACCTGGGCATTGCAGGGACCTGAGGCCTGAGCCTTGAGTCCTGCAGGACTGGACTTAGCCCTCAGATGCTCACCCAAGCAGGCAGCCACATGCCTCTCGATTTTGTCTACAGCTGACCAGGGTGCGTGTGGTTGAATCTGTACCCTAAGCCTTATTAGACTTCCCCCTGTGTGTATAAATGAGTCTATTGTCCAAAGTGGCTGGGGGTGCCTTCTGGCAGATCTGGAAAAAGATCTGGATCCTTCCATATCTGAAAGTGACCTCAGCTTTTAGGCTTCAGTTTTCTGAGTACAGAGTCTTTACCTGATGCTCACAGCTGCTCACAGCCTTTCCACTCACGCAGCCTTCCATGTGGGAAATGTTCCTCATTCCTCAGTGTCCCTGTCACAGAGAATAATGTCATGCCACAGCACACTGCCCAGGGCGCAAGTGCTTGGCGCTGAGAGAGACCCAAGGAGTCCAAGCGCTCAGCTGCTGCCAGCTTGCAGGAGACGTGCAATTGCTCAGGCTTATCACGGCGCATTTGAAAGCCTGCCTTCTTGCCATTTCCACCTTTTCACTTGGGTAGGATTGTATTTTCCTCGAATCTCCATTTTCCACTGTGCTCATGGCACAGACAGAAGCACATCAGACCTGTAACTTGAATCACAAACACCTTGACATTTCGTTCCAGAATTAGAATGTCCCCAAGGCTTATGCCAGAGAGCAAGACAAACCTTTTGGATGTGTTTTAAGAGGTGGCCTCTGCTACACCCCAGGGCCTACTTCATCTGGGAATTGAGATGAATTCGGAAAGTGCCTATCATATCCCAAACTGGGCCCCAGGTCCTGGGGATAAAAAGATGAATAAAGGCAGGAGAGAGAGACTGTAAATAAATACCTAGCATGCAATTTGTAAACATACGTGAAAATACTCTAAAAAGAGAAAGAGAAGCAACCCCACTGTGCTTATGTGGTTCAGAGTCAGGGTAAATGGTCCCTGAAGGTAAGAATTGGGCCAGGGTAAGCCAGGCTTTGCTGCAGAAACAAGCCTGCACAATTTCAGTGGCTTGAAATGTCAAGGTTATTCCTCCATCTGAGGACATGTCTGTGCGGTGTGGGTGAGCTCTGATCCACACAGGGGTCTGGGCTGATGGAATCCTTAAACTGGTGTTGGATCAGGGAAAAGGAAGAAGCAGAACAGACATTGGCTCTTAAATGTTGCAGCCTGGAAGAGACATACATCCCTTCTACCTGCATGTCATTGGCCAAAGTAAGTCATGTGGCCAAGGGTACTTGAGAATGTGGGAAAGTGCAAGCTCATCATCTTCCAAGAAGGAAGAGGAGAAGCCTGCTGACATCCACAGGGGGAAAGACATTCAACCAGCAAGGGCAACACAGGGAGGCAAGTTAAGTCAGTGGGGCCGGGGACCCATGCCCAGGTTGGTGAGAAGCTAAGGTGTGTGGATGTGTTTCCTGCTAAGCTGATGCCTGTCACTACAGCACCATTATTTGAATGCCTGCCTATGGGGCACTGGGTACCGAGAGCAGGTGCACAAGACAATAGACCTCATGCAGGGGGAGAAAAAGTAGGGCCCCACAGCCCAATGCACTTTCATCTGGGGGCTCCTTGAGGGTCAGAGATGGCCCTTATATGTCTTTGTGTCTCAGGCCCTGTTGGGTCTGTATAGTTCTCAGGACTTGACCCACAGCTGACGGAACCTGAGGGAGCCCTGTGGGTGCTGAGGGCATGCTTCAGGGACAGGAAGGCTGGCCCTAAAGACTTGTCCCCACCTCATGATGCATTCAACTAAGTAAGGTGAGCTTCTTCATCTCAGCCTTTCACGAAAGAGGCTGCATGGGTTCCAGGAAGCTAGTCTGGAGTAACAAAGCACCAACATTTCGGTAGCTGAGGACAGCAGAAGTTGAGTTGTTGCCCATGCAGCAGTCCTGAGAGTGCCCTGGCTCCTCATGCGTGGTCTCTGGGTGGGGTCTTTACCTGGGCTGCTCCAGGGCTGCACATGGATGCTACGGTTACTTGGAAGGAGCCAAGGGCTGAAGAGCAGGCGTTCCTATGTCCAGCTCAGGCATTGCTCATGTCTGTGCATGTTCCATGGCAGAGGACATATTCCCATGGCTGCAGCAAAGTATAAGAGAAGCCGGAAAATATAATCTAGCTGTGCCCATGTAGTCTAGCAGAGCCTCCAACCCATGGAAGTGAGGAACACTTGATAAAATGGGCTTAGTCAAAGTCACAGACTATTCTGAAATTCGTTTTTTCCTTCCCTGATTGCCTAGGAGAATGGCAAACTGGACCGTTTATTTCCAAGGAATGGGTCATAAAATTGTGGGAGAATGTCGCCTGGATTAGGATGAGCACAGCTCTCCTTTGAAACCAGGCCATGCTCATGACTATCCTGTTCTGCAGGAAGAGCCTATCACTTCCCAAGAACACACTCATCCATTGAGGCTTAAAGCCATTCCCCACCATCTGGAGAGACTCATCAGGATCTGAGTAAGGCAAGGGCAGTGTCTCCTTGCTCTTGTGGTCATACCTGCTAATTCCAGCATATAAGGCTGATGCGATGCTTCTAGAGTCTTTGGGCACCCAAGACCGCATTGCCAATGACAGGGACTCCAGCCAAAGGCTGTCTGGCCTCTTGAAGGAGCCCCTTGAACCTAAATCCATTCCATCAAGTCAAATCCTTTTCCGTCATAGCTGAGAATCAGCATTTGGCTTTCTAACCAGTGATTCAGAGAACAGGTGTCTTTACAGAGCAATAGGAATCACTGTGTTTGTTGAATCTACTTGAGTTTATTTAAAATTATTTGTTGTACGTGTGGGAAAGCTTGCCCGAGCTTGGGGTTTGCTGCTTGTGGCTTGCTGTTGGAGTTCTGCCATATAGCCACCTGTGTTTCATAGCCGGCTATCTGATTACAGTGGAGATGCAGTATCTGACTCTATATATGTTCTCGCTTGTCTTACATCTTCCGAATTTCATTGAATATAATCACGTTAAGGTAAAATGTGTTTAAACTGCTAATGGACTGGGCCATTGACTTTAACGACATTCTCAATACTACATTTAATTATCGTACAAGCTTTTCTTGATGATCATATTTCCCAGGATCAGTTGGAGTTATGTTAAGTACACTTAGGCAGATAATAATGAATGAAACAACTCTTTTATAATCTAGGAGAAGTAGAAGCTCTTATTATGTGGAGGATGAGGCAGACACTATGCAAGCACCCATGGGGCACGTGACCATGCTGAGGACTGTCCTGCACCAGTGCAGAGAGTTTTGGCACATCTTAGAGAAGATGCTGATGTTCTGGAGGCAGATGGCACTGAGCCAGGCAGCCCCATGGCTGGGTGGTGGTTGGAGAGAGTACTGGAGACAGGAAGCGCTCTCAGTGGCAACCAGGGTTCCTCTGGGAAGTGGCTGCTGCTGTTTCTGGAATGACACTGTGGGTCCCAAGCCATCTTCTAGACAGTGGCAGATTCCTGGGCCAGCCCTGCAGAGTCTTTTTGTAGCAGTTAGAACTTGGCAGGAAACAGGGGACCCATTCAATCTGGGGTATTTGAGCAGAGTTTAGTAAGGGGACTATTTACCAATTGTGGTCAAGATATGAGGAGGAGATCTTAAGGGAGAGTGTGATCTCCCTGAGCTGCTAACACCAGGGGCATGACTAGGCCTTGGAGGGCAGGGAAGAGTGGTCACTAGCCCCAGAGAGCATTGCCTGGCAGCAGCTATGGCAGCTGGTGGAGAGAGGCAGTTACAACTGCCATCTGATAGGGAGGTTGCTGGAGGGGCAATCACACCTGGCGCCACTTCATCCTTGGAATCTCCTGCCAGTGCCCCTCATTGACTAAACCCCAAGCTGAAGGGTAAAGCTAAAGGGTAAAGAAGCCATATGATGCACCCAGACCTGTCCACCTCCTGGGCATGGAGCAGGAGGAGGGTGAGGGTGAGGACAAAGAGCAGACAAAGCACAATCCCTGTCTGCAAACCTCTCCAGGCCAGAGGCTTGCTCATGGCCAGGCCCACCATAGAAGCTTAACCAGTAAGAGAATACTGAATCGTTCTCAGAGAAGGAAGAGGTGGAATAAGAGAAGGATCTGGTTTTGGAAAGTTTGCATTCTAGTCCTGATATGGTCCCTGACTGGCATGGACCTGGGCAACTCATGGGACCCCAATTTTCTCATGTTCAAACTGAGGATAACGATGGTCATCCCTGAAGGTTTCTGTGGGGCCCATATAGAAATAGAAATGGAGCAAATATAGAGTACACTCAAAGAAGGGGAACCAGCAAAGGCAAAGCTGTGGAGGTGTGGAGGTGTGAATGTGTGGTCATGTCCAGTGAAAGAAGCAGAGACAGAAGAAGAGAGCTGGCATTCTCCTGATCACAGGGCCCCTGGGGCCATGCCAGGGAGTTCAGAATTTTCTTAGACTACTGAGGAGCAGAGAGCTCAGGCAGCAAGGGCTGGGGGCTTGGCCTTTGTCAGCAACAAGAACAGAACAAGGGGCTTGAAGAGGAATGGAACTTAGGGAAAGGCCAGCCCAATGACTGATTGTTTCAGCTGCCAGTGTAGAGAAGGTAGGAGGTTTGTCCAACAGTGTATGAATCCTATGTTAGTTATTAGTGTAACAGTATTATCACAAACTTAGCAGCCTAAAGTGACATATTAATATCTCAGTTTCTATCAGTCGAAAGCCTGAGCATGGCTTAGCTGTGTCCTCTGCAAGGCGTTAATTATAGTATTGGTATCAGGGCTGTATTCTCATCTGAAGGCACAACTGGGGAAGATCTGCTTCCAGAACCATGTGTTTGTTGGTGATGTTCATTTCCTTGCAGATCAAAGATGGGGAGGCCAAGTTTTTGGCTGGCTATTGGCTGGACATCAGCCTCCACTCCTGCGATGTGGCCTCTGCATAGGGCAGCTCACAACATGGTGACTGACTTGCTTCTTCAAAGCCTGCAAAGAGAAGGTCTGCTAGTGAGGCAGATGTCACAATCTTATGTAAGGTAGTCACATGCAACTTGTCATTCTGCCATTTTCTGTTGGTTAGAATCAAGTCACTGGTCCCACCTACACTTCCGGGTGGGAGTGGGGCACTAAACAAGGGTGCAGACTCCATGATGGAGGGTCACGGGGCCACCTTAGTATCTGTCCAGGACAGGTGCCAAGACACACACATCAAGTTATGCCACTTAAAAACACAATAACTACCCAATATAAGTGTGTGTGTGTGTGTGTGTGTGTGTAAATGTTCTGTTTTTTTTTTTGTTTTTTTTTTTTTGAGACGGAGTCTCGCTCTGTCGCCCAGGCTGGAGTGCAGTGGCGCGATCTCGGCTCACTGCAAGCTCCGCCTCCCGGGTTCACGCCATTCTCCTGCCTCAGCCTCCCGAGTAGCTGGGACTACAGCCGCCCGCTACCACGCCCGGCTAATTTTTTTGTATTTTTAGTAGAGACGGGGTTTCACCGTGTTAGCCAGGATGGTCTCGATCTCCTGACCTCGTGATCCGCCCGCCTCGGCCTCCCAAAGTGCTGGGATTACAGGCGTGAGCCACCGCGCCCGGCCTCTGTTTTTTTTCTTAAAGGCAAATAAAACTTGGGTTGCATAAGAGGACTGTTCATTTGAAGTATATTATTTCTTTAAGTTTTGGCATCAGAATTCAATTATGTTTCTATAGGAAAAAGAGCCATGGATAAGTCCCAAAGGTATGTTTGAGAAACCCCTGGGAATTCCACTGGCTTCAGTAAGAGAAACAATCACTTCAGAAACTATAGTTTTATTCCATAGAAATGGCTTTTGATGGGGAATTACCACAGTAAAAGAGAGGTTTTTATATTGCAAAATTAACTTTTTAGATGTTCAGCCAAATGACAACAGAATAAAAAATTAAATGCTCAAGTAACTGACAAAACTCCTAGGATATATCTGTGAATTGGCCTTACACATTATGAAAAAATATTATTTGAAACCAGAAATCTCATTGTATGCAATTCTAATAATGTCAGATTTATAGAGATAATATAATTTACATTTTAATATATGTAAAAGGAATCATGAACAAGTTGGTTTTTAGGATTTTCAGTTTATAACATCTTCCAGATTGAATGTAACATATAAGAAATGGGACTACAATGTTACCCCAAGAAGACCATGGGAAAGAATTTGGGCAGTAACAAGATATCTTGCTAGTTGTTTTAAAACTGAATTCAATGCATGTGTCTCTATGCTTTTATGTAACTGGATACTATTGTGATTAATTAACCCTCAAATTTTTTCAACTTTATCTGAACTTTTTAATAAAACATATTCATTATTTTCTCAGCTATTTTTTCCATGCATCTGCCCATTGCATGAGTTAAACACATTAATTATGATAAACAAAAGATAAAAGAAACAGCAGGTATTTCCTTCTATGTTCCACAAATAATTTAATTTTTTAAATTTTACCAGTTTGTTTGATTCTCCCTGGGCCAGGCTTTCTGCAGGAAACGTTCCTGGGTGTAGCGTCCAGACCTTCTGCAGAGAATGTGTGGTGATTTTTCCCAGGAAGTTGGGGAGATGGTGCTGGGCCTTCTAGTCCTTTCACTCTGTGATCAGCTGAGTGACAAATGTCCGATCAACTTCAAAGTCTAGGGAAAAGGACGCATTTGCTAAGAGAGTTTGCTTGTTTGGAAGAGAGATTGACCAGCCACGGGCAGAAGGAGAAGGTGGAGGAGTCAGGGCTGGCCTCTGGTCCCGGGTCTTTCAGTGGGATTCCCTGGGAGCCTCCCTGTACCCACACCACCTCCCATCAGGAGCACACAGAGGAGAGCGCTGATGTTCCTTCTTTTTAGTGCTGACAATCCCCTATATCATGGTTTCCGGATGTCTGATCCCTTTCCTGCTACAAACTTTGCAGTTAGTCTTGAAAGAAACAACCTAAACCTAAACAAAAGCATTTTAATTATTTGTTTGGGTTTAGATTCTCTCAGAGAGCCCCATCCGAAGGGGCTGTTGGAGGAAAAAGTCTCATTTGAAGATATGTTGAGAAACCTGCTCTGGAGAAGTTGACGGGACTATAGCTTATATGGGAGTATTTTTGAGAACTGGGGCAGCTCTCCCAGCTGACTGTATTAGAGGTCCCAGGTCAACAGGACCCCCTCGCACAGCGGTGTGATGTGTAAGCTGCACAACATCAGGGCGGGAGTTGATGTGGCCCACAGTGTGAACGGCGCCCTCCAAGATGAGCAGTGTGATGCTCCGCAGAGTCGTAGACAGGAAAAGTGGAGGCTGAAGTGGGACCGGACAGCACTGGCACGGCTTGACTTTGGCAATGGACAACAGGGAAAATGGAGGCGCAGGTGAGAAAGGAAGGCAGGTGAAGCGCCCGACTCACTCCAAGCCGGGGGTCTGAATCAGATCTGCCTGGAAGTGACTGGGGTGAGCTTGACTTCCATCTCCCTAGAAGTGGACCCTACGGTAAACCACCCACGTGCCCAGCTTCCCCTTCATACCACCCAGGTGCCCAGGTTCCCCTTCATACCACCCAGGTGCCCAGGTTCCCCTTCATAATGAAGGCTCCCATTTCTCCAGCTTCTAGAAGTGTTGGCTTGACGCTTCACTGAATCTCCAGGAACTGCCCTTGGCAGCAGAAAGCTGCCTTGCCCGAGGTTAAGCCCCTCTTCAGGGGCAGCCCATGTCCACAGGCTGGCCACTGAGGGGCCCCTGGCTTCGGTCTAGGACAGCTCAAGTGACCCGTGGCCTCCTCTGTGGCCCCTGTTGCAGCCGCATCACAGTTCACCTCCTCCCTCTGTCTGGTGCCCAGGTCACCCCCCTGCCTGCAGTGCCCAATGTCTTAAGTCCGTTTCTTCGGAAACAGAGCCTGAAACACCGGCCTCCACCAGCCTCACCCAAACACCAACTTTTTCTCCATCTTTAAACATTTGCAAGCCAATTACCCCCTCTGCAGTTTCTCCTCGGCCTCTCTCCCCAGGCTTCTCCATGAACATGGCCTCCAGACTTGGGATTTGTGGCTTCTTATGGTTCTCTGCGATTCCTGGAGCTTAGGAGGAGGAAAAAAGAAGGAAACAGGCGTTTTCTTGGTAATAGCTGGCATCTTTGCCCAGAGTTAAGCCATGAATGCCGCAAATCCTAGAATTCCAGAAAGAAAGGGAAAATTTTGCAGTTCACATTCACTGCTATATTTAAGTTTAATTTTACCACATTATTTTGTGCGTATGTATCCTCTCCCTCTCCATCTTTTTCTTTCCTTTCTTTGTCCTGGATTGGATTGGATTGGAGGGATTTTGTTCGTTTGTTTGTTTTAATTATTTCATTGTTTTTCTTCTTTCAAGTTTGAGAGCCTCTCAGATTCCATTTTTTTAGGGGTTACCCTGGAAATTACAATATGCAAACAATTTATTAAAGTTTAAAGTTAATCACAGTCTTTTTCCTACACCAAAGTAATACAAAAGACTTGGGGTATTTTAACCAATCACTATCACCTCTTCGATAGTTTAGTTCTCTTGTTCTTTATCTGCCCTACTGGACATAATTATTACTGTGATTCCTATTTTCCCAGAAATTCATTCCTACACTGAAGGATTTCCAAAAGGGGAAGATCTTTCCTGTAGTTTCTTTTAAAATATTTTTATTATCTTCACTTTTCAGCAGCCTCACTTGGTTTTCCTAGGTCTTTCTTCTCATTTTTCCTGCTTGGGATTATCTTGACTTCTTGAGTTCGTGTATTAGTGCCTGCCACTGGTTTTGATTTTGGACAATTATTAGTCCTGATCTCTTCACATTTTTCCAATTCTGCATTTCCCCTCTCTTTCCAGGACTCCTATCAATCATGCGCGGTGGGCACGCTTGCTATCTTCCCATACTCCAGACCATCTCTTCTGATTTGTCCACCCTTGTCTGAGCTGAATTTATCTTTTCTCTCTTTTTTTTGATCAGTGTTGTTCAATCATTTGTTCAATTGTTGAATTCAATAGTTTGTCCAATAATTTTCTCTCTACTTAGTCCATCCTGCAGTCACATATGTATATTGATTTTATTAAACTTTCAGTTAATGTATTTTTCACTTCTAGACACTATGTGGTCCTTTTTCAGATCTGCTAATGTCACTTCTTATTGTTTTCCCTTTCCCATTTTTAAAATTTGTCCTTTATTTCTTTAACCATAACAGGCACAGTGAAGTTATCTTGCCTATCTGGTGATTCCAACACTAACTAATTTGATTTTTTTTTAGTGACTCTATGTGGTCCTGTGAACGTTAACCCTAAGAAAACTATACTACTGGGCCCTCCTTGGAGAGGCTCTGCAGTTGTTTCTCCTGGTACCAGCATCTGTGGGTCCAACTCAATCCATGTTCTTACCTGGAGCCTCCCTGGCCACCCAAGCTGTATAGACCTGGGACACAGCTATGCACCATCACTGCCTTGGGGCCACAGTCTCTGAGTGACAGGACACTTTTTCTGTCTGTCTTCTTCTCCTCTGCTCAGTCCCAAGGGAATCTCCTCTATTCATCCCCAGGAATGAAGAAATGAAAGGGTTCATTGATTTTCATCACATCATCCTCAAGAGCTGCCCAAGCCCAAGAGAGTGGACTCCAGAAATGTCCTCAGGGTCATTTAAGATTCTAATTCCAGAATATGACCTGGGAGCTCCCTACTACTATTTCAGTTCTTCTCTGCTTTTTAGGGGATGTCTGTTTGGCAATCATTTTTCATTGTTTTCAATGGCAGTACTCAGGAATCTGAGTTATAGATCCCAGTAACTTAGCCATCATTATTGGAAACATTCTTTCCTGTTGATCTTCCCTACTGACTGATATCACACTTTAATTCTGAGAGTGACTACCTTAATATAACTTTTATTGATATGTAATAGGTGTACATAGTTTTGGGGGTGCAGATGATAATTAGTTCATGCATATTATTTGTAAAAATCAAATCAGTGCAATTGGGATATCTATCACCTTAAATAGTTGTCTTTTCTTCATGCTTGAAACATTCTCATTCTTCTCTTCTGGCTATTTTGAGGCATGCAATAGATTATTGTAAACGGTAGTCACCCTACTGATCTATCAAACACTAGGTCTTATTTCTTCTATCAAACTGTATATTTCTACCCATTAATCACCCTCTATTCATCCTTCCCTTCTTCTACCCCTTTCCTGACCTCTGATAACCACCAATCTACTCTCTATCTTCATGAGATCCACTATTTTTGTAGCTCCCACATATCAGCGAGAACATGTGATATTTATCTTTCTGCACTTGGCTTATTACACTTAACATAAGGACCTTCCATTTTATCCATGTTGCTGCAAATGACAGGATTTTCTTTTTCATGGCTGAATAATATTCCATTGTGTATAAGTGTAAGTTGAACAAAACTACCTGAACATCTTCTTTACCCATTCACCCATTGATAGGCATTTAGGTTGATTCCATATTTTGGCTATTGTAAATAATGCTGCAATAAATATGAGAGTGCAGATGTCTCTTCAATACATGGATTTCTTTTCTTTTGGGTATATACCCAGTAGTGGAATTTCTGGATCATATAGTAGTTCTATTTTTAGTTTTTTGACAGACCTCCATACAGTTTTCCATAGAAGTTGTATTAGTTGACATTCTTATCAACAGTGTATGATATTTCCCCTTTCTCCACACCCTAACCAGCATCTGCTATTCCCTTTTTGATAACAGCCATTTTAACAGGGGTGAGATTATAGCTCATTGTAGTTTTGATATGCATTTCACTATGGTTAGCGATGTTAAGCAATTTTCCATGTAACTATTGGCCGTTCATATGTCTTCTTTTGAGAAATGCCTTTTCAGATCTTTTACCCATTTTCCAATTGAATTATTTGTTTTTATTTTTTGCTATGGAATCATTTGAACTCTTTATATATTTTGAATATTAATCCCTTGTCAGATGAATGGTTTCCGAATATTTCCTCCCATTCTGTGGGTTGTCTCTTCAATTTGTTGATTGTTTCCTTTTCTGTGCAGAAGACTTTTAGTTTGATGTGACCACGTGAGTGTGGTTTTGCTTTGGTTGCCTGTGCTTTTGCCGTCTCACACAAAAAAATCTTTGCCCAGACCAGTGTCCTGGAGCCTTTCCCCAATATTTTCTTCTAGTAGTTTAATAGTTTCAAGTCTTAGATTTAAGTCTTTAATCCATTTTGACTTGATTTTTGTTGGTTAGAAAACACATTTAAAGCATATTCTCTATCAATATTAAGCATAAAACATTGTCCTTTGATTTTTACTGTTATAGTATTTAATACAAATATATTAATTTAATTTTTTTCAGTTTTCCTGGGGTTTTAAACTCCCCTAATAAATGGACATTTAATGTTGCAGAGGAGAAATCTGAAGCCAATCTAACTTACTTTGTGTAAGCAGCACCTTTTCATCTTTGCTTTTGTTTTTGTTTCTTGCATGGATACTTGTCATGTTTTAAAAAATTAATCCTTAAAACTCCAAGCCTTTTTTCAATGTATGCGTATGAGGACTTTGCTTTTCAAATCCAATTTTTGCCGGTGGTAAACTATTTCAGACTTTAGATTGAAGCTTTTTGTTTTTTTTGTGTGTCTTAAAAAAGGTGTATTCTGCAGGGGTTGCTTCCGTTTATTCTGGTCTCTTTTTCATGAAGAGCAATCATCTACATAGCTGATCTCCATCCTCTGCTGCTCCTATCTATCATGTTCTCTCTTACAATTTTTTTTTGTTTTTTCTTCTGTATCCTCACTCCTTAGAAGGTCATCAACTCCTTTATTCACCGATCTGAGGTTTTCTTGAGGGGCCAATCCTTTGTTTAGAGCCTCTGGTTCTGTTTTATTCAACATTTTTGACATCATTCCTTTCCTTTAATTTGCTCTTTATTGATGCCCTTCACTGCCTTTCATCCTGTTATTCTTTCATCCTTTTCTCATCCTTTGTCTCTCAATTCTAAGAGCTCTTCTCCTATTTTTTAAAGATCTTTCTGAGAGTTCCAATAGGTGCTGTAGAACTGTAATGAATCTTATTTTTGTAAGTTTTTGTACACATTTTTCTTTCTTTTTTTTAAACTTTTATTTTAAATTCAGGGGTACATGTGCAGGTTTGTTACATAGGTGAACTTGTGTCATGGGGATTTGCTGTACAGATTATTTCATCTCCCAGGTATTAAGCCATAGTTATTTTCACCATTAGTTATTTTCCCTGATCTTCTCCCTCCTGTTACTCTCCACCCTTCAATAGGCCCCAGTGTGTGTTGTTTCCCTTTATGCGTCCTCATGTTCTCATCATTTAGCCCACACTTATAAGTGAGAACATGCAGTATTCGATTTTCTGTTCCTGTGTTAGTTTGTTAAGGATAACGGCCTCCAGCCCCTTCCATGCTCCTGAAAAGGACATGATCTCATTTTTCTTTATGGCTGCATAGTATTCCATGGTGTTGTATGTATACCACATTTTCTTTTTCCAGTCTACCATTCACATTTTTCAAAAGTGCCTTTTTTCTATATTGTGAATTCTTGTTTTTTAATGTCACAGAATCTTCAGAATCTTTGGATTTTTTTTTCTCTTCACTTATTAAGGAATGCAGAGATATCTCTCCAGGTCTGGTAAGTGGATATAAAGAGATTCGGTGAATTCCACCTTTCCTGGTGCTACAAAATGCTCATCTCATACATTAGGCCCGACTAGGAGTGGACATAAGTGTGTTCTAAGAGGCGAGCTGCTTCCACCTCAAGGGGTGGGGGGGGAGTGCTGGCCAATTCCAACAGGTGGATTCCTTTCTCAATAATTTCCTTCCCCCAGTAATCTGTCAATTATCCCCTTTTCTAGCAGTGATCTAGCACCTTCTCTGCACAGTACCCACCACTGTGTGCTGAGCTTAAAAATAAGGCAATGATGGCTCTTGCCTGCATGGAGCTTAGATGACGGTAGAACAAACACATATTAAATAACTAATTACATAATTTAGTTGTACAGTTCAACAGCTCATGAGAGCTACTACACAATGGGATAAGCTTTAATACCCAGCTTTCTGCTCTCCATCATGGCCTTTGCTGCTGGGACAAGGTATGGATTATTTTATTATTATTATTATTATACATCATAGTATTTAAAGTGTGGGGATTCTTGATGGAAACAGAATTCCTTCCAGGACACTATAATCAGTCCGTAGCTTCAGTTAGGAGTTCTCTTCTCTGATGTATTTTTGCTTTGAGATGCTGTTGAACAAACCATGGGTCCTTCCACTGGAAGGCATTTTCCCAAAATTTTGATTGCGAGAGGAACGGTGTCTTCCAGTGGATGTTCCCTGGATGTGCCTGGTGTCACCTGCAGGTTCTGCTCCCACCTGGCCACTGCAAGGGGTATGCGGGGGGTGGGGCATCACACACACCTTTCATTGTTAGTTCCCTTTAGGACTTTTGGTGGTGTTTTGGTGAGATAAGTAAACAATGGAGCTGAAATCACCCTTTTCCTCAAATATTTTGCTATTTTATTAAACTTAAGTGCATGCAGTCACCATCTCCATTGTTACCAAAGATGGTAACTTGGGAAGATTTCTAACAGAGCTGTAGAGAGGAAGTAACTGTGGACAGGAAGTTAGGGGATTGTGGTTCCTGTCCTGCCTTTTCCTCCACTAGCCCTTTGTCTCTTCCTTTCTCTGGGTCTCACTTCACTCTTTCTAAAAGGGGGTAGTTGATCTAGGTACTAAAACCAGAAAACGTCTGAAATATTTTGTAATTTATAGGATAAGGAGACTATTAGAATGAAAGTCTCATGTTGGGAGAACAGAAGAGGAACAGAGCAGTCAGAAAAGGCAGAAAAGGGAGGGGAAGAGGGAAGGACAGCTGAAGCTAAAAGGCCACACCCAGAAAGAGGAGGAGCAGAGGAGTGGTGGTGGGTGGCACGCATGATTCCCAGTGGAAACAGCATGGAATGCTGATGCACTGGTGCATGGAATGTTTTAAGACAAAGGTCACACATTCTACAGAATCAAGGTTGATTGCCTTCCCATCTGCCTTGTTTCTGGTGGGACTGTCAGATGCATGATATCATCAATGACAATGGAAATGGTGTGTTATTCCTCCCTTGCCCTCTCTTTTGGCAATGCTTTGTGTTGGGACAAGGAGGCAACATTTTCCATTTACTGTAGATGCTTTACATCTGTCACTTCTGTGAGGGTTTGTCTTGCCCTTCATGGATGTTGCCGTGTTTGCTATAGAAAGTGGAGGTTTTGAATCAACATTTCTGTTAACCCAGGGATCATTGCTTTCAATACATAATTATTCATTGTGCTCTATTAGAAAATCTTTTTATTTGCTAAAAATGTTTGAAAAAGAATATGCCCTAGAGTCTTTCTGCAGAACCATCCTGTTTTTCTGGTGCTGTCTGTTTGGCCTCCGTGGGGTGGTTGCTGGGTGCCTTTGTCTTTGCAGTGATTATGTAGATAGATGAGGATGGTGGGGGGATTTGGTGGTTCCTACGGTTATGTTGTACTGCTCAGAAGGTCCCATGACCTAGACTGGGGAGCAGTAAGCTACTGAATAATGTTCTTGACACTTGGAAGAGGCCTCAGCAAATGTGGTCAGTTAGTTTAGCCCTGGTCCCCAAGGGTAGCATCCCTTTCCTTGACTGGCTGCTTTCTCAAAGTGTGTGTCACTATCCCTGCTGTGCATGGATTGCTGAAACCCACCCTCCCTGGCTTTTCCCTGCAAATAGTTCTAGACTGACAGGCAGAAGGTGCAAGTGAGGCAGGGGAATAGGGCCCAGAGGCAGGGAACCTAAAGACTTCCCAGAACTAAATCAAATGGAAACACCTCAGCTATGAGAGAAATACCCTCTTTACATAGGGCATACGCGGAATAAATTACTTTGTACCTTTACTTGCTCCTCTTCATTTACATAGGGTGTAAACGAAGTAAGTAACTTTGTAATTTAACTTTAGCCTCTTCATTTACATGGGCATACACCAAGTAACCAATGGAAACCTCTAGAGGGTATTTAAACCCAGAAAATTCTGTAAGTAGGCCCTTGAGCCACTTGCTCAGCTCACTCCCACCCTTTGGAGTGTGATTTTGTTTTCAATAAGTCTCTGCTCTTGTTGCTTCATTCTTTCCTTGCTTTGTTTGTGTGTTTTGTCCAATTCTTTATTCAAAACGCCAAGAACCTGGACACCCTCCACCCAGTAACACCAGGACTTATGTGAACTTGGACACTCTCCTCCACTGCTTAGCTTGGGAGTGGGAGTTACTGTACCTCTCTTAAGCTCAGTTTCTCCATCTATGAAAATGAGGTAGTCAATGGGGTCATTTCTAAAAATGTCTGTGATTCACCTTCCCTACTAATGTCTGTGATTCACCTTCCCTACAATGCTAAAGAAAGCCATTAGCAGTGTTAAATTTATATCACTATTTCTTCATGAAAGAGGAGATTGAAATGATTGTTTGGGAGGTGCATCATGTTGAGTCTGACAAGGCTGACCAGAAGGCCGGCCTGTTGACTAAGGCCAGTCAGACCTGAGTCTGCGATCTCTAAGCAGGGTCACTGCTCAGCAGAGGCAACTCTGTTCTGTATCTGACAACTGCACTCTAAGGAGATTTGAGCAAGAAGGGAAGCACAAGAGAGACAGAAATTAAAAATATGGAAAATAGAAAAGGCTGTTGAGAGAGAAAAATCAATGAAAGTCCAACCATAGTTATACACAACTCACCTGTTCCCCAGATGATGGACTTTCTCGGTTTTAGGGAAATTTGTATGCAACCAACTCACATCAGAAGCTTTAAAAAGCCATTAATTTCGGCATTATTTTTCTATTTCAAAACCAAAGTGAGGATTATAAACAGTTTAAAGAGCTTTAAAATGCTAGCACCGTTCATCAGAGACCCCAGTGAATACCCAGAAGAATATGAAAATGGACAAGGTTCTGTTTCATTCCTGAAAGCTCCCTGAACCTTCTACTTTTTCATGCCTTGATGTTGGTGCCTATGAAAAGCAACTGTCCCCTGAGGTTCCCGTAAGGGGCTTCAATGGAAGTCAAGCAGAGTGGGTGAAGGAACAACACTGACTTGAGTTCTCTCTGTGTTTCTGATGGTAGGAAAAAAACTTCTAGATTATCTCACAAACACATAGAAAACATAAAAAGAGGCAAAATTATGCAGAAGCATATAAATTATGTAGATGATGGAAAGCCTATGCAAAACATGATATGTGCACATAATAGCATATTTCCCCTGGGGCTAATTGCATCCTTTGGGTACCTTTTGAAGCATCTGAATATTCAGAAGAAAGCAAATTTATTATAATTTGAAAAATACCACAATAAATAAGGCTGAAAGAATAACGCACATTGTATTGGAAAGGGGAAACTCACAATCTGGCCATTTCCCCCAGTTTGACCAAAGCGTGGAGTTACCGAATGCAGTCAAACCTTGGTGATACGATTCATGGGAGTGTTTCTTTTTCTTCCATAGTTTCTTCTCCCAGGTAGACAAGTTGTGCAAAATCCATTCACTCATTCAACAAATATTGATCTGTCGCCATGACAGCATTCCTTCACATTTTTACCATCCAAAAAATATTTCCTGAGACCTGTAACATGCCCAGCAGTGAGCTATCCCTTGGTGGAGCTTGTGACATAGTATGACAGAGAGGCTGAAGGAAGGGAGAAAGACCACATGTAGGAGAACTAA
Organism: Homo sapiens; assembly: GCF_000001405.40. NCBI lineage: Eukaryota > Metazoa > Chordata > Mammalia > Primates > Hominidae > Homo > Homo sapiens. The sequence continues at coordinate 128,414,587 of NC_000010.11, forward strand.
CAGGGGCTGTTTATTCAGAGCTCAGAGCTATGGCAAGGGGGTTGGCCACTGTCACTTGTGTCTGGCAGAGACTCCAAGGCAGGCGGAGGAGTGGGGAAGCTTTGTGATGGAAACGGAGGCTCCAGGGGCACCCTGGGTGTGGGCTGTTAGCCTCGGAGAGCTGAAGGGCACTCATTAGAAGAAGATCCATTTGGGGAGCACATTTGGCTTTCCCTGGCTGGTCCTGAGTTGGAAACAGGAGTAAAAATAAAGGAAATTGACAGATATCAACAAAGTCTTTAGCGTTTGCGGCCAACTGCTACAGAGGTTGAGGGTTAGAGTTCTATTTTTATAGATGGTTTGGCCATTGTTTGTTTTCTGTTCAGTTTCCTAAGTCTAATCACCTGATAATTACTTGTGGGGCTTTGAAGGCACAGGAGAGGGCCTCCTGCAAAGGACGGAGCCAACGTGGTGTATCCAAGGCCTCGTATTAGTCAGCTCCAGCTGCCGTAACAAAGTGCCACAGATGGGGGCTTCAACAACACAAATTGTTTGTCTCACAGAGGCCAGAAGTCCAAGATCAAGGAGTCTGCAGAGTTAGTCCCTTCTGAGCACCCTGAAGGAGTAGCTGGAATGCGTGGATGGTTTTAAATCTAGATCTATTCCAAGCCCATCTTCTGGCTTCTCACAGCCTCAGGCGTCCGATCCTTGGCTTGTACATGCTGTCACCCTGTGTCTTGCCATCATCTTCCCTCTATGCATGTTATCTTTGTGGCCAAATGTCCTCTTATAATAAGGACACTAGTTATATTGAATTAGAGCTCATTCTAGTGGCCTCATCTTAACTTGATCATCTGCAAGAAATGCAAATAAGGTCACATTCACAGGTCTTGGGGGTTAGGACTCCAACATTACTTCATGGACCCAATTCCACCCACAGTCCACCGAAAGGGAGTTTGCCCAGTTAGGGCCTGGAGTTCAAGGCAGACGAGCCTAGAGGAGCAGGAGGGGCCTGAAGGACCCTCTCTCCTCTAAGGGTGGTGCAGTGTGGTCACTTGAGAGCTGGCAGGAAGCATAGGATCCCCAGACACCCTGGAACAATTCTACCGGAATCTGCATTTAAGGGGTCCCTGCCATCCCCATGACTTAATTTGTCTACTTAAACAGGTTAAGAAGTCTTAATGGAGATACTGTACGGAACTTGGGAAAACTAGGAAATCGTTTTGAGCAGGGACTGGGCTGGCACTTTTTAAAAAGTCAGTTCTTGTACTTAGCACTGCAAAATAGTTTGTATCTATGAAGGATATTCTATCCTAAACCAGCATTCTTCATTAGAACTATTTGAAACTTTTCACCCATAAGAGCTGGGTGGGGACCTTCCCTCCCCAACTCGGATCACCAAGGACAGCTGGAATAGGGAATCACGAAAACACGACATGTCGGTGTCTTCAGGATATTTACAAAGAGCAGTGCACACAGAGTCGATGCTGTCCATCTCAGGAGCTTGCTCTTTGTACCTGAGTTAGACACAGTCCAAGATTTAAAACCATCCATGCATTTCATCCGAGGAGTGGGAGAAATCTGCCTTGCCAGTTGAATTTTAGAGGACATTTCAAAAGAAGCACCTGAGGAAAGGAGCCACCTTCCCTCAGAATTTCCCATCCACTCATCCTGCCCCCAACTCTTCCAGGCTGTGAGAGTCTAGGCCAAAACTGGCGGCCAGATGGAGTTGTCTCCAGCCACCTCTCCTTAATGGCATACAGCCATGTTCTGAATGACGATGTTTTGGCGAACCACTGACCACATGTACTGTGGTAGGTCTCATAAGATTAAAATGGAGCTGAAAAATTCCTATCACCTAGCAACGTCATGGTCATCAGAACACAGCACAACACATTGGTCATGTGTTTGTGGCAATGCTGGTGTAAACAAACCCGCTGCACTGCCAGTCAGGTAAAAGTGCAGCACAAATGATGTCCAGTACCTAATCCTTGATAATGATGATAAACGACTATGTTACTGGTTTATGCATTTACTATACTATACTTTTTGTTGTTATTTTAGAGTGTACTCCTATTTATTAAAAGAAAAGTTAACTGTGAAGCAGCCTCAGGCAGGTACTTCAGGTGTTCCAGAAGAGGCCATTGTTATCAAAGTCTTCTGTGACGGGTTTGCAGCTCCATGTCTCTTATTGCCCCTCAAGAACTTCCAGTGGGACAGGACGTGGAGGTGGAAGACAGGGATATTGATGATCCTGACCCCGTGTAGGCCTAGGCTAATGTGTGTGTCTGTGTCTTAGTTTTTAACAAAAAAGTTTAAAAAGTAAAAATAAAATAAAATAAGAATAGAAAAAAGCTTTTAGAATAAGGCTATAAAGAAAGAAAATATTTTTGTATAGCTGTATGATGTGTTTGTGTTTTAAGCTAAGTGTTATAACAAAAGAGTCAAAAAATTAAAAAGTTTATAAGGTATAAAAGCTTACAGTAAGCTAAGGTGAGTTTATTATTAATGAAAGAATTCTTTCAAATAAATTAAGTGTGGCTTAATAGTGCAGTGTTTATAAAGTCTAAAATAGTTTACAGTCATGTCCTAGGCCTTCACGTTCACTCACCACTCACTCACTGACTCACCCAGAGCAACTTCCAGTCCTGCAGGCTCCGTTCATGGTAAGTGCCCTACACAGGTGCACCATTTTTTCTTTTCTACCATTTACCTTTTCTAGGTTTAGATACACAAATACTTACCATTGTGTTACAATTGCCTACAGTGTTCAATACAGTAACACATTGTACAGGTATGTAGTCTGAAGCAATAGACTATACCATATGGCCTAGGTATGTAGTAGGCAATGCCATCTAGGTTTGTGTAACTTCACTCTGAGATGTTCACAAAAAGATGCAATCACCTAGCAACGTATTTCTCAGAATGTGTCCCCATCATTAAGTGAGAATGTGGAGAAGTATGTGCATACATATACACATATACTTGTGTATGCGTGCACACACACACACACATACACACTGTCTTTGCTGATTTACACTTGAATCAGAAGCTTAAGTGAAGCATAAAAATGTCTAGGCAAGCCATGGTTGGTTTACCGTTGTTCCAGGGTTGAGATCTCAAGATGACCGTGTTTTCTGGGTGCAGGTGAGTGACTCCTCCTTGTCCCACTTGGTCGGGCTGGCTGTTAGCATCCAGGGTGAACATTCCTGATGCTTTTCAGTGGACAAGAGAGCTGATGGCCTCTGTGATAGTTGATGGCCCCACAAATGGGCCATGGCTTTACACAGCCAGTGCCGCCTGCAGAGAGTGGAATTTTCCAGGCAGTGATGATAAACAGACCCTCACTGCTTGAAGATCAGAAAAGGTACTTAAGGTTCTCCTCATCTTGGAGCAAATGTCTGCCTGCAGAGGCTGGGAAGTTAATTAATCAACAGCTGACATTTAGCTGTGAATGTCCTTGGTCACTGGCAAAGAGAAAGCAGAGCCCTGTGTACTAGGAACCCTGTGTGCATGAAGCCTTGTGTGCACACACAGCCCTGTGTGCACACATAGCCAACGCTGTGCGCACAGAGCTGTGGGCTGTGAGAGTACAGGCAGATCCTGATTCTACTGCTTCTCTGATGGAAACCAGGCAGCATAACTCAGTCCAGAATTATTGATGACATACCTTAAAAAAAAAAAGGCTGAAGCCTTTCTCTGAGGAGCTCGAATGTCCCCAAAGTAAAAAGCTTGACTACTTCTTCCTTTCCAGTTGTGATGAAAATGGGGATTAGTGGGATGTTAGAGGCAAAACCTCATCTATGAAGTTATGAATGAATAATTCTAATTTCTTTCTGAGTTCTGAGAAATCAGTTTGTTTTACATAGAAATGCAATATGTTCTTGATCTCTATGTATGCGATTAGAATTTTTCCCTCTACTTGGTATTTGTTTCGTTACCGAATGAAATTTTGAGCTTATATTTTTGGATATATTTCACCTCATGCATTTCAATGTCTGTTTTCTCCAAATCTCTGCTTCTAAAGAACACTTCAACCCTATCTTTTTTTCATACTAGCTTTAGAATGTGGAGAAGTAGGTGGAGATGCTTTCTTTAAGATTCCGACTCTCATTGGAGCAGACACTCCACCATCTCATGAATGTATTTGGAGGAATGTGCCAATTTTTAAGATAAATGATGATTGCTTAGTGCCGCTAAGAAAAAATGGAATTGCCATGCCGGCCTCAGCATCAACGTGTAGATGAGGTTCATAGGGTGGCAGCGCAACAATGTTGAAAATATCCACTGTAAGAAGGACGATCAAGGTGACAAGTCCAGAACGAATGGGGGTTTCAGAAGGGAGTAGGCATTCTGGGTTGTAAAAGGAATCAGACTGCTCTGGGATCAGAGGGAATGAGGCATAGTGGGCGGATGGTGGGAGCAGGAGGAGGGAGCAGGTTGTCAGTGTGGGCTCTGGGAGCTGTCCATTGTGGCAGGAGCTGGGCCTGAGTGGGGAGAAAGCAGGGAGGGACCTGAGAGCAGACCAGCCAAGACTCAGGACTCAGGGCACCAGCAGAACTGGGGCACAGCAATAAACACACTACAGCCCTGATAAGTTCGTCCACCATCTCATAGTCAGGAAATCTGGGAGCAAAGATATTTTAATTTCAGCATCCATGTGTTTTACTTTTTTAGAGTCACAAGGGTGCCCAGGGGCTAGTGGAGTGCCATCTTGTTACCAGGTCCTGGAATCTGTAGGGAGGATGTGTCTGTGGTCTGTAGGTGAAATGGATGAGGGTGGGAGCTACAGGGGCTCCTGGAAAGCAGAAGCCTGATATAGCGGCAGCAGTGATCAGAGAGGCCCGCCAGGTGGATGAGTTTTGCATTGAAAAGCATTGTGATCCACCTTGCCATTGTCCAGAGGTAGATTATCCAATTTGTGACTCCCAAATCTATTTCTTCTCCCACTGCACTCTTTGGCCACTGCCCTGTTTATTAGCACCTCTGCCAGAGGAAGGGGAAATTGGGAAAAGGCAGTTGATCTATATTTCAGCAGCCTACTTGGCTCAGGGGGGCAAAAGCACTGTGCTAATGAAGCCAAGGTCAAAGGTAGAAGCCCCAGGTGGGCCAGTTAGTTGGGCTACCTTAGACGGCCTCAGACTAGAGCCCCATCTTGGCCGACTGGTCTGCATGTACATTTCTGCTGGCTGAGAAAGAAGTGGGTGACTCACTGGCATAAATTTGTGCCATCAGAAAAAATAACCCAGTGAGGTGGCTGGTGGTTTATAGCACCCTCTCCTGGTCCCTAGAGCACCAATGTGGGTGGCTTCTGTCGGAAGATGTGGGTGGTACATTTGGGTGTGATTTGTAGAATCCGTGTATTCTCAATCACCACAGGTGATTGGACTTTGCAGTCAGTAGATTTTTCTAAAGAGTTTCAATATTTAATAAGCTGTGTGCCATGTGTATCAACCAGGACAGCCTGATTGGTCCCTCTCTCTCTGCCATTAACTCTTTTCAGAATGACCCTGCCTTTTGCACTGAGAGAGAGGAGATTTCATTTGGGAGGATGCAGTCCACATCTTTATATGTATGCATGTTCTTATTGAAGAAGAATGTATTTATCAAGCTCTTACTGTACACCAGGCATTCTCCATGAATTAAGACCTTATAGGTTGAGAATTGGTAAATTCTAAAAGATAACTACATTGGCAACCTTTTTAAGTAATTAAATGGGTTGGTTCTTATCAGAAAAGTGTAGGTTCTGTTAATAATCACGGGATTGTGATGAATCCATAGAAGACCTAATATAGTTAATTCTCACATTGTTATAAAGATACTACATGAGACTGGGTGCTTCGTAGACAGAAGAGATTTAATTGAGTCACAATTCCACATGGCTGCAGAGGCCTCAGGAAACTCATAATCATGGCAGAAGGCAAAGGGGAAGCAAGGCACATCTTACATGGGGGCAGGAGAGAGAGAGGGCGCAGGGGAAACTGTCATTTTTAAAACCATCTGATCTCGTGAGAACTCCTTCACTATCATGAGACCAGCACGGGGGAAACCACCCATGTGATTCAATGACCTCTCACCAGGTCCCTCCTTTGACATGTGGGGATTACAATTCAAGATGAGATTTGGGTGGGGACACAGAGCCAAACCACATCACCTAATATTGCTGAATGTGGGCAATATAGAAATGTTTGGTAGCTTTAGGCCAGGTTTACACAAGTTGTATCAAAGCCCAGTTGCCAAGTCTCTGACGGCCAGGTGGTGTTTGCACACACGGAAAGATTTGGCAGGCAAACAGCACAAGACACGTTGAACACAGTCAAATACCTGGATGTTTAAAAAATGATCAGTATCTCTTTCACCCCAACATATTTTGTGTTGAGAGACACTTATAAGGTGAAATGTTTTCTGAAAATATCTTTCTTGTTACAACTGAGTGACACCACCATTATGTCTTGCTTGCTCCAACAGCAAACGAACCATGACCATCTTCACGTTGTCTGTGATTATTCCTTAGCATCTGTAGGGATAAGAGGTGTTAACAGAACATCCAAGGATCATGTGAGCATGGTTTCAATAATATGCAAAGATTTTAAGCCTCTGTCCTTTAAGGGCCAGGAAAAGAGCATTTAAACCTTTTAAATTTTGGTGAAGAGGTAATCAGAACTGAGCTGAAGGGAAATAATGTTCTTCATCAAAGGGAGAGAAGTTTGTCTCATTTTTACTAAATCATGACTATTGTGCGGTGCTTGGGGGAGTGAGGGCCATTGTTTCGATTTGTTGGATAGAATGAAAGAAAAGGGAAAAGAGAGGCTGAATGGCAATGGAGGATGTGACTTTAGACTGAGCACAGGTGTCTGCAGAAGAGAGGCATAGGGAGCATAAACGCAACTTAAAAACTGAGTGCACGGATAGTCCAGAAGGTTCTTCTCCTCATCGTTTGTAGGGTCAGCTAGTGGGCAGCTGTCTTCACCCATCCTCATGGAGACAGCTTCCTCTCTGTACATGCCAAAGTTGGCTTAGGCCTGGCTGAATGACCTCATGCCTTGAGCAAGCGGGGGTGGTCCCCTTTGCAGCTGACCAAGGGGAGGTGCCCAGAGGTCCCTCGTTTAGCAGTGCACCTCTTCCTGCATGGTTCCTGGTACCCCAGAGGCTGAAAGATGCTCCATTATCCTTCTAGAATTTTGGGAAGTAACTGTGGATCAGCCAGTGAATACTGAATAGTAAAATAAAATATAATAAAATAAGCCGTGACTCTTTCCCACTGTGAATTTTGGATCACAAGTTGCAAAGATCAAGCCCAGATCAAGCCTGCAGCAATCCCAGGGTCTGATGCAGGACTGGACTATGTCTGTCTTCAGGAATGTTTGTAGTTCCAAAGCTCACAAGGGAGTGTGTCACAGAGACCGTGTCGAGAAGGAGAAGGGAGATGGGTCACTTTTTCCTGCTGAAGGGGGAAAAAAATGCAACAAAACCTCCGGCAGGATTTTCATTTCCCTTTCATAGACATTTTGTTTTTTTCATTAGTTTTTTTCTCCAGGGAGGCAGCCAGAGTGGGCAAAGGGAAATATGTAGGGGAAATAGCCTTGCTGAGATTAAACAAATCTCTGCTGCCGTGTGTCCATCTGCCCGTCCATCTGTGAATAACCTGTAATTATTAATAATATGAGTGATGTCATGAACATTCTGGCAAGAATGCCGAGCCCCAGAGACCACTCTGGAACCCGTCAGCACAGGACAAAGCCGGGAGAATGATCGGCCGTGTTTGCACTGAGCTGAGGATAAATCTGGCTGGCTGGTGTGCGCCGCGCCTGCCAAACCCTCTCGGCAGTAGGACCAGAGCATATTGGGTTTTCTCATAAACTTCCGATGAGATCAGATTGGCGGCATCTCAAAGGAACACCTCTTATATAAAAAAAGGTTGAGTACACAATCCAGCAAAAAATGTCATTAAAAGGACACATGGTGCTGAGTGGGACAACCTTAAAATCACTGAAAATGGAGCGTTTAAAAGAGCACTGGAGGGACACATCCAAGAAGATGACAAAGGGGGATGGGGGGAAATATTAGAGACATTTCCCCTGGGCCGTGTTTCTGTTTTCCATGAAAATACTCATGAAATCATATGGGGGGATGGAGAGAAAAAAAAGAAAAGAAATTCTCAGTAAAAGCCACCCCTAAAAGAGCTAGGACTCCAGAATATTCCAGAAATCACTCTATGGCATTTCACACTGGTGGTTGACCTGAATAACTGGCACCAGTGCAAACCAATGCCTCAGGCTGTGGTGCAGGAAGTTTCTGATTGGGGCAGGTGGGGGCCGATGGGCAGGTGCCAGCGGGGTGGGAGCCCTCAGCCATGGGCTGTGAACAGGCTTTGGACCCCTATGTGGCTTCACTGTGGGGCTTTAGTCATCTGAGTGGAGCTGTGCAATAGCAGGGGTCTTTGTTGGTGTTGTTCATTATGATATCTCTAGCTCCTAGAATAAGAGCACTATAGCAGGTGCTCAACAGACATTTCCTAAATGTGTTACTTTATGGCGACTCCGTTACAGATGTCTAAGAGCATATTTGTGTCTGGCACAAGTATCTGGTCCAATTCCGGAAGCTACTGGCCAGGGGCTGGGTAGTGGGGGTGGAGGTATTAGAAAGAAAGAGACGCACCACCTCCATGTGATGTGGACATCACACATGGCCCACTCCTCAGGCCATAGGATTCTGCTGAACGGCTCCTTACACAAGTGTCTGCCTTACTGCACCATGGTGTCCACCCTTGGCTGTTTACCATGTTGTTAACTCAGTACCAGGATGATTCACAGCTGCCTCCCAAACAGCCTGGTCTCTCTGTGTTGGAAAGAACAGTGGATTCCATTGCAAAAGTTGTCTTGTTTCAAAGAAAACAAAAAGCAGGAGAAGTATAAAGACGAAGGTCATTCTGGAATGGATCTCCCACAGGAAGCCTGAGAGTTTGGCAAAGGACCCTGATCCACTCCCAGGAAGAGGGAAGGCAACGTGGCAACCATGAGACCAAAATAGTGTAGGCTGCACTCTGCCAGTGAAGTCAAATTGCTCTTGAAAACATGAAAATTAGGATTGATGCTGTCGAGCAATAGACATTCCAAACATACACTCCTAACCACAACAATAATGAAAAAATAAAAATAAAAATGAAAGCAAGAATGGCTAGCTTGTTTTAAGCAGCTTTGCCAGGTGTTTTACACATATCATTTCATTTAATATCCACAGCAACCCTACAAGGTAAAAGCCATTACTATCCCAAGTTTGTAGATAAGAAACTGAGATTTGGAGATTAAGTATGTTGCCAATGTCACAAATCTAGGCAGTGGTGGGGCCAGAATTACAAAACAGGTCATACTGAAACATATAGGTGAAGGCATTGCCTCTAGAATGTAGAAGAAACTACAAAGAGATAAAATGTAAGAAAATATGACAGACACGTAGTGTAGAACTCTGAGGTTCTTGGCCGGGTGTAGTCGCTCACACCTGTAATCCCAGCACTTTGGGAGGCCGAGGTGGGTGGATCACCTAAGGTCAGGAATTCGAGACCAGCCTGGCCAACATGGCGAAATCCCGTGTCTACTAAAAATACAAAAAATTAGCCAGGTGTGGTGGTGGGTGCCTGTAATCCCAGCTGCTTGGGGGGCTGAGGCAGGATAATTGCTTGAACCTGGGAAATGGAGATTGCAGGGAGCCGAGACCACACCATTGCACTCCAGCCTGGGCAACAGAGTGAGACTCTGTTTCAAACAAACAAACAAACAAACAAACAAACTAACTAACTAACTAACTAACTAACTCTGAGGTTCTTGGAGAGCCAGAGAAACAGATGTCATAATCAGGGTTATTGATTAAGTTCTAGAACTTAATAAAATAAAATAAGAACTAGATAAATATTAATGAAATTAAATAAAGCCAATATTGAAAAATCAGAGTCATGTTCCAGGTAGATTAAATAGGAAGCATCACCAAGCACCACAGCTGGGCCCGCAATTTTGGTGATGGGGTTTATGGATTCATGTCTGGCTATTCCTTTCCAGCCTCACTGTTCCAGCCTCCTGGAGGACTCCCTGCTCTCCTTGCCTTCTCCAAAGGCTACTGATGCTCTCCCTAGCCCCACAACCTCCATCCCCTTTCCTCTTTCCTAGCAGAATTCTCCTTTTGTGCAGACATCTGTCTGCTCTCGTATGTGGTCCTCGGCTGTCTAAGGATGCTGCCTCTGCAGGAGCTTGAATCGCGACCCAGGATCGCTCCAGGCAGTCTGCACACTCCATGCCCCAGCCACAGTCACAATCCTCCAGGTGAGTCTCAGAGCCTCGCTGGAGGAGGCAGGAACATTTCTTCTCCTATTGGCCATAGTGCCCACAGGCCCAGAGCTCCCTCAGCCTTCCTGGGAAGCAGGGCCACAGGTAAAGGTGGGGCCGAGAGAGTCATGTGTTGCAGGGCACCAGAGATGAGCAAGGTGGAATAAATTGGGGAGAAACCCACCCTACTCTTGTGACTGTCCATATTTGAGCTGATTTGTTTCTCTATTGTTTCAGCCAGTTGTGTCTTGTTGCCATCTCTGAAATGGAAAACATCCTCACCGATCATTTCTCCGCTCCGCAATCATTGTTTTGTGGTGTGGAGCATTTCCATTTCTGAAATGCAAATTTGGTCCCCACTCACCCCTAGATACTGCCATGGTCTAGCTTCCTAGCCAGACTCTTGGCACACCAGGTTCCATGATCCTGGCTACACTATACTTTTGTCTTGGTTTGGTTTGGTTTTACACCTTTGAGGTTTTGTAAGATCTCCCTCTTTGTGGATTGACTTCACTCTTCACCCCACTCTCTGCAACACACCAGGTAACTTTCTTCTTTGTCCAGAAAAGATCAAGATCCCTTCCTGGAGATTCTCCCTGGGTCTCACTTCCCTAAGCCTAGATACCCAGTTCCTTCTGTGATCACCTGCATACCTGAGACTGTCCCCTTCCATGGCAATAGTTACATCCTGCTTCATTTCCTCCTGTGACCCCTGCCAGAGGAGCATGGGCTTCTCATGACAGGAGTCCTGTTTGTTTCTCTTTATATCAGTAACATTTTGCAGGAAGCCTGGCATGAGGAGAAGGTTTGACCACTATATGTTGGATTATACTGAACTCTGGTAACATTCTGAAATTGCCAGAAAAAAGAATGCTCCAAGTTCCACAAAAGAAAAATGGAGCACATCTAGAAGAACTAAAATCAAGAGAGCTTCAAACTTCTCAACTGTAACAATCAAAGCAAGAAGAGAGCGGAATAACGGTTTCATAATATCTAAAGAAAAAGGATGTAAGTTCCGTTAGTTTTTTAGGGCTGCCATGACAAAATACCAGGGGATGGGTGGTTATTTTCTGACAGTTCTCGAGGCTGGAAGTCCATGACCAAGCTGTCCACAGGGCTGGTTTCTTCTCAGGCCTCCCTTCCTGGCTTGCCAATGGCCGCCTTCTTACTGAATCCTTGCAGCTGCTTTCCTCTATGCGTGTGCATCCCTGATGACTCTCTCTGCATGTCCAGATTTCCTCTTCTTATAAGGAACCAGTCAGGTTGAATTAGGATCCATCCTAACAGCCTCATACTAACTTCGTTATTTCTTTAAAGACCCTGTCTCCAAACATAGCCCCATTCTGAGGTACTGGGGGTTAGGGCTTCAACATATGAATTCTGGGGGACACAGTTCAGCCCATGACATAAGCCGCACCATCATTCTCATGTGAAAATGACAGGAAGGCCCCATAAGACTTGCATTTCCCAGAACTCCCGATCAACATTGGTTCTGTTCTGAGATCACAGGAAGGCTGAGATAAGCCTGAAATACAGATATCTTAAATAAAAATATAATTGTGGGGAAACACTTTTGCTGACCTGTGAAACTAAAAAATCTAAGAGATAAGTAAAATATATGAATGGGAGATGGACAGTTATGGATAGAGCAAGAGACAAGAAGAATGTTAAGAGAGTGGGGGGATTATGGCTATGTCTAACCCATGGGTAATCATTGGAATTCAATCACCTCAACTTCTTTCTTTCTCCACCTCACATCCAATGCATCAGCAAAATTGTCAGTACTGCTTTGAAAGGTCTCCAGCTCCAACTGTGCCTCACCACCAGACTCTAAGGGGCCTGGACGGGGGCAACAATCTTCTGCCTGGTCTCGCTGCAGCCTGGCCTCCACGCAGCGGCCAGAGGGATCCTTTAAAATTTAATCAGACTAGCCGGGCATGGTGGCTCATGCCTGTAATCCCAGCACTGTGGGAGGCTGAGGCAGGTGGATTACCTGAGGTCAGGAATTTGAGACCAGCCTGACCAATATAACGAAACCCCGTCTCTTCCAAAAAAATACAAAAATTAGCCAGGCGTGGTGGCATGTGCCTGTGATGCCAGCTACTTGGGAGGCTGAGACAGGAGAGAATCACTTGAACCCTGTAGGCAGAGGTTGCAGTGAGTCAAGTTCGTGCCATTGCACTCCAGCCTGGGCAACAAGAGCGAAACTCCGTCTCACAAAAAAAAAAAAAAAAAGAAAAAAAAATTAATCAGACCGCTTTTAATGTAAATCACTTCTCTGCTGAAAAGCTTCTCAAGACCCCCTCCTGCATTCCAGTCCTTCTCCCCTGCCCTGGTTTTGTCAATTTTCCTCCCTGCTCCAGGCCTACTCACTCCCTTGTTGGTCTTTAAGAACGAGCCCCAGGGCCTTTGCACTGGCTGTTCCCACTACCTCACTTTCCCCACCAGCTATTTCCATGCCTTATTTCTCTCTTCATTTGGTTCTTGGTTTTGATGCCAGTGTAGCCTGTGACCCCACAGAAGATGGCTCCCTGTCTTCCTCTCCCCGTCTCTGATCCTGCTTCATTTTCTCCACAGTGCTCCTTACAGTCTGCCATGTTGGTACATTGCCTGTCTTCCTCCACTAGAACGTTGGGGCACAGACCAGAGACTCCCCGCTCTGCCCTCTGTTGGGTCCTCTGTGCCTGGGGCAGTGTTTGCAGGGTGTGAGCTCAATACAGATTTCTGCCATGAATGAACAAAGGCAAGATGCCAAAACCAGAAGAAAAAAAAGGTGTGAAAATACGGGACTAAAGTAATGAAAAATGGGCAAGGCTGGGTGTGCAAGTATGGCCCCCACCCTCCCTAAAAGAACCCCAAAGGCCAGTGGTGCTGAGATCCCATGAGCACTGGAATGACAGCCATTTTACAAATGTGGGTGTGATGCCTGAGACCATAGCAGTGAGAAGAATGGAGCGCGTACCTTCCAAGTAATTTTAAATGTTAGCTCCAGGTAGATCATGGTTAATGCATCAAAAATGATAAGTGATGAGGCTTCTCTAACTGATGATAACAATAAACTGTGTTGATGACTATGCCAGTGGCCCCAAGGGTTTAAGTTCACCCATCCAAAAACACTCCAGGTCCCTGGGTAGGTTAAAAATGAAAATCTAACAGAATGTTGCTTATTAGACATCCAGCTACACAACAAGAAAAGATTTTAGAAATAGAGAAGGAAAACAAATACACATTCTCAATTTTAAATATTAGATTAAAATCTATTTATTTTGATAAAAATATAAAAAATAATAAATGCATGACATCAATTAAATTCCTTGGATAGGGTCAAATAATATAGCATCAAGGTATTTTAAATAAAATCCAGGAGAAAAGTAGCAGTGGAGATGGTTAGATATTGACAAAAATACAATTATAAGGAGATACATGCATTCACTATTAGCAGGAAATGCGAATAAAATAAGAGTAGAGAGAAAGTCATCAACATAAATAATAAGAGTAAACAGATATGAGCAATACTATTTTGCCATAACAGGAATCACTCATCTCTATTAAAAATTTTCTGTAACCAGATGGAATATAAATACAAATGATAAAACCTTCCAATCAAAAGATTACCCTTTGATCCAAACACAAAGGCAAATGGACACTAAACAAAGCCCTGAAGAAAATCTAAATAAACTTCAAAGAACAGAGGGTTTCAGGGGCTTCATTCTCTAGTAGGAAGAGGAAAGCAACAGAAATTATAGACATGATGAATACATCCACGAGCTAGTTTTCTGAAAAAGAGTGTAAAAACAATAACATTTATAAATCTCCAGAGAATCTAACTAAAAGTGAATAGGAGAAAGTAAACATAAACCAAATTAGAAATGAACGGGGAAAGAAATAATAATAATAATAATAATTTTTGGAGACTTCACTGGTCGTTGCATCTTCCCAGATTTGGAAATAGCAAGGTGTTTCACCTTCTGTGAGTGGGGCTCTCAGAATATGGGATGCCTGGCTGGGGGTGGGGGGATTTTATGGCAGGTGGGGGCTCTAGCTTTTGCAGGGCTCCAAGTCATGGGGGTTAGGGGTTATTCCTTGGTTGGATGTTGGCTGGCTTCGGGCTTTCTTGGCGGGTATATAGGTTCACTTTAGACCAGTATTGCCACTGGTTCTCAAATGAGAGAAAAGCGTGGGGCTGAGTCAGTTCTTTTCTGTTTTATTTGAAGATTCGTTTACATTTTCAGCTCGGAGAAGATAATATTCCACGTATCATCTTAGAGCGTGTCTCTCATCGTCCACTATGGGCCAATTCTCCTTTCCATCCTTTAGGGTACCTTTGCCATTTTGACAACCCATACAGACCTTAAACTGCATTCCTTAATATGGTTATGGCTGTTTAAACTAAAATTACAAGATGTTAAAAAAAGAAATACATATTGAACATGGAAAAACAAAAATAAAAAGACTTTATTTGTAGATGACAGGAGTATTTAACGAGAAAAGCCAAAGCAAGCAGATTTTAAAAGTGGGAGAATTAATAAAAGGTTTTAAGTACGACTACCGTTTACAGGGTAAGTTGTCAAAAATGGAATGGATTCCTTTGCTGCAGCGAAGACTAGATGGATCCCTTCTGCCAATGTCATTCCGTTCCTAAAGCAGCGGGAAGCATCGCTTAGAACCCAGGGAATCTGCAGAGGCGGGACTGAAGAGAGCCAAGCAACGCTGTTGGAATAGAGACACACCCTGGGCTAGATGCAGTGAGACCTGGCGCTTTGGGGTAGCAAGGGTCTGGGGGCTGGGTCCTGTCCCTCTGGAGTGCCTGCTGTGTGCTTTATATTAATTTTATTAATAATTGTTCTCAGACGTTAGAATAGTGAAAAATCACCCCAAGAAAGAGTGAAACGTGGAGGTTCCGAGGCCTCTGCCAGGGGCTTCAGCACATCTGCGTGGGGCTGGAATCTACTTTTAGTCCAGTGAGAAGCTGAGGCAGAGTCCCCGATGTCTGTGTGAGGTGCGCAGCTCCGCTTCCTGGGCCTCATTCCTGATTTTCGGATGAGGAAAAGCAGAGCTGAGCGGGATGCAGGGACCCACGCACAGTGCTGCTGCTGAGTACAGAGCTGGGCGGGACGCAGGGACCCACGGACAGTCCCGCTGCTGATACAGAGCTGGCCTTGGGTGTGCCTCGTTTGGCTTCTGCAGGCAGAGGGAGTGACTGTGTGCGTGTGGGCCCGTGGACGCACGTGCAGGCACATATGTACATGTGTGCCATGCATGAGGTGCTTGTCTTCACCATTGCAAGCAGCAGGGACCACCGGCACCAAGAGGTGCTGTGCAGACCCCAGCCCATTTCTCAGGACTCCATGGGCGCGCACAGGACGTGCTCTCGTCCCTGCCAGGGAAGTGGCTCCTGGCGGTCTGGGCTCCTGTTGCTAGGAAACCGCTCCCTTCGATTGTGTATGTCGAGCATGCCTGTGTTTGTCTTTGGCTCTCAGAAGGACAAAATTCACCATGTGGCGACGGAGAAATAATATTGAAAAGTACTTAAAAAATGAAAGAAGTGCCAAATGGCGCTCTGGATTGCAGATGCTCCCCGTGCTGCTGGCGTCGCGTGGATGGGGGACCCGGGCTGCATTCTGAGGCGCTGCTCTGTCTCCCATGTACTCTGCCTTGCTCCCAGATAGCTCTGCGCACAGCCCTGTCCTGTGTCCCTCTGGCATGCAGACCGTGGTGTGCAGGTTTGCAGGGCAGCATGGGGCTTGTGGCTTGCCCTCTGTCCCTGCTCTCTCTCTCTCTCTCTTTGTTGAGACAGGTGTCCAGGCAGAAGGGAAGGCCGCTTGTAAGTTTGAGCCATCTCTTAGTGTCTGGAGAAGTGGGGAGTCGTGGGGACATGGCAAGGCACACTTCACCCATCTGGAGGCAGAAGATGCTAGGGAGAGAGCGGTAACTGCTTTTGAGGTGGCGCTGGTCTGTCCTGACCACCTGTGACTCTGTGGGCAAAGGTCAAGGTTGCATTACAGCCTGTGGGTCAGGATGCAGGTGCTCTATCAATGGCTGGCTGCCTGGGAGAGAACTGGGGATTTTCTTGCCATGCGGCAGGAAGGAGAGTTCGCTCTGGTGCCTGGTGGCCTCTTCCCCATTGCCTCCTTCCCTGCTACACTTCTGGCTGCTCACACCTCCAGCCCATCCATTTGTGTCAGGGCCCCTGGGTCCTTGGTGCCCCGGCCCACACCAGGCCTTGGCTCCGGTTGACATGTGACTTTGAACTCCCCATCCCAGGGCTGCTTGTTCCAGCAGGCAATTCCCTGGACTGACCTCTTTTCAAGTTCCGCGAGTTGATCATGGCCCCTGGTGTGAGCTTGAGCATTTCCTGCCGCCTCCTTGTCTGCCTGCTGATGCTCTCGGCATCTCCGGCAAGCCCCCCTCCGACCCTCTGTAACCTACAAGCAAGCAGAGCCGGGAGAGGCTGCACAGGCAATCAGGCGCTCTGGCTGACGAGGATGCCTGAAGATGAAATATGAATAAGAATATGCACTGGGGGCCTGTGGGCCCTGCTGGCAAACTTGCACCTTGTCTGGCCTCCATGTGGGCCCAAACCTGCCTCCCGACCTCCCTCGGCAGGTGGAGGTGTGAATGTTGGGGGCCGCCGAACACTAGGAAGTGTCCTCATGCATCACAATTACAGAAACACCTGTGCTAAATACCTTTGTGCTGGTTGGTTGTGCAAATTCACGAGGTGTTCAATTGCTTCCAAATTTCTTATTTCTACACTGTCAACAAGCCGCAGGTGTGCACGGCATGAGCCGCCGCCGCTGTGGTTTGGAGGCCTGTGCTGACAGCTTTGCATCCAGCATGCATTTGTCCTCACCAGCGCCCTGCACCCCATATACATCCCCACATTTACAGAGGGCTCGGAGGAGATTCGTCACGTCGGACCTGCCTCTCGGCTCTTGGCATCCAAGGATGGGAGGAGGGAGCAGAAGGTAAAAGCGCCGCGGATGGAGCTCAGCAGGCTCTCAGGTGGGACAGGCGCCGTCTGAGGCCTTACCTGTGGAAAATGGGGAGCAGGGCCACAAGGAGTTTCTGCTCAAGAGAACAGACGGGCTCGAGGTGCGTGCTGCTGGCCTGTGCTTGCATCTGGCCTGGGCTATTTTAAAGAATTTTGTGATCATTACTAATATCAAATGTCAAGAACGTTCACCTATTAAATCTGGATTTCTGGCTCATTTTGGACAATGGACAGTCCGTCCTGCAGAGCCCACATTCCCCTGTTTAAAGCACGATTATTGGCCTCCTCTATGGAAGGAACACGCCCTTCTTGGCAGGCTTCATGCCCCACCATCCCTTGCTGGGCCCCTGCAGGCAATTGGGTTGGTGGCAAGTGGCTGAGAATGCTGCTTCCACATGCACACAGGCAGCTGGGCAGATGCATGGCATTCTCCTCCGGATGGCGGCCTCGAGAACAGGCTTACAGAATTCTGCAGACCCCACACTTGAATATTTTTCTGGATTTGTGCATAAAATTGTTCCTGAGTATTTCCTAATTTAGAAACATAACACTGGGAATTTCCTGCTGGCAACATTTTGGATTGAGACTTTAGGTGTTTTCTAGCTTTCTAGTTGGTGAGTAGCCAAAACTGCTGGTGCTCTTTGTGACTGTCTCTCTCCCTGCAGATGCTCCGCCTGTCGCATGATCAACCCTGGCAACCACAAGCCCTGTTGCTGCAGGGCCGGTGCTCCCATGGGAAGGAGCTGAACCAGTGTCTTGGGACCCCGACCTTTGTGCTGGAACCAGAGCTTCATCCAGTTCTCCATCCACATGCAGGCGCCAGGGGTGGGGCAGGGATGTTGGGAGGCAGCATCCTCTCTCAGTTGGCTTTGGCATCTCTGTCTGGGTGCCTGTGAGTTCCATACAGCTGCTCTGCCAGTGCAGGTGTTTCCGAGTAAATAACCACTGCCCTTAATAAGTCCAGATTCAGCCACTTTGTTAACAAATGAGGTTCCTGGGTGTATACCCAAAGGATTATAAAACATGCTGCTATAAAGACACATGCACACGTATGTTTATTGCGGCACTATTCACAATAGCAAAGACTTGGAACCAACCCAAATGTCCAACAATGATAGACTGGATTAAGAAAATGTGGCACATATACACCATGGAATACTATGCAGCCATAAAAAATGATGAGTTCATGTCCTTTGTAGGGACATGGATGAAGATGGAAACCTCATTCTCAGCAAACTATCGCAAGGACAAAAAAACCAAACACCTCGTGTCCTCAATCATAGGTGGGAATTGAACAATGAGAACACATGGACACAGGAAGGGGAACATCACACACTGGGGACTGTTGTGGGGTGGGAGGGATAGCACTAGGAGAAAACCTAATGCTAAATGATGAGTTAATGGGTGCAGCACACCAACATGGCACATGTATACATATGTAACAAACCTGCACATTGTGCACATGTACCCTAAAACTTAAAGTATAATAATAATAATAAAAAAAAGAGGTTCCACACACTTCCGGAAGGCTGGATGCACTCACAGCAACCTTTGCCCACCTTCACTATTTGATCACTAACAGTATGTTTCCATCTCCCTAGGTGTATCAGGAACTGAACAGGATAGAATAAAATTAATACGACATGCATCTCTTGAGTGTCTACTCTGTATCAAGAACCATGCTAACTCAAAAGCACAGTGGTGAGCATATTACACGTGGATTCTGCCCCTGCTGCTGCAAACTCACCAAAGAACATGCTGGACACACAGCTCAGAAAAGGGCCAGGGGCCAGGCTGCAGTGCATTCTGCCAGGGCTCTGGAAAGCAGGGGCCATGCTGACTGAGGATGTGAGGGAATGCTTCCCGGTGGCAGTAGCATTTGAGGTCTTGCAGGATAGAGGATGACCATTCCAGGGAGGGGCACTGAGCACAGCATGGACATACAAAGCTGGTGACACCAGGTCAGAGGAAACAGACACACTCAGCTTCCCATGAGTGCATGAAAGATCCAGGCTGGAGCCTTCTCTGGGAGGAAGTTGGTCTGGGGTGGGGCCGAGGGGGCCGAGTCTCCCATACCTGAGGGAAGAGACGGTTAGACGTTGCACGTGTGTATTCTCATCCCTCCGTCTCCTCTCTCACGAAGGCATTTTCTTGAGTGCTTCCTCTCATGAACACTCTTCAGTGGGCCCACTGCACACCATTCCTCTGCCTCCTTTTTCTCCACCTACTAGCAAGGCTAAGCTCCCAGCCTGCCCTAGCCTGGACACCTGCTGGCAAAAATCTGCAGCCCCACTGACTGGCCTCAACCTGAAATCAGGACCTCAAAGGACAATCAACCATGCAGCCAACTCACCTGCCCTGCTTTTGTGTATTTCCTCTCCCACTCTCCAACGTGATTCTTCCACACCATCTTCTCCCCCTCTATCTTCTCAAACTCTTCATTTGGCATCCCCCTACCAAACTCCCAGCCAGGACCTTATTCTTATGTCACTGAGCAAAACCATTAGATGGGGACCGAGCATCTTCCCACCACCACCTCAGCCCGTCACCTGCATCTGTCTCTACTTTCATGTCCTGGAGGAGGAAGAGCCTTGCTCCCATCAGAGGGAGCTCCTCCTCCTGGGTGGGGGGAACTTCTTTTGCCTTCCCGGGACTTTGCATCTGCAATTGTGCCCCTGTCTCTGGCATCGCTAATCATCCCCATTGGATAATGGCCTGTAGCATGCATGAAGATGTCTTAAGGAGACTGTCCTCTGGGGCCCCTCATCTCTATCCAGCGATGACTACGCTTCTTTTCCGGGCCAACCAAGGCCCCTGCTGGGTGAGGTGTGTGTTCATGTGTTGGTCCCCAATGTCCCTTGATTGAAGAGTGATGTCTATTTTTTCTGCTGGCGCGCTGGCCAGGTGGCTGCCTCTAGCTCCCCTGGCTCCCCTGCTGTGATAAAAATCTCCCCAATCCCAGGCTTTTGTGTCCTGCAGCAAAACAGCCTTGCCTTGCTCCTCTCCTAGTGGATCCCAATCAGGCTTTATATTTTAGCTAAAGACTCACTTCCTCAGCGCACCTGTTCCCCTGGCCACCGACGCCAACTGTCCCTCCCATTAGAGGCTTCCCCTGCGTCTCTGTAGACCTGGCACCGTGAGAGTGTCAGATTTGAGTGGTGTGTTTTTTGATATGAGAATGTTGGCTGAAAGTTAGAAGACTTGCTCATGAGCCCCTTGCTCCTCTGCGCAGGAGCCTGAAGCCAGCCCCAGTGGCTTTGTCCTGACCGTATGCCGCTGCCCTGAGGACCACACTCTCTCCTGGCTGGCAGCCCCGCTCCAAAGCTGCCTGAGCACTTCCAGCCGGAACTTGGGGCGGGTGGACATCCCTTTCATGAATTGTCAGTTTACCGTTGAAGAATGGGAGGAGGGAGAATTGAAAGGAAAGGAGAGAGGGAGGAGTGCCTTGTGAAGATGGAGGCGGAGTTGGCACCTCACTGCTGCAGCTGAGGTGTACCAAAGTGTCACCAGAAGCTGGGACAAAGCCAGGGATGGCTCCTCCTTCAGAGCTTCAGAGGAGCCCACCTTACCAACACCTGGACTCCTGGTCTCCAGAGCTGCAGGAGAACACACTTCTACTGCTTGGAGCCCCCTGCATTGTGAGAAGTTGTTACTGCAGCCCCAGGAAATGGATACAACAATCAAAAAACATCAGGGGATTTGGTAACATGGATCTCATTGGCATAAAATAAATAGGCAGAAAATCTAATTCTTTAAATTTGATTGCATTTTGACACATTGGCTGATCCATTTTACTATCCACTAATTGAATAAATACATGAAAACTATTTTGTTTTTAAAAATGGAGGTGACAGGAGCCTGCAGTGCAGGTTAGAGGACACACAGAGGGAGGTGACCCCCAGGACCCAGCTGACCCCATAGGATAGAATATTCCAAGTGTTGCAGCCTCCGTACAGACTAGGGGTCACAGCGCTGCTGTTCTGCAAATTTATCTCTGAATCATTTTCACAAACTCTGTTTTGGGTTAAAGACAGAAATCTACCAAACAGCACACAGATTAACCTATCACTGAGTTAAATGGGTTGTCAGTGTGGGGAGCCTGGGCTCGGCCCAGTGAATTCAAATGCATGTAAATTTCCCTGGTGGCAGAAGAGAGGATGGTGGGGCTGTCAGCCGGTGACATGTGGAAATACATTAACAGTGTTTAAAATACATTTGAAGGGGCCGGCTCATATTCTGATAACACGCTCCCTGACAAATGATTTGTGGAAGATGGGAAATTCCAGTCTCATCATCAATTCCAGAGGAATCTTTGTAATAAGCCCCTCCCAGGACGTCGGGTGTTTTAGACAAGTTCTAAAACAATTAACAATGCCTGCCTGGGCCAAAGCAGGTCCCCTGTGCCACTGAGGGATGGAGCCAGCATTCTGATAGCATTGCTTGTCAGCGTCACTCCCGCTTACAAAAAAGTGATTAAAAACTTCAAAAGAACCAGTTTCATTGTGTTATACACCTGTAGAGTGGCTACCCCACACGGAAGGCACTGGATCCTCTCAATTCTGCATCTCACTTGGCTCGGTGGTTTTAGTCTTGCATATTTGGTAGGAAGCTGGATGTTCCTGACTTAACGTAATTACTCTCAATGTTTAAGGAAAAGAGAGCTACTGAGAGCCGCACTGTGTCTGTTTAAAGAACGGACCTGTCCCTTTGGGGTGTGAGTTAGTTTTCATAACTGCAGGGCTTGCTGGATGTCTCCCCAGTTTTCAAGTGAGGCCCCAAAGTAAGTGACTCTTGAATGGTAAATGTGGGCTCTCTATACCCCCAGCTTCCCAGGATAAATAGAGCAAGTTCTTCTATAAAGACAAGTCACAATCTGCTGTCATCTCCTGGGTCCCTTCTTGCTCTCCTAGCCACGCAGAGTCCTGGAGTCCTAATTGCATCTCAATTCCAATCTCTCCAGGTCTCCTTTACATGGCAGGCTACCTTGAAAATTGGTGCTCAAGAGCCAGCGTCTCCTGGCAGTGCCAGAGATACAGTGGAGCTGGACCCTTTCTTGAGCTAGAAATAAAGTCATTGATATCCACGACCTAAACTGGAACTGTGATCCCTTTCTTGATATATTCCTTTTAAATCATACATATTAATATCTGAATTGATGTGACAGAATAATGAACTAGGTCTTGGTCCTGAGCTCACTGAGGACACACACACACAATTTGAAAACTACAGGACAAGGGCTGCAATGACAGATCTTACAGGAAGCTTTGCAAGCACAGTGGTCTGGCACCTAACTCAGAATAGGGCTGAGAGCCAGATGTGGGCAGGCTACCCAAGGGAGGCCGGGAGTTGGCGAGGTGCAGATGGGCAGGGAAGAATGATCATGGCTGGGCCCCCCATATGTAAAGGTATGAGAATTGAGCATTCATTATGCACCTACTCTGTGCTGTGTCCTGGAACTCAGTTTGGGGATTTGGAAAGAAAAGACTAACCTCCTTCAAGGAGGCTATTGGAAGAAATGACCTTGACTGATCTGTGAATCACAGATCACTGTCAGTACCCGAGTAAAACCTGCATCTCCAGAAACAGGTCTGCGATGGCCATTTCTCTCCAGCAGGATTTCTCAGCCTCGGCGTTATTGACAGTTGGGCTGGAGAGTCCTTCCCTGTGGCGAGCTGTCCTGTGTGTTATAGTTTCACCACATCCCTGGCCTCTACACATGATATGCCAGGGGCACCACTCAACCTCAAGTTGTGACAACCAAAACTGTCTGCAGTCATTGCCAAATATACCATCAGAGGCGCCATGATTTCTACTTGGCAATAACTACTCTACAGCCAAAGGGAGAGCAAGAAAGCTCTGTCTTGCTTTATTCATCACTAAATGTGGAATCGGGTAGGCTATGACTAGGAGGCCTATGTTCAAAGGGCTCAGACAGGTGGGAGGGTGTTATTTTTTCAGACAACAGTCCAGCATTGTTCGGTGGCCCAAAGTGGGCAGACAGGGCCACTCCTGAGCTGTGCAGAGACTGGAAGTCTCCGTCTTGTGACTTGCTCCCAAGGTGTTGCTCCTGACTGAGGGTGTAACCTGGCCCATGTGGGCCTTGGAGAGGAAGCAAAGAACAAGGTGGGGAAGCAATGTTATCACTGAAATCCACCAGGAAGCTGCCCATAGGGGTTCTGTTTACTTGTCCACAGTCACGTCACCCTTCCTCGGTGCAAGCCGAGGAGCGAAGTTAACCCACCGCTGGGTGGCCACGCCCCTGGTGACAATGCAGGGGGAAGGTGGCAGTTACTAAAAGGAGGAGGGCAGTGGGACACCGGGGAAGTGACAAGTCTCTGCTACACCCAACAGACGCCCAAGCGGAGCCTGCTGGGCATGGACACGGACTCAGGCACTGGGGACAGGCAGCAGGTCAGACAGGTAGTCCCTGTCCCAACAGCACGTATACTGCACTGAGGTGGAGAGAGACTGACAGTTACAAAAAGAAATGAATGTAAGTTTTGATAAGTACCTTGAAGGAGACAAATCAGGGCACTGAGGGAGAGAGAATAAAAGTGCGGGGACTGACTTTAGACTGGTGGGTGGAGAGGGCGTCATGTAAGATGTGACAACTGAGGTGAATCTTGTGTGACCAGAGGGAGCCAGCCATGGGCAGCAAGGTTGTGTGTGTGGTGTGTGTGTGTGTGCGTGCGGTGTTGGTATGTGTGCTGCGTGTGCATGTGTGTGGGGTGTGTGGTGTGTGTGTGTGCATGTGGTGTAGGTATGTGTAGTGTGTGTGCACGATGTAGGTATGTGTAGCGTGTGTGTGGGGTGTGTGTGCACGTGTGTGTGCATGTGGTATAGATATCTGTAGTGTGTGCCTGTGTGTATCAGGGGCATGTGCATGTGTGTGTGGTGTGTGTGTACATGCAGTGTAGGTATGTGTAGTTTATGTTCACATGTGTGGTGTGTGTGCACATGCATGTGCACGTGTCTGTAGGTATGTGTAGTGTGTGTGTGCACATGTAGTGTGTGTGCATGTGTGTGGTGTGTGTGCTTATGGTGTAAGTATGTGTCTTGTGTGCACACGTGTGTGTGTGCATGGTGTGTGTGCACATGTGCGTCTATGTCTGCGTGTAGGTACGTGTAGAGTGGTGCACGTGTGCGTGTGTGTGTGTGTGTCTACGTGTATGTAGTCAGGGAAGTGCATTCCAGGCAGAGAAGACATGCGCAAGCCATAAGGCAGAGAAACAGCCAACATAACCCCTCTGTCTCTGGTTCCATGCTGCAGTGAGCCATGATTGCGCCACTGTACTCTAGCCTGAGTGACAGAGGCAAGACCGTGTCTCAAAACAAAACCAAGCCAAACAAAACATTAGAATCAGTTTATCAGATTCCACAGAACATTATACTAGAATTTTACTAGGAGCATGGTATATTTTGTGCTATTTTTATGTCTTCTAATAAATTTTATTGTTTTCTTTATCAAGGTTCATTTTTCTTTGTCTGCCAGTTTTGTCTCATTTTCTCTAAGCTTTTTCACCTTGAGTTTTTCTAAACTACAGAAAAGTTGAAAGATTGGTACAATGAGTCTTCACATAGTCTCCACCAAAATTTATAAATTATTAATATCTTATCACTTTTATGTTTTATGAACAATTAGAGAGTAAGTTGCAGAAGTCGTGACACCTCACCCCCACATGATTTACATTTCCAATGAAAGGAAAGAAACCACTCTTCTGCATAACCACAGTATTGTCATTATAAACAAGACATTGAATCGGATTAAAGTTCTCTGTTGTTCAAAATATGTCTTCAATAGCTGTTTTCCTCCATCTTGTATCCAATAAATGATTATTCATTGGGTTTTGGTTGACATATCAATCAACCCATTTTAAACTGCAACATTCTCATGACTTTTTTTCTTTTATTATTCATGGCACTAATATTTCCAGGCATCTAGGATCCAGGCCAGTTCTGTTGCAGAATGTCCCATAATTTGATTGTTTCCTTGTCATTTGACTATGCTTTGTTGACAAGAATACTTCCTACTATACTGTAGGTGAGGTTGGGCTCAGGCTACTGCTTTGTAGCAAAAGACACAAACTGTCAGGTTGTCCCATGATTGGTGATACTAAGTTTGGTCACTTAGTTGCTTACAATGGTGTTCACCACATCCCTCCCCTGTAAAGGCATTTTGCCCCCTTTTTAATTAAGAATGAATCTGTTGAGGGTGCGAGGCCAGGATGGCTGACTAGAAGCAGCGGTGATGGGAGGCCCCCATCGAAAAGAACCATAACAGCGTGCCAATCCTGCACCAGCAACCAAGGTATCCAAGTTCTGTCATCAGAACTGACTAGGTGGCTGGCATGACCCACGGAGAGGAAGAAAGAGTGGCGTGGTGCAGCAGCCCACCTGACAGCCACATGAAGCAGGGGAGCCCCCACCCCCCAGCTAAGGGAGGCAGTGAGTGAGCATGCTACCTACCTGGAAAAACATGCTTTTTCTACGGAACTGTGCAACCCACAGATTGGAAGATCCCACTCGTGAGCCCACATCACCAGAGCCTAGGGTCCTAACTACGGAGCCTTGCAGAGTCTCAACAGCCACTAAGCTAGAATCTGCTTAAGCCTGTTGAGCTCCCGGAGGGAGGGGTGACCAGCACCACAGCTGCGGCTGCCTGCTGTCTAAGCAGTTTGAGCTCCTTGGGAGAAAGGCAACAGCCAACACTAGGACGGATAGCCACCTAACACACTAAGCTCCCAGGGCGGGGGAAGGGCGGGAGCCATCTCTATAGCTCCAGGCCGTGTTTTCCTCTGCTGGAGGGAGGGAGGCTGGAAGGCTTAGTGCCAATAGGTATCCCCCACAGCCCAACACACTGGCTGTGGCAGACTGCAGACAGAGTGCCTCTTCAGGCTTGACCTTGACCCACCCTTCGTTACTGGGTGGGGCCTCCATGTAGGAACTCCGACAACTCCAGCCAGGGGCTCAGGGAGAGGACTTTGATCTCCCTGGGCCTCAGCCTCTAGGGGGAGGGGTGGCCGCAGACTCTATAGACCAGCAGACTTAGTCTTTCCTCCTGCTAGTTCTGAGGAATCCGGGAAGTCCAGATGAGTGGGTTTCCCCCCAGCAAAGCACAACCCCTCCACCATGGGACAGTCAAAGTGCTTCATTAAATGGGTCCTGTTCCCCATGCCACCCAATTGGGGGAGACCCTCCAACAGGGGTTATCAGACGCCCTATATGGGAGCGTTCCTACTGGCATCAGGCTGGCACTCCTTGAGGTCAGAGATCCCAGAGGAAGGAGCAGGCACCCTTCTTTGCTGTTCTCCAGCCTCCTCAAGTGACATCTCCAGGTGTGAGAGTGAACCCAATGAATAGGGCCTGAAGTGAACCCCCAGCAAACTGCAGCAGCCCTACAGAAGAGGGACCTGACCATTGCAAGACAACAAACAAACAGAAAGCAACAACAACAGTATCAACAAAAAAAAGTCCCCACAAAAACCCCATCTGAGAGTCAGCCGGCTCAAAGATTGATACTAGACAAACTCAAGAAGATAAGAAAGAATCAGCAAAAAAAATGCTGAAAACCCAAAGGGCCAGAGTGCCTCTTCTCCTCCAAATGATTGCAGTGCCTCTCCAGCAAGAGTGCAGAACTGGATGGGGTATGACATGGACAGAATTGACAGAAGTAGGCTTCAGAAGGTGGATAATAACAAACTTCACTGAGCTAAAAGAGCATGTCCTAACCCAATGCAAAGAAGCTAAGAACCTTGAAAAAAGGTTAGAGGAGCTGCTAACAAGAATAATCAGTTTAGAGAGGAACATAAGAGACCTGATGGAGCTGAAAAACATAGCACAAGAACTTCGTGATGCATACACAAGTATTGATAGCCAAATAGATGAAGCAGAAGAAAGGATATCAGAGTTTGAAGACCTTCTTGCTGAAATAAGGCATGCAGACAAGATTAGAGAAAAAAGAATGAAAAGGAATGAATGAAACCTCTGAGAAATATGGGACTATGTAAAAAGACCGAACCTATGACTGATTGGAGTACCCGAAAGTGACGGGCAGAATAGAACCAAGGTGGAAAATGTGCTTCAGGTTACTACCCAGGAGAACTTCCCCAACCTAGCAAGACAGGCCAACATTCAAATTCAGGAAATACAGAGAACACCACTAAGATACTTTACGAGAAGATCAACCCCAAGACACATAATCATCAGATTCTCCAAGGTTGAAATGAAGGGAAAAATGTTAAGGGCAGCCAGAGAGAAAGGCCAGGTCACCTACAAAGGGAACCCCATCAGACTAACTGTGGACCTCTTAGCAGAAACCCTACAAGGCAGAAGAGAGTGGGGGCCAATATTCAACATTCTTAAAGAAAAGAATTTTCAACTCAGAATTTCATATCCAGCCAAACTAAGATTCATAAGTGAAGGAGAAATAAAATCCTTTCCAGACAAGCAAATGCTGAGGTACTTTGTCACCACCGGGCCAGCCTTATAAGAGCTCCTGAAGGAAACACTAAACATGGAAAGGAACAACCGGTACCAGCCACTGCAAAAACACACCAAAATATAAAGACCAATGACACTATGAAGAAACTGCATTAACTAGTGTGCAAAATAACCAGATAGCATCATGATGACAGTATCAAATTCACACATAACAATACTAACCTTAAATGTAAATGAGCTACATGCCCCAATTAAAAGACACAGACTGGCAAATTGGATAAAGAGTCAAGACATATTGGTGTGTTGTATTCAGGAGACCCATCTCACGTGCAAAGACACACATAGGCTCAAAGTAAAGGGCTGGAAGAAAATGTACCAAGCATATGGAAAGCAAAAAAAAAAAAAAAAAAAAAAAAGCAGGCATTGCAATCCTCCAGAAATAGACATGGAGTCCCTTGCATTTGGTGCTCAATTATAAGACAGTTAGAAATAGATAAATTGATAGATAGATAGATAATAAACAGATAAATAGATGATAGAAAGATAGATAAATAGATAGATAGACAGATAGATTCTATAATGTCAACAAAGATTGACTGAGGAACGATGAGCTGAGCTATGTCCAGAACTCACACATATCTGGGTGACTGTAGTGTTCCAAGGATCCACATGAGAGAGTCCTCACTGAACGTTCGGAGTACTCAAAGAAGACCCCAGAAGGGCCACACTTGGCAGCAGAGATAAACTAGAACAGACTCTACAACCACTCTAATAAAGTTTAAAAACAAATCTTATAATAATCAAATGGATCCTTAAGTAACCTAACTTCTTGCAAGAAAAATGCCCAATAGTCTTTGAAAGAAGACAATAAAATTCAACATACAACAACATGAAATTTACAGTGTCCATCTTCAAGTTAAAAATTATGAGATACGTGAAGAGACAGAAAATGTGAGAGAAATCAGAATATAAGAATAGACCTAATAAGCAGACAAAAATTTTACAAAACCTGTTATAAAAATATTCAATATACACAAAATTAGGAAAGAAAAGAAATACTAATGCCACTTTTAGAGATGAAAACTACAGTATCTGAATTTAAAAATATACTGAATGGGATTGGCAGCAGATGAACCTTG
This sequence comes from Homo sapiens, assembly GCF_000001405.40. Taxonomy (NCBI): domain Eukaryota; kingdom Metazoa; phylum Chordata; class Mammalia; order Primates; family Hominidae; genus Homo; species Homo sapiens. The sequence goes on from NC_000010.11 coordinate 128,443,455, forward strand.
AATACATAGCAATAAAAAACTGCAATATTAGCACAGAGGTAAAAAATGACTTGGAGAAAAGTAAATAGAGGTACAGTGATATGTGATATGATACCAAGTGGTCTAACATGCTTAGAATAGGTGATCGCGAAGGTTAAAACAAAGGGAGACAGAAAAATACTAAAACTTTCAAATTTTACAGAGTATAAATTCATAGGTTTAAGAAGCTCAATAAACCCAGAGCAGAATCAACATTAAAAAATACTAAGGGCATTGTAATTATTGATTAACACCAGTGATATATAAAGAAATATGTAAATATGCCTTGTTATTTTAAAAAAGCACATTATGTACAAAGGAACAAGGTAATCATAACCTCAGTTGTCTCACATGTAAGCCAGAAGACGATAAACTAAAATCTTTAGAAATGTAAACCTAGAGATACATAAACAGCAAAAATACGTCTTTCAAAAATGAAGATAAAATAAAGACATTTCACAGGCCAGTGGAATCTAGGAGAAGCACTAACAGTCCTGCACTGAAAGAAATGAGGAAGGAAATTCCACAGGCTGAAGAACTAAACCAGATATAAATATGGATGTACAAAAGTGATGAAAGTCGGAAAGGAAAATACATGTGTAAATGTAAAAGATTTACTTTTATTTATTTTTTACTTATTTTTATTATTTTTTTATTATTTTATTATTATTTATTATTATTTTTTATTTATTTTTACTTACAAGATAATGGTTTAGAAAAGAAAAAAGACATAAAAGAACAACCAATACATGAAGCAACATGAATCTTAAAATAATTACACTGAGCCAAAAAAGTCTGCCATAAAAGAATACATACCATATGATATTTACAGACAGTTTGCACTTTGCCCAACAGTGCAGGACTAAAAAGTGATAGCGCAAGCTGAAACTATGCAAAGTGGCGTCAATAATCCATGGGAAGAGTTATACTTGTTCTGTGATCTTTAACAATTTTTGTCAAAACATTAATAATTATCTCACTGTTGGTTATAAATAAGAAAATAAAAACTATAAAAACTAGTATTTATTTAGTGCATGGTAATGTAAACCATTACAAACACTGAGAATTAAAGTGTTTTATTTCTTTGTTTCAAAACACCTTTTCAACAGTGCTTGCATTTTTCTTCTCATGCTATAATTTAAAATATGAGTGAGCATCTTTTCAAAGCCTGAATGAATTGCCCTACCTCTAAGTTTGGATCAGTCTAACATTTTATCCATTGTGCTTTCAGTGTCATAAAATCTCTCCCAAACTCTTTTTTTTTGTTTTTTGTTTTTTTGAGGCAAGTCTTGCTCTGTCATCAGGCTGGAGTGAAGTGGCGTGACCTTGGTTCACTGCAACCTCCACCTCCTGGGTTCAGGCAATTCTCCTGCCTCAGCCTCCCAGGTAGCTGGGATTAAAGGTGCATGCCACCAAACCCAGCTAATTTTTGTGTTTTTAGTAGAGACGGCTTTTCACCATGTTGGCCAGGCTGGTCTTGAACTCCTGACCTCAGGTGATCCACCTGCCTCGGCCTCCCAAAGTGCCGGGATTACAGGTGTGAGCCACCGTGCCCTGCCCAAACTCTCTTTAATGTGATGATTTTGCCAGGATTATTTCCTCTGGGACACCTTCATCCTTTTCATCATAAACATTATCTTCATTTATGTAAATAAGCTCACCTTCACTAAATTCTTCTGGCTGCATATGTAGTTTCTTAGACTGCCAACATTCCCATAGTCATATATTTCTTCTGTTACTCAATTTACATTTGCTTCAAACCTTACTTCCAGCTTGATCACTTTTTATTTCTTTGCTGCACTTTCACCTGCATTTGGCCACATTCCCCTTTTGATTATTCCTGTTTGTAAAATGTCACATAGGTTGATCACTGGGAGAGAGGGAGACAATACAACTACACGTTTTGCTGTCTGTGCATGAGATGAATAACAGATGCACAGTGACCAGTCACTAGCCAACTTCGAGATAACTGAGGTGACTGACATGTGTTTGCTATTTTCATAGGGATGTGTGGGCTGAAAAAATAGCAAAATTTGTACTTTAGGTATTGACTCAGAGTTTGAAGCATGTTGTTGGGGAACTGGTGTTAACTAAGCCATAGTAACTGAAATTCACACATATCAGTACCATGTTAAGCAAATGCTGCCTGTATACGAAAGCATTGAAAAGACAAATCTAATTTACAGCGGCAAAAAGCAGATTAATGGATACCTGGGGCTGGGGTTTGGTAGATGGGGAATAGACTACACGGGTCAAGAAGTAAATTCAGGGGATGATGGAAATGTTTTATTATGTCTAGATTTTGATTGTGGAGATGTTTCTTTAGGTGTATATGTTTGCCAAAAGAGCATCATACTGTATAACTTAAAATGGGTATGTGTTATGTGTAAACTGTACTGCAAAAAAATCAATTAAAATGATATTTAAAAAGACCATCACTAAACCAGCTGCAACAAAATTAGATGTGAACGTTCATCCATATTTTTTTTTTTTTTGACAGAGCCTCACTCTGCCGCCCAGGCTGGAGTCAGTGGCATGATCTCGGCTCACTGCAACCTCTGCCTCACAGGTTCAAGCGATTCTCCTGCCTCAGCCTCCCAAGTAGCTGGGATTACAGGCATGTGCCACTACACCCAGCTAATTTTTGTATTTTTAGTAGAGATGGGGTTTCACCATGTTGGCCAGGCTGGTCTTGAACTCCTGACCTCAGGTGATCCAACCCCTCGGCCTCCCAAAGTGCTGGGATTATAGGCGCGAGCCACTGCACCCAGCCTCATCCATAATTAAATAACTAAAAACAAAGTCACTATTTCAAATTAATGATATAAACTAAAAGAATACAAAACAAAGCACTTTTAAATTTATGTGATAAACTCAAGTTATCATTTTTTTTTTGTTATTGGACTTGGTGTACTAATGTTAAATGTTTGGTGTAATTTGCCTGTGAAATCATCCAGTCAGATTTTTTTGTGGCTTTATTTTATTTTATTTTTTGAGACAGAGTTTCACTCTGTCGCCCAGGCTGGAGTGCAGTGGCATGATCTCAGCTCACTGCAACCTCCGCCTACTGGGTTCAAGCAATTCCCCTGCCTCAGCCCCCCAAGAAGCTGCGGGGCTTCTTGGCACCACCACCACACCTGGCTAATTTTTATATTTTTAGTAGAGACGGGGTTTCACCATGTTGGCCAGGCTGGTCTCAAACTCCTGACCTCAAGTGATCTGCCCACCTCGGCCTCCCAAAGTGCTGCGATTGAAATGTGTATCTGTGGAATCTTTCCCCTAACCCACAGTTAGGAAGATTTTTTTTCCCATATGATCTTATAGAAGTTTTCCAGCTTTATGTTTTACATTTAAGCCTATGTTCCATTTTGAGGTAATTTTTGTATATGTGTAAGGTAAAGATCAAAGTTTATTTATTTATTTATTTATTTATTTATTTATTTTGGAGACAGAGTCTCTGTCATGCAGGCTGGAGATGCAGTGGTGCAATCTTGACTTACTGCAACCTCCACCTCCCGGGTTCAAACAATTCTCCTGCCTCAGCCTCCCAGCTAGCTACAGTTGCCCACGACCATGCCCAGCTAATTTTTGTATTTTTAGTAGAGATAGGGTTTCACCAGGTTGGCCAGGCTGATCTCAAACTCCTGGCCTCAGGTGATCCGCCTGCCTCAGCATCCCAAAGTGCTGGGATTACAGGTGTGAGCCACCATGCCAAGCCCAAACTTTATTTCTAATAATGGTATTTTGTACCTTCTCTTTTTGCCTAGATTAGTCTTGCCAGTGAGTAATGCATCTTATAAAATTTTTCAAAGAACCAATTTTTGGCTTTGTTTATCCTCTCTATTAAATCTTCCTTCCTTCCTTCTTTCCTTCCTTCCTTCCTTCCTTCCTTCCTTCCTTCCTTCCTTCCCTCCTTCTTTCTTTTTGTCTCACTCTGTCACCCAGGCTGGAGTGCAGTGGCACAATCTCAGACCTATTTCTTTAATTTCTGCCCTTACCTTTATTATTTACTTCCTTATATTTTCTATGAGTTTAACTTGTGGGTCTTCAAAAAACTTTTTAGTTAAAAACTCAGATGGTTAATATGTAGGCTCACTTTTTTTCTAACGCATTAAGTTAAAGCTATGAATTTTCCTGTAGTCATAACCTTAGATGCATCCCATGCATTTTAATATGTAGATTTTAAATGATCTATTTAGCTTGAAATATTTTCTGATTTCCACTGTGATTTTTTTCATTGACATGATGCCGATTTAAAAGTATACTGCTTAACCTGCCAACCCTTGGGGTTTTCTCCAGCCACAGAAGAGTTTCTATGAATTTAATAAACTGAAGATTATTAAGATTTACATTATTACCCACCATATACTTAAATTTCAAATGTTTCTCTCTTTTTTTTTTGAAAGACATGGGGTTTTGTTCTGTCCCCCAAGGCTGGAGTGCAGTGGTATGATTGTGACTCACTGCAGCCTTGAACTCCTTGGCTCAAGTGATCCTCCTGATTCAGCCTCCTGAGTAGCTGGAACTACTGGCATGCCCACCACCTGGCTAATGTATATTTTCAATTTTTTGTCAAGAAAGCATCTTACTATATTGCACAGGCTGGTCTGGAACTCCTGGGCTCAAGTTAGTTTCCTGCCTCAGTCTCCCAAAGTGCTGGGATGACAAGCATGAGCCACCACACCTGGCTGATCCTATTTTTTTTTTTTTTTTTTTGAGATGGAGTCTCGCTCTGTCGCCCAGGCTGGAGTGCAGTGGCACTATCTCGGCTCACTGCAAGCTCTGCCTCCCGGGTTCATGCCATTCTCCTGCCTCAGCCTCCCGAGTAGCTGGGACTACAGGCACCCGCCACCACCCTGGGCTAATTTTTTGTATTTTTAGTAGAGACGGGGTTTCACCGTGTTAGCCAGGATGGTCTTGATCTCCTGACCTCATGATCTGCTCGCCTCGGCCTCCCAAAGTGCTGGGATTACAGGTGTGAGCTACCATACCTGGCTGATCCTAATATTTTTAAAGAGAAATGGTGGTGAGATGATTCTGGAGAAGACAATGCAGGACAAGTTCCTCTCCAACTTTTGAGACTGTGGATAAAGCCTGATAATGAAGATGGAGGCAGGGGGCTTTTGGTCAGTGCAGAGGGCCCAGGGAGAGCTGGGGACTGCACACGTTAAAGGAGGGCCCTGTGCATTAGTGGGAAGAGACTGGATGGTTAAAAAAATGGAGCTGTGACAATTGGTCATTCCCAAGGAAGATGAAAAGGAAATTAGCTCTCTGCCTTAGCCTACATACAAAGTAAATCCCAGGTAAATTTCTTTTTGTGAAAAGCACATACACGCGGCAAATATGGGTAAAAATCAAACATATAAAATGCAAAATTTTGTAAGTTTTGGAAGAAAATATTGGAACATATCCTTAATGGTTTTGGAATAGGGAAAGGCTTCTTAAATGAAAACTACAAGCTGTGAAGAAAACCATGAATACATTTCAATGCATTTGGTGGGGGAGGAAGTGGGTGTTGCACAATACAAAACATAAAAGTGAAGCCCAAGACTAGGAGAGAATGCTTGCAATAGATTGTACCAGAATTTTAGAGGAACACTTACGAATCAGTGAGCAAAATATGAACAATCCAGTAGTAAAGTGGGTCAGCCGCCTGAGAAGATCATTTCTAGGAAAGGAAACGTAAGTCATAAATATAGCTGTGAAAAATGTTTGACTAGAAATCAGGGAGTTAGAAATAAAGACAATGAGATACCACTCCCATCCACCAGACTGTCAACACTTAAACATTTAAACACAACACTTAAACATTTAAACACTTTAAATGCCTCAGAATACTAAGTGTTGGTGAGGAATGGAGTAAAGAAACTTTCATAGATTGTTTGGTGTTGTGGAAACTATTACAACCACATGGAAGAAAAATTTGGCAAATAGGTAGCAGCGTTGAGGATGCATAGGCTATGGTCCAGTGGACCCGCTTCTATGGAGGAATCCAGAGAAGCCATTCACAGGGCCTCTACAAGTACACATTTGGAAATAATAATTAAAAAAATGGAAAAAAAAACTGTTAAAGCACATTTTATAAAAGGTACATATGACATATATCAACATAGACATAGCTAAAAGTATGAAAAAATATTTTGAATAAAACATACAGTTTGCATCAGGATACATGCTCTATATTGGCATGTATCTCAAGTTTAAAAATATGCAAGTAATGTGCCACTTGTTTTAAGAATCTGTGCACATGCAGGAAAGGAGAAAAACAATGAATGTTCTCCCCAGGCTTGTGATAGCTGTCTCTGGAGAGCAAGTGGGGAGAATGGAAATGGCGGGGAGGGGTGTGTTTGTTGGGGGTTTTCTATTGTATCTGTGATCTGTGTATCTATTGTATTTTGTGATCCATCAGGACCAGGAAGACAAAATATCATATTTAACAATGTTGTATGCTTAAAGTACTAAAATTTCATAATTAAAAGTGTTGATATCGAGTGAGTTAAAGCACATACAATGATTTCCAGAGTATGGCAATGATGTGTGGCCCAACAAGTCAAATGACTCTTTTAAGTTGATGTCTCCTCCCCAGGTCATCAGAATAATCGATACTTGTCTCCAACACTGTAGAAATTGTGCACATGGCCGGCACTTTCTTGTTCACTTAGAGAAAGAGTTGAACCTGTTGCTGCTGTTGCTGTTGAGTTACGATGGGAGGAGACTTGAGAATGCCTTGCAGCTGAGAAGGCACTTCAAAGGCGAGCTCTGAGTCTCAGAGTCTGTAAACACACCTCCATCATCCACTAACCCTGGTTTTGGCTGATCCAAGCTCCAGCTAAGGAGAGCTGGTGAGAAAGTTTTACATTTACCATCACAAACCAATGTAATCACAAAGTCATCTCCCAGAAACAATGAGAATAAACAGGGGCAAGAGAAAATTGACTGTAATACATGTGCTTTCTTGGAGCGGCCTGCTGGGAGTGGTGATTTTTGGCTATGTGTGTGGCTCTCAGCTTGGGCAAGGTCAGCTTTAGCACCTGGAGCACGGACTCACTGGGCTTCCATGCCCAGCTCTGGCCTTCAGATCCGACCTCCTAAGGCTGAAGTCTGCTTCATCCTCTATCAGATGAGTGAGGGAATCAGATGAGGGAGTGAAGCTCTGCAAGCTTCAATTTCCTTACCTATAAAAAGGCAATGGCAGTAGACTCTCTCTCTCAGGGCTTATTGTTAAATTGTAAATGGAAGGATACATGTGAAGTACTTTACGCAGGTCCCTGGTATGTAGTAAGTACAAAATAATTGCACTGGCCATGCTACTGCTGTTGTCAAGTGTAAGTGCTGCTTCAGTGCCTGATCCTCTGGGGGACAGCTGCACCACAGGCCCACAACACAGTGTCCAGCCAAACCAGAGGAGCGCCTGACCACAGCCTCTGTAGTAAGAGCTTCAGCCTGTGCATAGGACTGCAGGGAAAGAGCAGGGGCAGGATCCAGGACAGCTGAGTTGACTCTTCCAGTGCATTTCTGGGAACAAAGAGACCTGCTGAGCACACAACAGCTTCCTGGGCCACCTTGCCCTGTCCCTTTCTGACTAGGATACCTGCCTCAGGCTTCAGCTTTCTGGGAATTCACTCACTTGTTCAACAATTGAGTTCATCTTTTATGTGCCGAGCACTATTCCACGTGTTGAGATTCAGTGATGACCAAAAAGAAATGTCTCCCGCCCTTGCAGGACTGAGTGTCTAGCAGGATGTGTTTGCTGGGGCTGCTATGACAAAGTACCAGAGACTTTGTGATTTAACCAAGAGACATTTATAGTCTCATAGTTCCAGAGGCCAGAAGTCAAAAGTCAAGGTGTTGGCAGGATTGGTTCCCCCTGTGGGGTGTGGGGGAGGGTCTGTTCTGGGCCTCTCTCCTTGGCTCGTAGATAGCTGTCTTCAGGGTCACTGGCACGGAGGTCTGTGCCTAAGTTTCCCCTTTGTATAAGGACATCAGTCCTATTGGATTAGGGCCCACTCTAATGACTTCATCTAAACTTGATTGCCTCTCTAAAGATCTGATTTCCAAATATATATATATATATATATACATACATATACATGTACACACACACACATGCATACACATATATTTCAGAAATACGTTGTTTATGGTATAACATATTGTAACATATTACAATGCACTTGAAATAATATATGTATATCTATCGGTTTAGGTATCTGTAACCAAGCACAGAGAGTGCTATGCAGCTAGTGGGGCCTACACATGCGAATGTCAGAGGGAACGTTGGCAGGTCTGGCTGTCAGGAAAGGTCCCTTTGGGTAGGGATACCTCTAGAGAGAGCTGAGAGAGGAGGAAACATTCCAGCAGAGGGACAGCAGGTGCATGGATAAACATCGTGACCCACTGGGTGATGCGAAACCCATGGTGGTCCTTGACTTAATTCCTGAGCATTTAAAGTGAGATTCTCATAATGTCTGGTTTCTTCCCATGATCCCCGGGTTGCATGACCCTGGAAGGCTGGATCAGCATGGAAGTGTGATATCCTCAGTGCACTGACCAGTTCCTGGGCTCTGCATGGCTCCAGGGCACCATGTATGGTTGGAAGGGCCCTTATTACCTGTGTGGTGGAGTGGTACCACTCAGCACCACCCGCCTGAGGAGCAGTGTTGGTTCAGTTGCAAGTTTACTATGCTTTCTGCAGAAGGCTACATTCTCATAGCCACAGCAAGAAAAGCAGCAAGGCTGGTCTTTCAGGGGAGAATGTCTGCTTTGCACTCTTTGCTAGGAGCCCAGCAAGTTGCTGTTTGGAGCCTTCTGTTGTGCCTGTTTTGGCATAGAATGAAGCCCCCTCAACACAAGAACTCTAGAAGCAGCTGCTGTACTGTGCTCTCCAGTGTCTCTAGGACAGCACTGGGCAGCCTGATCTGCTCATGGTTCAGATAAGGCTCTGCAAAGAGTGGCTTGTAAGAAGCTCCCGAGAGCTAACTTGAGTTCTTAACAAGGACCCACTGTCATCTGCACATGATTCCATCCTCCATAAGCCTAGGATGATGCTTTCTCTACAAGAAGACCCTTTGGTCGCTGTGAATACAAGAGCAGGAAGCATGGAAACCAGCTTATGACCAGAGAATCAAAGCAATGGATCCAGAGATAGGACTCTACTCTCAGCATCAAGTTCATGCCAAATACAAAAAGAAGCCCAGGGCTTCGGTGCTGGTACTTTTTTTTTTTTGAGATGAAGTCTCACGCTATTGCCCAGGGTGGTATGCATTGGCAACATCTTGGGTCACTGCAACCTCCGCCTCCTGGATTCAAGCAATCCTCCCACCTCAGCGTCCTGAGTAGCTGGGATTACAGGTGCATACCACCACATCTGGTTAATTTTTGCATTTTTAGTAGAGATGAGGTTTCGCCATATTAGCCAGGCTGATCTCAAACTCCTGAACCTCAAGTGATCCCCCTGCCTAGGCCTCCCAAAGTGCTGAGATTACAGGCTTGAGCCACCAAACCTGGCCAGTGCTTGTACTTTGAGCAGAGAATTATTGTTTTGCTTGGCAAATGGTGTGGTGGGGGCAGTGGTGATGGAAAAAGAATGGATGGAAAAAGGAAGTTCCCTGTCAACCTTAACTAGGTACAGTGGTTGAAAACCTTGAGGAATGAGTTCATAGACTTGACACTTGGAAACTGCTCACTTGAGTTTTCAAGCATCAGCCAATGGTGTCAACGAGACCTGTAGATCATCTTTGTGGTGGGGGCTTCCAGGACTCTTGCTGTCAGAGGGTCTGAGTTGCATTCGGATTCTGTTGCTTATGACTTGCACTTATCAGTTGCACACCAGAGGATGAGTTACTCCATCTCTACGAGCCTCGACATTGCCATTTATAAAGATGGAATGTGAAGACCCACTGTTTTTGGTTGCTGTGAAGATAGGAAGCTAAAGCACCTGGTACTTGGCCTGGTATCCAGTAGATGTGAATTAAATCACCATTGGGACTGCATCAATGCAATATTTTTCTCCTTTACTTATCTAAATACTATTTTTTTCCTAATTCAAAGCCACTCTTGGACTGGCAACTGACTGTGTGCCAGGATATTATCAGGTGAGATCTTAGGAAGCTCAAATTCCTTAACTGATTGGGCATTTGGAGAGTCCTGACGGATGTGGTTTTCCCCCCAGGCCAAGGAGGTTTCCATCCCTCAAGGACTCACACAGCTTCTCTGGACGGCATTAGGCTTTTCCATAGCGCCATTCAGGGTCGCGCTTGTTAAGTGTCCTTTTTTCTAATAGAAGAATCGTATGCAGTGGCTACTTTGAGGCACGTCTGTCACCTTGTCTTACATCCCAAGTGGAGGAAATGGGAAATCCTTTCAAAAAGCTAGTGCTAAAATTCTCTGACAGCCCCTCTCCCCCCTCAGTTTAGCTTTAGCTCCCACGAGTATCTTCCTTTCCTTTCCTGATACCCCTGAAGGCTTTGAAATCAACAACTAAACCACGGACTGCAGTGGAAATAAAATATCTTTCTAATTTTCATATTTATTTGTAAAGATTTAAACATGTTTTCCTGCAGCCCTGCAGCAAGCTCAACTCTGTTCTCTAAAATACTATTGGAAAATGACATTTTAATTTAAAAAAAACCTGGATTATGGATAACAAAACATACAGAGAAAGGGGTCATTAAAATGCATATTGTAAAATTGAAACTTAAGTGTCAAGTTTTTATAGCAGTCTGTCAAATGCTTGACAATTAAAATAGCTATTTTTAAAATTTTAATGAGCCACAATAAGGGTGAAATGTGTATGGAGATTGCACATTTTCAAGACTGCACATTTTTAGCATAACAAGTCCATTCTATATCATTATGGTAATGTCCCATTTGTAAAATTCACCATCTATTTTTAATTAAATTAGTGTGTGTCATTTATTATGGGTATTATATTTATTAATCTTTAATATTTAATTTAAGATGACTTATCTGAGAAACAGACAACTTAGCACAACAAAGCTGATGCCCTGGTGGTAATGGCTCTGCCTTCCTAACTGCAGTAAATACATTTCATCTCTTATTTTTCATGGCTAAATCTTGAATAAGCTTAAGTATGTCTTTCCTCTTGCATTTCAGGATATAGACAAATGTGCTTCTTGATCTTTCGGCTTCTTGTTCTTTGAGTCCTGCTCTTTGGGCCATGTTTGACATAACCATAATCCCTCACCCTCATCACATTCACTAATACCCTAAATTCTTCCATGACCAACATCTCAGCTGATGTTAGCAAACACAACTTTTCTATCCTTTTTAGTTTCTGATGATCAGAAAGTGACTTATGGATGGTGTCACCCAATTCTGTAATAGCCTGTGGGACTGAATCCCTTCTGTCGTCTCCTGGAGCCCTTGCTTCTGGTCAGCGCGGCTTGGAGGAGATAACCCGTTCAGCCGGTCCTTCCGAGCAGCCTGGGGGAGACGCAGCAGGACCCTTCAAAACCAGTAGCACATCCCCTCTTCAAATAGTTTAGAATGCAGGTGTCCAATCTGTTGGCCTCCCTTGGCCACGTTGGAAGAAGAATTGTCTTGGGCCATACATACAATACACTAACACTAATGATAGCTGATGAGCTAAACAAAATTGCAAAAAAATCTCATGATGTTTTAAGAAACTTTACTATTTTGGGTTGGGTGGCATTCAAAGTTGTCCTGGGCCACATGTGGCCCATGGGCTGTGGGTTGGACAAGCTCAGTTTAGAACCTGTCTTGTTCCTTAGCAAAACATAAAGCATCCTGACTTGGTTTCATTTAAGTGATAATGATGAGAAAAATCCAGTGGTGGCCAGTAGGGTAATGTGAGGGAGAGAGTCTGATTAGGTCTCTTTGCCTCTCTTTAGTCTTTCATCTGGTAGAACTGAGGGGGATGTGTTTGCATGTGTGCACGCATACCTGTGTGCATGGGCATATGTGATCTGAAAGACATGCAGATGAGGGGGTGACATGGGTGATGTGGAACGTGCTCAAACCCCCTTGGGGTGTACTGCAGAGTGCCTAGGGGCAGCCCTGGAGAGGCACTCCGCTCCTCTGCTGTGGCTTCAGCAGTACTTGTGGTCAATGACAACTCTCAAGACAGTGCCTCATACCTTCACATCAGCATCACATGGGTCCGGAGTCCAGAGCTTCTGCAGCCTAGAAGTGACACTTCACGATACTGCAGAGTCCTCTTGGTGAGGGAACAACACAAGCTGAGTCTAAAAAACCAAAGGTCTCATTTTCATGCAAACAGCAGAGAAATCTGAAAACCAAACGGGGAGGGCGAACCAGGAGCACACGGAGATTCGAATCGATTTCCCATGATCTGTTTTTGATGGTAGATCAAATTTGAGTCTCAGACCTTCCTGATTTCATTTGGAGAGCTAAATACACATTATAATTATTTAAAGTAAAGGTACCTTATTTTGTAAATATGATCATTAAAGTGATTTGCATTTGCTGTATTTAACTCAGCACATTAACAGATTGTTGCATATTCATTTGCTTCAAGGGAAAATAGTACATTTGCAAATTGCCATTGTTTTATGAATATATGAATAGCTCAGAATTCGAAGAAGCCGAGATTCCATGTTTATCTTCGATTTTATTTCCTCATTGACAACAAGAATTCATGTTAATGAGTAAGGTAGAATATGGCTATGCTGTTCAAAGCTCTTTTTGGTGTAAATTGGAAAGCTGCCGCTATCCATAGCAGAACTGTGACACTCAACTTTCACAGAATCAAATCACTGATCATAACAAATAGCCACATGGCTAGTATTTCTCTTTATTTCTGGATTTCATTATGGGTTGATCCAGCCTATCCAGGGGTGATGTGCCCCATGACAGCAGCAGCAGCAGATCCAAGTGGGGCCTCAAAGGTCCGGTGGCTTTCTCTTCTGCACAAACCTGAGGCCTGGAGCAGCCTCGCATATCTGCAACCCAACTTTGACCGTGGGAATAACCAAGCCGGGCCTCCGTGGAGGAGGCTGGCATGGGTCCTCCTGTGCCTTTTCCACTGGAGGCACGCTCTGGCCCTGGGTCATACAACATTCAGGACACAAAGTGACAAACTTGGAGCAATTGGGGCCAATCCACAAACTCAGAGCAATGCTGTGGCTGCAGCTTGAAGGAGACGAAGCCCTTTCAGGAGGGATGCACCAGACAAACTAATAAAAAAAAAAGTCAGAGGAATTTGGAAAACAAAACAAATGGGGCCATTGTGTGTGGGGACAAATGGCCGTCCCCACATCAGCAGCCCCTGAGGGTGCCCTGCAAGCCAGGGCTCGGCACCGTAATTGATGCTCTTAATTATGGCCTTGTCATTAAGGGGAAGTTAAATGATGTTCAGACTCTGCTTAATTATGTTGTTCTTTGTAGGGGCGCATATGCTACATTTTATAAACTTTTCCATACAAATGGTTATATATGTTTTAAGTTTCCATGGTTATCCAGCACCCTCAGTTATCCAGAATTTCTGGCCCTGCCTCATTCCTCAAAGAAGACAGGAAAATGAGACAATTTTGGAGCTCAGTACAAATTCATTGGTTCATTAAGATGCATCATATATATGTTTGAATAATTCACCAAAGGGCAACAGGCCAGTTTGAGAGAAGCCGTTGCTCTGGATGGGGAAGGGCAGCAGACCAAACTCCCCAAATCTCTGCAGGTTGCAGAACAGCCCGGCCTCCTGGGCTCCTGAGGGCCTTACTAGAATGCACATCCTCCTGGGGAATCAAGTTTCCCAAAAGCAGAACGCAGACGCGAGAAGAGATGGCTTCAGGGACAGCGAGCAGGGGAGCCCGGTCCTCTTCTCACTGGAGGGTGTGGAATCTGCAGGCCCCCTGGAGCCCTGGCTTTCTCATCTGCAAATGCGGGCAGTGCTTCTGCGCTCTCAGTGTGCCAGGTCCGTGTGAGGATTCAAAACCATGCACTGCCATGGCTGCCAGGCCTTTGCTGGGCTCACGGCAAGGCAAGGGGCTTTCTTCACCCTTCCTGGTGTGGCTGGAGTCCTTGGCTGCAGGGATGTGGTGGGGCACTTGGCAGGTGGGCAGACCTGGGTCATCTCCCCCCATGGAGGTGGGCAATGGGGTGACCGAGGGCACCAGTGTGGGCTTTGGAGTCAGATGAATGTGGCTGACTCCACTTCTTAGCTGTGATCTTGGGCAAATGTCACAGAGACTGTTAAATGCCACCCTAGACCCATTGCCTCTTCTTCCTTAGTAATGGAACCCAGATTTGATTTGAGGTGGCAATGTGCCCAGGTAAAAGGCAATTTTTCCAGATTCTTTTGCAGCTAGGTGAAGGCTTGTTCAACTAATGAAATCCATGCAGAAGTGTTGTGGGAGATTCATGGGAAGGCTGTTAAACAGTCGACCTGGGAGATGTGCTTGTGTTTTCCCTTTCTCCTTTCTTCTTCCTGTTGGTTGGAATGCAGACATAAAGGCTGGTACTCAGGCAGCCATACTGGGCCATGAGATGAGTTTGAAGATGGAATCCAGGTGCTAAGGATGACAGCAGATGATAAAAAGGGACTTGGGCTCCTGATGGCTTTGTGACATGGTCGAAGCAGAGGACTGACCCCTCTGAACCTGAGTGAGAGACTAAAAGTGGGTGTGTTACACTCACCAATACTATGGATTCCCTTTTCACTGTGGCTGAACTCAGTCTGAACTAATACAAGTCACTGGGTTTGTGGCCTCTCCTACCTTCTCTTTGTTTCTGAAAGTAGGCAGGGAGGGGAGGCTCAGGCAGAGGGTGGGCTGTGGTGGTCTCAGCAGGTACGCCCAGCAGTAGTAGAGATGAGAGCAGGAGTTGGGCAAGAGAGTGTGGTGACACAAATACAGAGATTGGATGACAGCACAGGTGGGGGTGGGAGATGGTGGGAAGGAGCTGTCAGGGATGAGAGATGCTGGGATGATCACCAACAGGGGCAGGGGATGCTGGGAAGGAGGGACAGAGATCCCAGCAGCTTCTGAACTTTCTCTCTGGGTGGGTTAGGGACTCCCTGAGCACACATGTCCAGGACTTGGGGGGACTCAACACTTGTGTTCAGGACTTGGGAGCAGCCACCATGTATCTCCAGACCCCCAGGAGAGTACAGACAACAGAACAGCAGCCTGGCATTTGCATCCATGTGAAATATGGGATAATTTTTTCCCCTTCCCATTTATACAAAGCAGTCACACATACGTGAGCTCAGTTAAACCTCACGACCCACTGTGTTAAAGTGGAACTGAGAGGGCTCAAGTGTTTAGTTCAAGGTCACAGAGCTCATAAGTAAAGCGCAACTCCCCTGCTCTCAGCCCAGTGCCCTCTCCTCTATCCCCAGCTGCCTCATTAATTCACCAGGGCTCAGCTCTGCAGGAACTTTCCCTGGAGACAGCCAGCAAGCGCTCAGGAGAAATGATTTCTTGATGAATAAAAAAGGGGTGGGCACAACTCACCTGACTTCAGACACAAGAAAAGCACAGGTTTTCAGGCTCCCATGATCCTCCATCCAGTGACACACACAATCCCTCTCTGCTTGGGGAGGACGAGTATGGGCAGGTGGCCTAGTCCTCTTCCTCTTGATATCCTGGAGCCATCTTCAAATATATCAGCGGGCATCCTGGGCAACGTGCAGGGGTAGGGAGGGCTGGGACTCGGGCACTGACCTCACACTAGCCCAGGGAACCCGGTGGCAGATGGGGTCTGTTCCTCTGGCCAGAGGAATCACTTGATAAGAGCCCCTCATTTGGAACAGGGGATTTCCTTGTTAGTGACCCAGAGTTCAGTAAGGTGATGTAGCTGTGAGCAGGTGGTGTTCAAGAGTACAGATTTGAAATCCAACATGTGATCAGGACCCCTCTAGGAGAGGACAGTGGTGAAAGAAGCCTTAGGTAACGGATGTGAGACTATTTACTCATTAACCCATCTACAGAGCTTCGAGATACACGGAGACACAGGAGAGAGAGGCAGACACAACCTGATGGGGACCATCCAGCAGGGGGTCTCAGGCTGTGAAGCGACAGCCCAGCCGGGCATGTGCCTCCAGAAGGGAAGAGTGAGGGCTCTGTGCCTGATAAGAGGGACACCCAGCCCTGCCTTGGGAAGACTTTCTGAAGGAAGTAACATTTAAACCGAGGTCACAAGACTGGGAGGAGCTGGCCCGGTGAAGTGGAGCCGGGGCTTGAGTCCCTGTGCACATCCCCAGCTAGCCCTCCCTGCCAAGCCTCAGGCCTCTCTATCCAGGTGCCATGGACGCAGCCTCCCCTTCCAGTCCTCTCCATCACAGGTGGCACCACCATCCTCCCAGCCTGGGCAGCTTCCATTCTGGGCACTCACCTGCTCGCCGGGCATCCTTTTCTGGGCTTCAGCCTGCACATCTCCAAATAGGGAGAGAAATGCCTGGCACCAAAGGACTGTGGTGGAGGTGGATGAGATTCCTAGGAGGGGCACAGAGCTGGAGAGGCTGTGGCTGTCACTATCATTGTCGTGGTTGTCACAGGCAGCATCCTCATTTATGAACCTGGTGTCATGTGTCTTCCTGCACAGAGGGAGCTCTCGGTGCAGGTCTGATGAGTGCCTGCTCAGACGAACCTCCCACCTCAGGACCACGAGGACAAGCCAGCACCTCCAGCAGCTGAGGGCTCCAGCCTGGGCCTCCTGATGTCTCTGTGATGCTGTTGCTGAAGGATGTTTGTGGCATGTGCCATGAGCCCCCAGAGTCTGCTCATCTGCGGGTGGCTGAGGCTGGATCTTCTGGGCATCCATTCACTGCTTTGGGCCATGGAGATGTGTGTGGGGGTGCTGGGGAGGTCATGATCCCAGCTTTGATGGGTGAGCAGGATCTCAGGTTGGAGGGAGGCTCAGGCTCACCTGGGCCTACCTTCTGCAAGTACAGAGGAGGTAGAAAACCCAGACGGCAGCCCAGGCACTGTCCAGAGGGCACAGCTGTCCTGTTCTCCCTGGCTCCAGGCACTGGTGGGAATGCTCGTTGAGGGAGTGTCTCAGACCTCCAGTCTCCTGGGGGAGGGACCAAATCAGGGCATCGGGTCCCTGGGTGGACCAACATCCCTTCTTCAGAGCTTGACTCAGTCTGGAACAGCCATGCATGCAAGGGGCTTGGCAGAAGGGAGTCCTGGCGTAGACGGCGATCCATGCTGACTGCCTTCCTGGCTTCACCCTTTCCAAAGTCAGTGAGGGCTCCACCCCAACAGAATCCTCAGTTTCTTCCTGCTATTCTTCCACCTTTAGTTTTCTGCAAAGCCCATGCACAGTGAACCTCCTTCCAAACAAAAGTGAGTGCTTTGGGCACCCTGTCCCTGGGCTCTGTAGTTGGTCATGGGGCCACTGGGCCTCAGCTTGATTTCTGCAGAGACCCTGCTGCCACCTCACCCCCTGAGCAAGGAGCAGAGCTCCTAGAGGCACCTCCCAACCTCTGCTCTGCCTGGCCTGCTCTCGGAAAGGCAGGGAGGGGCCTTGGAAGAGGAGGATTAGGGCCTGCGTGGTGGAAGCATGACTTTGACCTTGTTCCTCTCGGGCCTGGGGCTGTGGGGAAGACAGCCCTCAGCGATTTCACCAGAGCCCCTTCCTCATCAGTGGCTGGGAAATAAAACAAGATGTGGGAGCTCCATGCTGTGGACCAGCAGAAGGCCCCTGTGAAATGGCCTCTGAACAACAGCCTTCCGGGTGGACCTGGAGTACCTTTTAGCTCAGAGGGTACTGATATTGGCACTTGAATGGCTTAAGACATGAAAACCAGACCTTTCTGAAAGACAGATTTGATGGAGCAGAAGGGAGTGGAGAGTGGGAATGCCTCGGCTCTGGAGTCAGGCTGGCAGGGCAGGACCCCAGCTACTCAACTTCTCAGGCCCTGCATTAAGCGTAACAAACACGCTGATAACTAGACGGCAACCGACACGTTGCTTGTTGAGAAGATTGCACACAGAGGGCTGTGAGCGCTGAGGACAGGGTTTAGCACAGGGTATCCATGGATCCACGCCCGTTATCCTCACTGTCTGCATCACCGTGACGCTCTCAGGCGGGGCGGCTCCTAAGGGAAGTGAATCTTTTGATTCTGAATGACAGCTCTCCAGCCTCACTTCAGTGGTGGAGTTTGGATTCAGTTCTTGCCTTTGGTCCCGGCTGCTGCCGGAACTCCTGGTCTGGGCTCCTGGCCCTGAGTCTGCTGGGCACAGGCTATTGGACCACTGATGGGCTGGTTTCCTTCCCGCAGTCTCTTGCTCTGTGCTCCTCCCTCTGGGAACACTTGTCCTCTCCTGCCTCCAAGTCCAGTTGCCTTTCACTTCTCCTATGTCCCTTCCTCTGGGGAGCCCCTCACTCCCCACTCTGCCTCCCTTATCCAGCTGCATGGCATCTCAGGCCACACTGTATCCGGGGGCACCAGGGGCCAGATGTCGTCATTGAGACTGGGTGTCCAGGAGACTCCTCTTGGGTATCGCAGCTGCTGCAGGCCAGGCCACAGATTGCACATGCCTTGGCTTCGTCCGGAGAGCTCTGCTCAGCGTCCACTGCTCAGCGTCCACTGCCCAGTGTCCACACCCCAGCAAGCAAAGAAGATGGGGCAGTGGAAAGTGCATAATTAGTCTCCGCACCACTGGCTTCAAGCTAACACTCTGAACCAGGTATGACATCAACTCATCTCCAGGGGACAGCAAATGGCAGGAAGGAGATGGGGCTCTGCAGAGGCCGCCTGTCAGATGCAAACGTGAGCATAAGCTGAGCTCCTGCAGGGCGGCATGGGCCCTAGAGGTAGTTTTCTTAGCCACAGGCTGGAAGCACTCCTTTTGGAGGCTCCCATCCTCAACACCAGTCCCTAGAGGGTTTAGGGGTCCACTCTGGGCCTAAACACTTGTTGTTTTTCTTTGCTACAAAGTCTGTGATTTCAGGGCTTGTTTGTATCTCTGATACACAAAGACATTCACGGCAATGACGAGGGCATGGGACTGAGGGCTCAGAAATGGAAATGTCCCCTCTGATCCTGCAGCCACCAGCCCAGGTGATCCCTGAGGGCGGAGTTGCAGTGCGAGGCCCCAAGACACAAAGTCTCACAGAGCACAGAAAGCATGTGTCTTGATTACGTAGCAAAAACAGAAACGCTGCTGGCATGGTTCTGAGTGGACTGATGGCCGTGAGAAGTGCGGCAGCCCCTCTGGCCAGAGCGCTGTCTTTACCCCTCCGTGGTACATGGTCGGACGCCCGCAGCTGCCCCTGCCAGGTGCTGCTGTCACTGAGGGGTGGGACAGGGCTGGACCAGGTGGCCAGCCTCCCCTGCCAGTGGAGCCTGACCTTGGTCTCTCTGTCTTATTTTTCCGCTGCTCTTACCTTCCCTCAGTTCCAACAATCTTTCAAGTCTTTTTTGCCACAATGGCTGTATGCATGGGCCTGTGAGTGTGTGTAATCAACAAAAAAACTCAAATGAACCAAATAAAACAAAACTAATAGTCCGCTGTTCAAAAGATGGTTCAGATTTCACATCAGCGGCTGCTCTGCCAGCTTCTTTCTTAACTGGAATCCTGCTCACGCGAGTCTGTGTCAGATTTTCCTGGCAATTTGGTGAAGCTATTAATGCATTAATTGAGATAAACACCCTGTCTAGCTGACGCATTTGGGAGGCTTATTAAGAACAGGAAGGAGTGTGTGCTGCTCTGTGGCTCTTCCCCCAAAGTGAGCTGAGCACTTCTTTCTTATGGAGAGGACGAAGGAAAGTTGATTAAATTATCCAAAGCCCTCATCAAAGAACCAGAAGCTTTCCGTCGGAGGCAAGAATGCTGGGTGTGCAGGTGCTTAAAAGCCACACGGAACAGGAGGAAGGCAGCTGATTCAAAGTGGTACAGACTTTGGCAGCTTTTAATGATGGGGATGGACTGGAACCCCATTGCTCAGCTGGACAAAGTGACCAATTAACTATGTAGGGTCTGGTGATGAGGCCACCACACTTGGCTGCCATGGCTGTTATCTTAGGACTCAGCTCCCAGTTAACGTGTCCAAATATTGTGAGATAGATACACGGTTGAGATTAGTTGTGGGATAAAACAATATTTGATGCTTTTGGAGGCTGGGAAAATATTAACAGCAGGAGCTCTGTGATTTTAAAATTTCATTATAGAGGTTTCAGCTTTCTTTTCTCTTCCCCTAATCTTCTCTCCTTCTGCTGTGAAAAGCCGCACAAAATAATAATTAGGCCGATTGTATGAGCGTGGCTACTGGGGAGTTGGGGGGAGTCTGGGGACCAGGAGGCACAAAGCCAGGCAGGAGGGAGGCTGGGGGCGGCAGGAAGGGAGGGAAGACGTCAGCGGACTATAGGGTGCTCTACAAAGAGGGCCTGGGCATGGGTGGGTTTTGTGATGAAACCAGCCTCATTCTCCCCGGTGGCCACAGTAGATGGTTCTATGGTCATCGGGCATCCGGCTGAGGATGGGCTGCACCTCAGGGGACACTCCTGTCCCTGTTTGTACAACCCTCTCAGGACAGGGGCTTGTGAGCTCCGAAGCAGCACATCCTTGTGCTCTCAGCCAGCTCAGCCACACAGGACTGTGGCACTGAGTCCTAGCTCATCTCCCCGCACTCATGAAGCCACCATCCAGGGAACTCAAGGTCTCTAAATGCAAACAAGAGAATCTGAAGGTGACAAAGGCCTGTTCTGTCACCTGGTCCCTTCCCCTGTCAGAGGGAGCTGTTGCCTACAGTGTAATTTCTAGCTTATTCCCTGAGGCCATGACTGAAATACTGAGCCATGGCCCCAGGGAATCCATCCAGCTCTCTCAGAACAGGGACAGAGCTTGTCTGCTGCTGCAGGAGGGTTTGGTGGAGAGAAGGGAGGTGATTTTAATAATGATCGGAACATGCCCCCTTCTTCGTGTGGGCTCCTCACCTTCCTCCTCCACCATCCTCCCCTCTAGACTTCTCCTCCTCCTCCACCATCCTCCCCTCTAGACTTCTCCTCCTCCTCCCCATCCTTCCCTCTAGACTTCTCCTCCTCCTCCCTCCTCCTCCACCATCCTCCCCTCTAGACTTCTCCTCCTCCTCCACCATCCTCCCCTCTAGACTTCTCCTCCTCCTCCACCATCCTCCCCTCTAGACTTCTCCTCCTCCTCCCCATCCTCCCCTCTAGACTTCTCCTCCTCCTCCCCATCCTCCTGCCTTCCCCTCCTCATTAGGACCCACGTACCCTGACTTCACCTCCTCTAATTGGTACCTGACAGAAGACTCCAGGCAGACCTGGATGAAAGTAAAACTTCTGCAGTGATACATTTGTGACTTAAAAAGGGCTCTTCTTTAGTAATTAACAAAGAATGCATAGTGATGTGGGCATGGAGGAAAGGGGTGGAAGTGTAGGCGTTGGCAGAGATTAGGGATGACTGTGGAGGCTTCTGCGGCCACAGCATGCCTCTGGGGAGGGCTTTGGCCGTCTGTGCTGTAAATCTTATTAGCTGGGAATGCATCTCCCTCCTTCTCCAGGGGTACTTACCATTAGGTTAGCTACACTCCATTGTCATCATGCTTGCAACTGTATTTGGACAGCAAGGTTCCTTTGAGGATCAGGTCCCAGATTTCTGTGGAGGTTTTATCTGACGTCCAAGCACAAACCTGGGTTTGTAGGTAGTGAAGCTGCCGAGGTTGCTCTTGACTGCAGCAGGGCCGGCAGTGGAAGCCACACCGGGTTCAGCGGGGACCCGGCTTCTATCTCTTGATTCAGAGCGCAGATTCTGTGTCATCCTGATAAAACCCACTTTGTCAACACACAGAGTAGGGTGAAAAAACATTAGTGATGATCTATCTGCACAACCAAGAGAGGGTGAGGTGCGTGCATCCAATGTGGTGAATCTCCATCATGGTTGAATGCAAGGATGTGAGGACAGGCGCTGTTCTTCTTCTCCACTGTACGTCCAGCACAGGAAATGCTAACACTCGCATTTCTACGGCAAGCCCACGCCTATCACCTGCTGTGACTTTCACAGTAACCCTGAGAGGCGATTCATGGCATCATACCTGCTTTGCAGAAGAAGACAGTTGTTTCCAAGAGGTTAAGTCGCCTGACCAGGCCACAGAGCTAAGATGTGCCAGGGCTGGTCCTCCAAATGCCAGACATTCGCTTGAACTCCAGTTCTCCACAAGCCTCTGTGCTTGCTGCCCAGAGGGACACTGAACTGAAGATGCCAGTTATTTCCTTGCTGCCTTTCTGCCCTCTTTCAGAGGGTCTTCTACAGTCCCCATGAATGGACAGATAAGTGACCCACAACTCAGGTCACTCACAGGA
Source organism: Homo sapiens (assembly GCF_000001405.40). Classification (NCBI taxonomy): domain Eukaryota; kingdom Metazoa; phylum Chordata; class Mammalia; order Primates; family Hominidae; genus Homo; species Homo sapiens. The sequence goes on from NC_000010.11 coordinate 128,465,746, forward strand.
AGGATGACTTTCTCCATGGCCCTCTCTGCCTCTGGGAAGTGGCTGAAGTCGGTTTCCCTGCCATATCCGAGGGAGGCATCTGCAGTCAGGACGGACACACGCTGCTCCCCCGACGGCCCGGGAGCCACCAGTCCTCACTGGCCATCCTGCGGAATGTCTCCCTGGCATTTATCACCCAGACCTGCCTCAGCTTTGATCCCCAAAGGGGAAGACATCCCTGACAGCCCCGGCCTGCTGAGCTAGTACCGCTGATTTCAGTTCAGTGGAAGTCTCCATCTCCGTCCTATCCTGCAAACTACATTTGATAAGAAATCTCTTTGTTCTTTACAATATTTATTATTTAGTCATCCTCACGGATGATTGGAGCTTTGGGCCCTAATTTACTTTTCTTCCCAGCTTCTTTAGAGAGAGCAAGCAAACTAGAGAAAATGCCTTCCTGTCTGTTCAGCAAAACAAACAAACAAACAAACAAACAAACAAACAAAAACCACTGACTTTTAGCTGACAATTACTCATCCTGTCTATCCCTGGTGTAGGACTCTGAGCTTCTCAAGGTGAGGGCCATATCTGGTCATGTTCGTCTCTTTATGGGACGGACAGTCATTCTGGAGGGGTTGCTGTCTTCATTTCTCTCAGTGCACGGAGCTACATTTGCCAGTGAACCTGGTGTCTATCACCAAATCCAACAGCCTGGGCAATGTCACTTCCCCGTCATAGGCGGGCAGGCCCATTGGCTGGGTTGGTGTCAAGGACGTTCCTCTGTTAGGGGAGGATGCAAGGACTGGAGTAGAAAGTTTGGATGTTCTTTTTGCCACTGAAGGCCCATCCATAGGTGAGACCCTGACCTGACTTGAGGCTCGAACACTAGACCAGTTTGAATGGGTGTCCATGGGGGAGAAGCTGAGCTGGCTCTGGGTCTGGGCACCAGGCCAGTGTGAATGAATGTCCCTGCTCTCCTCCTCATAGCTCCGAGGCTTCAGGACAATCATGTGGGCTCTTTGAGCTCAGTGTCCTCATCCATAAAGTGAGGCGACCGTGTCGACCCACAGGGTGGTGGTGAAGATAAGTGGACAGCACCCAGGGGTCCATAGGCTCCCGGTGAGGGTCACGGCTATGCACTGAGTGGGGTGTGCCAAAAGGATGCTGTGGGAGGCACATGAACTTCCAGAGAGGCCCCCTCCAGGCTGGCCGCTGTCCCCCGCGGGGTGGAAGACAGGCACCAGCATGGACCCCGGCATCTTTCCCTCTGCATGCCTCCTGAGGTCACTTCTGCTGTCTTTGCAGGGAGTGACACCTGAAGGTAAGGACAGCTGTGCCCAAGCCGAGACCTGGGGACTCCCTAACCTGCACTCCAGGGATAAGCCTGGCTCCAGTCCAAGCCCAGAGCTGGAAGGGCCGCGGCAGAGGCAAACCCAGACCAGGTGGGGCCTCCACCACCCGCTCGGACTTGGGCTGGAGGACCCCAATCAACAGATAGTTAGTAGTGACATCAGCTGTGGGGCCACGCTGCCCGTGTATCTGACAGTCAGCTCTGGAAGGATGGCAGCCAGGTGAGGTGTGGGAATTGAGTCTGTGGCCAGCCGTATATAAATACACTCTTGCTTTTGGTAACCATATGCTATAATTTTTCTAAGATAAAGGCCATAAAACAACAATAGAAATAATAACTGCTTGTTTGGCAAATGAAGAAGAACAGGTCTATTTTCCCATCTGGAGTCTTGCAGTTTAAAGCCGCCATCTTTATTCCCCCTGTCACCTAACTTTGACTGTAATAATACTGTCCCTTAGAGACATGCCATAAACCACCTCCTCGCTTCTGAGACAGTCATAGAATTCCCAGTATAGAACGCAAAGAGCGCAGTTTATAGGAGGGGGGAATATTTTATGACTAGTTTGAAAATGTTCTTGCTGCAGCTATAAATTAATAAGTTGAATTACTCCCATATTGGGTATTGATAGACTCTGTGTGGTGAAGACATTTCTCTGAAACACATTGCACACTGCAGACGGTGGGGCACCATGCCTGTGGACCATAGTGGAGACAGCCAGGGCCAAGGACAGCCTTGGCCTCAGAGCTTGGAGAAGACAGGAAAAGGGTAAGAAAGGGACTACCAGGTGAGTGACATCCTTGTGGAGGCCAGAATTCCGGTCACAGGGCTCTTGGCACTTTGTGGATGCCCTGGCTTAGTGGTGTTTCTCCAGCTGGGGTGCAGTGGCGCACCCAGCTCAGCTCACAGGCTTTGCCTCAGGGAGGAGCAGGGCCAGTGTGGCTCTGAACCCCACCCCCATTTCCAGTCCTTAGTCTACTTCTGAGATGCTCAGTTGCTTTTTGGGGTGACCTTTGACACGTTTTAGACCCCCTTTTTCCCTGAGCTTCCTACCTCTCCATTAAGTTGTTCTGGTTTAGAGGTAATAACTCTTAGGTAGGCAGGAAGCCACCTTCTTAAGCCATCTGGAGGGTGGGTCCTTCTGGGAAATGATTTATTCTTTCCAAGGGTGAGTAACCAGCCAGCTGCCAAGTGAGGCCCAACGCAGGAGGGTGGACTCGACGTCGGGTCCAGTTCCCCTGCACCCATTCAGAGGCAGGTTATTCACAGAATTCACCAAACTTTGCAGGAGCCACAACCACATGCCCCAGAATGGGGTGAGGGTAGCTTCCCTGCCTCCTTCTCATGGCGGCTCCATGTGGAATTGGAGAGCATTTTGAAAGCTGTAAAGTCATCTCTAAGAAACCCATGGAAGGCATCCCTTTATTATTAGCAGGTGGAATGTTCGTAAAGAAAGCTCCTTTGCCCAGACCAATTCGTGCAAGCAAAAACAAAGTCGGTAAACCATGCCAGAATCACACCACTAAACAAACAAAAGGCAAGAGCAGATTGACCAATTTGCTTGTTAATACAAGCTGGTGGCAAGAGCTTATAAGGGCCTGAGACCACGTTTACAGGAACCTGGTGTTTGCTCACAGTTGGCCACTGGCCCCCGTCTGTTGGTCAAGTTGTGCAGTCCCATCAGCTGAGCTCACAGGCACGGAAGAGATAATTTGCCATCTCTTGGCAAATGCCCTCACCATTTACTTTGTTGATCAACTCTCTCAAACACGATGGACTATTATTGGCCATGATTTTAAGTTATAAAAGGGCCCTTAGTGATTGTCCCTCCAGACTTCCCACCCTACTGATGAGGAAGCTGAGCTCCCAGAGGCCCTGGGTCATACAGTGGAGGGTGCTGGGACCAGGACTGAAACCCAGGCCTCTAACCTGGCTGTCCATCCTCTCGGCTGGGCTTCCATGCATTGCCCTGAGCAGTTGGAATCATTTCTTCACCATTCTTTGGTTCCAGACTCCAGTGTCTGTAAAGCAATGTGCTCCTAAACACAGGAATGAGACTGTGGTGAGTGCATGTGGCCGCGGGAGCTCACTGGAAGCAACCCAGAGGAACCAGGCAGCTACCCACCATGGGTGCATCGGATCCCCCTGTGTAGACCTTGGGCCCTGGGAGTGGAACAAGCTTGTTTCTGTGGTTGCTGGTGACAGCAAAAGGCCCCGCTGCCTGGCTCACCTGTTTGGTGTCCCCCACCTGTCCTCCCTTGGTGCATGGGAACTGAACTCTTGTGGCTGGGCCTCAGCAAGGCTCCGTCCTTGCCCAAACACCAGCTCCTTCTTTCCTCTCCCAGTAAGCACTGACCAGTCCCTAGGGACACTGTTCAAAGGCTACTCCCTGGTGGAGCCTCCTGGTCCCTCAAGGCTCTGTCCTCTGTCCCTCCTGCCACTCACCTGGCCTCTAGGGAGCCCTGAGTGCCTAGTCTTCATGACCACCTCTGTCCCTGGAAAGGGGGCTTCTCTCTTTCCCCCTTGTATCCTCACAGCCTGGCACTCACTAGGCCAGTGGTAAGTGCTAGACGGCATGCCAAGAACGTTGCCTCTGACAACGTCACTCAGCCCCATCCCCCACGGTAACTTCCGTGCTGGGAGGTGATAGAGTTCAGATGTTTGCTCCCCCCAGGTCTCATGTTGAATGTAATCCTCAGTGTTGGAGGCGGGGCTTGGTGGGAAGTGCTTGCGTCATGGAGGTGGATCCCTCAGGAAAGGCTGAGGAGCCGCCGTAATGAGTGAGTGCCCTCTCTGTTCATCTGTGCAAGGGCTGATTGTGGAAAAGAACCTGGCCCCTTTCTCCACTCTCTCCCTTTCCTCCTCTCTCACCATGCGATGCCTGCTCCCCTTTCTTTTCTGCCACAAGTGGCAGCAGCCTGAGACCTCACGGGACGCAGATGCCGGCACCATGCTTCCTGTACAGCCTGCAGAACCGTGACCAGATAAACCCCTTTTCTTTATAAATTACGCGGCCTCAGCGGCTCCTTGTAGCGACCCAAGCCGACCAAGACAGATGGCTCATCGCCATCCTTCACCTTACAGAGGAGGCCGCAGAGGCTCAGGGAGCTCAGGGAGCTCAGGGACTGGACGCAGGCGGCAGAGCGAGTGAAGGATGCAGCCGGAATGGGAACCCAGGCAGCTTGACCCTCTGCCATAAATCAGCACCCACTGGGGCAGAGTACAGGTCAGCTGAGCACAAGAAAGACGGATAGAGTGTGCTGCCAGGCGGGCCCGGCCTGGCAAGGAAGCATCAGTGGGGACGTAATCTGGGCCCCGGCAGCCCTGGGACCCGGCAAGGCTGCCCTGCCCAGCAGCTTCCCTGGGAGCAAGAGCAGGCAGCCTGCCACGGGTCCCCCGGTGTTATTAAATAGGGATTCAGGCCACTCCCGGCACAGCAGAGTCCAGAGGAGACTCCCAGTCCAGCGCCCTGCTCTCTCTCTCAGAGCCATGCCCGTCCCAGTGCTGAGCGCAGGCACCCCAGGGACAGCCCAGAGCCCTTGGGACCCGAGCAGGCCTGCTTCCCCTGTGCGAGCCTCTGACTGGCACGTCCAGCCAGGCCACGGTATCCCGTTCCAAATGGGCTGGCTAATCGGGCCGCATCCATTATCATTAGCGCCTCTCTGCACGCAGGTACAGGAGGGGCTGCCAGGCGCTGGCTGCGGCTGGCTGAGCCGGGGACCACGCTCCTCTGCAAATGCGGACGAGGAACACCTGCTCCAGGGCTTCCAGGCCGCCACAGTCATCCTTCACATCTCATGCAACACTTGTTCTGTCAGAGCGCGGAGCTGGCACGGGCGGGAGGGGCCCTGGCCAGCCCTGCACGCCCCCTCCAGCCCCCGGTTCCCCTGTTCAAGCTCAGCTTTGAATGGCTTTTCAAAGAAGCCTTTTAAAAATGTATCCATCATGTATCAGCCATTCCGTCATTATGCCAAGAGTTTAAAAATAAGCATGAAAAAAATCCTCACCTTGAAAATAAACTTTTTTTGGCAATGAAGGCGGAGTGGTGAAATATTAATTGTCCACGGATGGCATTCATCCTCATTACACAATGCGGATGTGTTTTCTCAGGATTTCCAAGGAATGGGCCCTTTCACGGCTGTGGGCAGCCAGGGATCATTCTGGGCACAAACGATGTCCCTGTATCTTAGAAGAGGCTGAACTTTTCTAGACAAAGCCAGCATCCTGAGACCCAGAAGGGACGTGCCTCAGCTCAGCCCTGCCACGCCGGCGGCTCCACAAACCTTCAGTGCCACGGCTGGGGAGCCCACTGGGCCGCCTCAGCCTGTTTCCATTGGTCTGTGAGGGAAATTCAAAGCCATCCCCCCCACACACACACACGCACTCATGCGCTTATACACTGGCATACACAGACACACACACGGACACACATGCAAACACATACACACAGACACACACATTCACACATAAATTCACACACAGGCACACACAGACACACTTACATACACAAACAGATACATACACACACAAACACACTGACATACACAAGACATACAAACACACATTGACACACACAGATTCATACCCACACATACACACTGGCACACAGACACACACATACACATGGACACACACACACACTGACACAGACACATACACAAACATGCATAAACACACACAGGCACACACAGATACACTCACATACAAACACACACATACATACACACAAACATACACACAAATACACACTGACCCACAAACACACATACTTATACACACAAATACATACAAACACATACATACACACAGTCACACACAAAAACATACCCAAACACACACAAACACATATCCATACACACTCACACACATACACACAACACATACCCACACATTCATAAACGCAAATCCACACGCACTCACACACATACCCACAAACACATGCTCACACACACAAACCCACACTCACACACAGAAATACATACACTTACTCCCAAACAGATACACACAAACACAGGCAAACACACCCCCCCACACACACCCACATACATTCCCACACAGTCTCACACATACACACTCGTGCAAATGCATATACACACCTATTTTTTCTAGTTGAATCTGCGTGGGAGCCTGAAACCTGGAGACACCCAGAGCTGCACCATTGCCTACCTGCATTTCCACCAGCTGCCACAGCCCACCGTGGCCCTCCCCTGGGATCTGGGATTGAGGCCGTCTCTGAGGGTTCTGGAAACTGTCCCTTGGTTTCTCCAGAAAGCCAGCCGACTGAAGTCTCATCCTTTCTGGGCGACAAGACTTTTGGGACCCAGAAAGCACCTGTTCAGGTCGTTCAAGTGGAGCGGTCCTCCCTTTGCGATAACTGCTGTGGGCCCTGACTGCCTGGTAGCCGCTCCACCTGCCTCCTGTTGGCCCTAGGAAAGCCACAAACCCTGTCTCAGCTGTCTTCAGCAGGCAGAGGAAGAGCGGCTGCCCCACGGTGGCAGAAACCCACCCGTCCAGGGCTGTGGTCTTCCCTGTTGGGCAATTCTGTTCGATCCCTACCTTACTCCTGAAACACATTGCACCCACCTGGAGATCCCACCATATCTTACAGTTTGGGCTTCCCTGACTCCTCCATGGCATCAGGATGGTGGCTGCACTCAGGACCTTGGGGACCACAGATGCATATTTGGGATTAAGCAGAGCAACGGGCCAAGGTTAGGGAGTTGGTAGACCTTGGCCAACTGGCAGCTTCAATTGTATTCTCCTGGCTGTGTCCCCCCTGGGGAGGGACTTCACTCTTCTAGGCTTTGGTTTCTTCACCTGTAAATGGCAATGCAGATATTTCCCTCATAAGAGCATTGTGAAGATTTAACAAGTTCATGGAACAAAGGGTATTGTGGATGCTCAATACACAGCAGCTTTGTTCCTTGATTCCTGTAAAGGTGATCTGCCTTGGTCCACCAGGCGTGTTCTTAGGAAAGAATGTGGTCTCGGTCATTTCTACTGTTGTGTAAATTTAAGCAGAGATATTATATACTTAGTGGAAATTTGAATTTTGGGATTGTTTTAGCTGAGTAATATGAGACTGTTCTCTCTGTGGCCTTGTAGGTATCAGTTTCCAGGGTAAAGGGGAGAAGGTTACTGGGCACAGGGCTTTCCAGAGGTCACAGTCTGCCCCTGGGGCTCAGGTTTGAATGGATTTCAAGAGAATGCCCAATGCTTACAGAAAAACGTGAAGTCTGGGGAAGTTGGTGGACGGCATGGCAGGAAGGGGCCTCTGAGGCGAGTAGCCTTGTACACAGCAGGTTCCTGCAACCTTCCTAATCGTCCAGTGGCTCTAGGGTTCTTCTGAGTGCCTTATGGACAGCTCCCCATGTTATTCCTCCCATCTGTTTCTATTGTCATCGGCCCAGTGAGCTCCAGAATCCATTGCCCATTTGCTGGTTCACTCTAAGAGTAAAACTCCCTGCAAGCGTTTGAAACCCAGCCGCGCGTGTTTGGATGGAGACAGCCGGAGCACTCTCACTGACTGCCCAGTGCTGCGAGTGGGTGTGCCCCTGCCGGGCGTGTGTGCATGTGTGTCTATGCAGGTGTGCATGAGTGTGTATGCATGCACATGATAGATAAAGAGATATGAAGAGCTAGACGATACTTTGCCACCAATGACCCAAACCTTTCTTTGACCTTTCAGGAGTTTTGCAAGTATTTAAAGAAAGTGAACATCCCTTCCATTGTTCTTTTTGCTGGTTTACCTCACTGTATGCACCTGGCAGGCTGTAGTCAGGGGTCACTCCGCTGGAATGTACTGTATTGAGTATTGGGTACTTGGGTTGGAGGCAACAATGATGCACAGGGACTCTTGGCCTTGGGTAAATAGAGCAATATCCGTGGATTTTTCCATGAAATGCAGGCTCGCCTGTAGCCCCCAGCTCACTGTGGAGACAAGGTAGGTAAGTAGCCAGCCAACTTTGATTACACCACAAACCACTAGATGTGAAATCCATGTGGCCTGTTCTTGGAAGTCTTGACTTGGCAAGGAAGAGCTCAATTCCTCGCCATGTCCCGGGAGGAGCTGAATGTGCAACCCACGCTTTGCCTTTGCATCTCCTTAGCACATTTTAATTTATACCCTGCCTTCTCCCGAAACAACTGGGGGAGACTGTGCCTCTCACGAAGTGGGTGGTTGGCTTTCAGGGGACAGTCAAGGTGGATGTATCACTCGAATGAATGGAACCTGCCAAGTCTTTGCATTTCCAGCCCAAACCTAAGCATATCTATTGTGGGTGTCATTCCTTCAGACCACTCAGCAGGGCCCACCTGGGGGCATGGGTGTTCTGAGCTTTCCCAGGTCACCCTTATAGGAAAAGGCCACTTACCTTCTTGGTCATATCGGTAAGTATGTGATAATTCAAACTCCACCCTGCTTTTTGCGTATAAGATAAAGGCCGACACTGAATTTTTGTTTACACACAGAGTTTTTTTTAGTGTTCACTCTGACATTAGCTGTTTTCTTGTTGTAACATCTTACTATTTTATTGTAGTGTGTGTGTGTTTAGTGAGTGACAAGTCAACATGGTAGTAGAAAAGCCAGCCTTGGCGAAGGTGATGCAGTGGAGCAGCTGCCCTCCTGGCTCACACTGGGCCTCCCTTCCTCTCTGCCTTGCACCTGGAGCCCCATGGTGCTCTTCTCTGCACGTTTGTCCACGTTCCTGTGGTAATTATGTAATCTAGGTGAGGGAGGAGTCGTGGAAAATTCCTTCTTGTAGACGACAAACCTGAACCTTACAGGCAGGGTCAAGACCCAGCCCCAGGTCTCTGTCCTCATGCGGAGAGTCTCCAGCAAGTTTTGCAGGGAAAATATGGTGGTCTCCTTGCTTTGATCACCTTTCTTTTCTCCCAGAGACAATGGCCACAGCAGTTTCTCACTGGCTACCACCCAGGCAGGAGCTCACCCTGGTGATGAGCCGCAGGGTCCCGGCCTGGCCTGGTTGGCCCGTCCCCCTTCTGCTTCCAGCCAGGGCTCTGACCCGCAGGCCAGCCATGGCCTTGTGGAAGGCCCAGAAACAGTTCTCCAAGTAAGATGCCATTGAAGGTGGGATGACAGCCCTTTCTCTACTGAGTGTGAGCACTTGGCCACACTGTCCCATGGGATCCCGCCACAGTCATGCGTGGTGTCACTCCCACTGTCACTCCCACTCTACAGATCAATAAACGGAGGTGCATGAAGAGAAGGCGCAGGCTTGGGGATGAGTGGCTGTGCTATCATAGAGCTGGGCCTTAAACCCTGGCAGCCTGGCCTTAGAGCCTATGGTCACCATTCTGCTAGGGATGTCTCAGAAGGAGAGAGCCCCTGGGTCTCTGGGATGATCTCCCAGGCTTCATTTTTTTAGATGCATTTTCATTGAATTTGGGGTCTTCTCTCCTTTAAAAAAATGGCCCAAAAGCCATCGTTTGGGAACAGCAAAGGATCCTCTGCTCTTTGAAAGCCAAAATCCTTGAGCTTAGCAAATTGCCTCGTACACAGATCAGACCTCCCAAGAAAAAGGGCAGCAGGGTGGTGGCTGGAGCTGTGGCAGCACCTCGGTTGGTGCCCTGTCGCCTGCAGCACCAGCCCGCAAGCCCCGGGGGTGTCCTGGAAATCTGCCTTCCTGGCCACCACTCCTGACACCCTGGTTTCTTAAGATGACAGAATGTAAGGTGGAAAAGAAGGCAGCATAGGGAGCTCGAAACTACTGCTCCGGACTCCCCTAAGCCTTTCCACAGGGCGGTGTTGGCAGGCTGTCCAGCCACCCTGGCCCGCGCCGCAGACAGGACTTCCTGGGAATCCAACATGGGGGCGAGACAGGAGTGGTTGGTATAAACAGTGACTTGCTCAGACCTGTTTCTAAGGAAGGAAGGAGAAGCTAGCTGGGCTCCAACCCCCTGCGGTGTCGTCTGACCCCACCTCAACACACACATTTCTTCTCCCTGCCTGTACAGAGGCCAGGCACCCAGAACTCCCTGAGAGACCCACCACGCCTCAGCCTGCCACCCCATTCCCCTGAGAAAGAAAAGCCAGCCGAGGAGGTTTGGGTTTTCTCAGGTACAGACGCTATGCACCGCGTCCCCTGAGGAGCCCGGGCAGTGGCGAGCCGTCCGGCCCCTCCGCTGCGTGTGTGGGGATTAATGTCCCGGCGTGGCAGGTCAGTGCAGTGTGCAGAGGCCAGTATTAATCGACAGATTAAAGCCAAGGAAAACCTGGGCAGGTGAGAGGAAGTCTCTGAGCTTGATCAAAAACATATTTCTGTTTCAGGTCTAAATAATGGGCTACGGGGAGGCACGTCTGTAAATTATACAGGAAGCCTTCTTCAACAACTGATTCACCCTGACAGTTTTACTGGAGTATATGAAAATGAGTATTAAAGATGTGATCTGTAGGCTTCCTTCCAGGAATTCCAATCTGGTTTCAATAAAATGGGAACACTGATTGGAAGTGAAGTTGCCTTCCGGTTTTGCCTTTGGCTATTACGTTCTCGTTCGTGAAATGACTGAATTCCACAACTACTTTTAATATTCACCTTTGAGTTCATCTCCCGCACTGGACACATTGGAATGATTAAAATAGCACTGGCTCCCCATGCTGGGTGCTCTCTAATTTAAAACAGCCCAGGTAGGGGCTGAAGACAAATGAGTCCTCCTGGTAAGTCCATTCGTTCTTTGCATGAAGTTGCTTTGTGGCACATTGAGGGCAGAATATTAAAAGTAAAAAAAAAAAAAATTAAATTAAATAATGCTCCTTGAGTAGATGCCTGAGGGAAAAGATTAAAGTTTGGTGCAAGGCAGAACTTGTAGTTTGTGTGGGATTGTTCTGGTTGCATTTATTTCTGAGCTTTTCTGCTTAGATTCTGTGCCTGCAACTGCAGTAATAGCCAGGAACCCGGGCTCCCTAGGGATGCCTTCCTCTTGGTCAGCCATGTGCTCTGACATGGCCTTGGTAAGTCGTTCCCAGCACGGGAGTGAGATTTGCCTTGAGCCACCTGCAGCTCGCCACCTCTCTTCTGCTCCTCAGGCCCTCCAGGGCTCATTCTCAAGAGGGCACTCTAGGTTAAGGAGCTCAGAGTGCCACCAAGAAGAGGGAAGCTAATTGGTTGATCCTTCCAGCACACTCCCAACAGAGACCCCCTTGCACCCCACTCTAATTATGGGGCTTATAGGCCACAGGTGTGTTTTCTATTCAACTTCTCTGGGATTTACTAGAGAAGGTGGATGAGCTATTTTGCTTCCATTTCTGTGCCAGAGTTCTCCCAGCTGGGAGGAAAAGAAAGGTGGTAGGTCTCACACTGCCTCCCCCATCATTTATTCATCCAGAGCTATTATAGGATTTTCAGTAAGGAAAAAAATGATACCTTGGGAGATTGGGCACCACTGGGAGACATGCATTCATTTTGAAATGTTTTTGTGAGATTGCAAATGTTGGCCTTTTTTATGCAAAATTCACATTTAATTTTCTCTGATCTTCAAAAATCACAAAAATAGTCTTCATGCATTTAACTTGGTATGAAACTGTGTTGTGTTTATTGTTTTCTAGCTGGGGATAACTTAACAGCCTGTGTTTTGGTTTCTAGTGTCTAAGGGTGTGGAACACCATGTACCTGTTGAATACCTCCAAGACAAATCCCATTTTTTAACCTGATGGACGAGGTATGCTTATGTGTTGGAATTAAAGGCATCTTTCCCCAGATATCAGTTGCCTCCTCTTGGGCCAACCAATGTGAAATGTGGACAGTAGCAGTAACGTCTATCCTTAATGCAGAAATTCCCCCATGATGGTGATGACCCAGTTAGATGGAGACTCACTGCATTTAAAATCACTCCTCCCAAGTACTGTTTACAAATGTAAGACTCTCTGGTTGCCATTCCTAATGTAAAGTATGGTGGCATTGGTGAGCACTGTGATGTTAACACAGCCGCACAGGGTTCTATACATTTAAATTAATGAAAATTAAACAAAATTTGAAATACAGTTCTTCAGTCACACAAGCCACATTTCATGTGCTCAACAGATGGTCAGTGACTACCATATTGGAAAGCTCAGCGATAGACCATTTCCATCATTGCAGAAAGATCTATTAGACATTGCTGGGTTCAAGTTTTATCATAATCCTAAGAAAATCATGAAGAAGATGAGGTCTCATTCCAGGCCAAATTTAATTGGAACCCTGCAATGTGAGAGTGGACCTGTGAGCTGTTGATAAACTTTGATGAAAGTGGAAATTTCCCATGTGGGACCCGAGACTAAATCTGACCCAGAGTATTTTGAAGATGAGGTTGGCTAACGATGGTTCTGCCAAAATACTTGTGACTGATCAGAACAGAATGGAATTCTGAACAGGTGCAATATCCCAAGTACTCAAGAACTCAAGTCCCTGATGTTAATGGCACAGGAAAAATGTTTCTCATTTTCTGCGACGTTATTTTTTATTTGGTAACTCTTAGATGTTTCTTGCTACATATGATTGCATCTTGCACCTAGGAAAGCACCCCTCTGCCAGTTCTGAGCCCCCTCGTTCCGGGGCTGGGTGATGGATCCTCCAGAGTGCATCCCAACCTCATCTCATTCTTGTGCTCGGCTGGGATAACACTTTATTTCTAGCATTCTACACTTTTTTGAGATATGGACTCTGTGCAGAGATATTCTTTTTTATACACTGAAGACAACACAGAGCACCTCTCTGCTCATCCTAAAGGCCAGCAAATTGGATGGAGGGCCCCTTATAAGCCCAGTTCCGTGTCTAAATGTACCCGGCCAGGGTGGCTCTCCCAGTGGCTCAAGCCCCTAAGGACCTCTGTTCTCTGTTCACCTGCCTTGAGCTGGTTACACAGAGGTCAGGCCAGGGACTTTCCTGCTGTCAGAGCATATCTAGCCCAGCTAAGCCACATCACCAACAACGGACAGTGGGTGTGGGCACCATTGTGTGGAATGTGCCATCACATAGTCCACGGTACGGGCAAGTATGGCAGGGTTCTGAAGATGTCAATTAGAGGGGGTGGAAATGGTCAGGGTAGACCCAAGAGAGCAACGATGCCTGGATGATCAGTTTTTGTTAGTCAGTAGTTACCAAGCACCTGCCATATTCCCGGAAGTGTGCTAGGCACCTCCTTAAGTTTGTTGCTTTTAATTATTGCAGGATGCCCTGATGTTAGTACTGTCATTTCCAACATGCAAATGAGTAGGTGACGCTAATAGCTTACATAACTAGTCCTAAGTCACACAGCTCAAGATCTGCTAAACTCAGACCTGAGTTCCATTGTCCTTAAGGCCGAAGTTGAGTACTACATGGTGGGGTGCTAATGGGTTTGGTTGATAGAGGAAACTCCCCAAGGAGGAGTCAGAGTCTGGCACAGATTTCCCGAGACTTGGGATGAGTGAGGGAAGCCATCCAGGACATGAGCCCGGGTCACCTGCTAGTTGTGGGATTGCACTGTGTGTTCTCGGAAAACGGAGCCAGCCACCCCAGGCCCATCTCAGTGCATGAACAGGGGCTGCTCCTCCCTGGGACTGGAGAACCAGTGGGCCCTGAGAGCACCTTCTTGGTCCTCCTGTCCACTTTCATTTTTGGAGAAGTTGCCTGAGGCCAGGATTGGCAGAGCTGGTTAAAGCCACGCAGAGCCAGAGGTGAAACCCAGGTCTCCTGCTGTTATTCCACATAAGAGCCCACTGGAGTTTCAGCCCAAAGACCAAGATGTCGGGTTTGTCCTTGTTGCCAGCAAGCACTTCAGGGCCTGCCAGACTCTCTTGGGAGCCACACCTGCCAGCATGGGCACAGTGGCTCCTGCAGGTGGACTTTTCACTACAGACTGGGAGGTCTGAGTACCTGCTTCCATCTGGATCGCCAGGGACTTGGTAGGATTCTATCTGCATGGGCGAGGCACGCACGTGTGTGTGTGTGTGTGTGTGTGTGTGTGTGTGTGTGTGTGAAGTTTGGCATGCAACCCTCCAGAATTGGGTGAGATTTTGGAGTGCTTGGAAGGCCTGGATCTCCCAGCAGCAGGCTCTGCACTCAGGGCTTTGCTGTTAGCATTGGGAGAACCCAGAAACAAAGATGCTTTTGCTGCAGCACAGGGCGCACGGTGTGTGCTTTGCTTTTAGCTGTGTTATGTGTGGACAGGAGGATCATCATGGTCTGCTTAGGCCTTTGAAGTTCTTAATCCAGTCCTGGTGATTGGGAAATATTTAATCAATCCATTGCTGACAATCTATAGAAGCTGCAGTTATAAAGCTAAGATGATGTGCACGGTCTCCCAATAAGTCAGCTAGAGATTTTATCTGGGGCCCCTTCCAAGTCAGTACATTTTCTCACACATGTGCCAGTGTGACCCACATCTTGCCCTTCTCATATCACAGCCCAATGACACTTTATTTGCAATATTTAATTGTTTGCTCCCTGCAACTGAACTGTAAGGGTCGAGAGGACAGAAACTGAGTCCGATTTGCTCCTGGTTCTATTTTCAGTGCCTGGAATGAGCTCTGTACACAGGCAGCTCCTTGGTCTCTGCTGAATGAATGAATGGCCGGGAATGAATGCCATCATGTGCTTGGCCCCATGGGGGAAGACTGCACCATGACCATACTCTCACATCCCGAAAGTTCCAGTGCTCCACGCTCTCCCTGCAGACCCCATTCCCTAGCCAGCTCCTCCTCTCCCTGTGCCTGCGAGTTGTATCCACATTGCTTGACACCTGAAAGAGGTTGTGGGCAACCCGGCCCAGCGCCCCTGATCAGCCATTTGCATCGTCTGCAGTGCTCCAAGCCCCCAGCACGCAGGCACTCCAGGCTGATCCAGGCTAAGCATGTGTTCATAAAGGCTTCCCCCTTTCTTCGGAAGAACCTCTCCTTTCCTCTCCAAATCACTCTGGCTGCTTCTTTGAAATGCCAGAACAGGGATGGAAGAAAACATCAGTGCAGCGGCTGCTGCTTCCGCTCTGAGAGGCTCAGATCTCTGAATGCTGAGGAGGGGCTGCATTTGGGGTGACAGTATCTTCTCCGAAATCTTCATCCACAGTAAACACTGCTAACTACCAACTCATAAAACATATCAGCTGGGTTTATTACTTTTAACCATCTTTCCAATTGTGCTATAAAATAAAGGCAGATGCCATTTTAAGATCTTATTATTGTCAAGGGCCGGCTTCTCCAGCAGCACCTGCTTAGCAGCAGTCTGCTTGTTTATGGCTCCTTTTTTTATAGGTGACAGTTTAAGGTGGCTCTTCTCCGGTTACAAAGAGTTCTTCCTGACGGCACAGAAGTGGCACGCACAGTAGGTGGGCCCCGGCTTCCGCTGGCGGTGCCGAGGCAGGGTCGCAGGTTCACCTGGGTTTTCCGTTGACAGCCTCGCCACACACATTTGGCTCTGCCAAATGCTCTGCCATTAATTTATGATTTAAAGTAATTAACTTTTGCTGATTAAAGTAATTATTTCAAGTGCATTGCACTCGGGCCCAAATGATGCACACAGCCCCCTCTCCAGTTTGAGCGAGCAGCATGCCAAGTGCTTAAAAGCTGCACCGGGGATCTCAGAGTGGCTTCTGCCCGTCTCGCGGATCTGCCATGTTTATGGCTGACTTGTACTAACTGCTCATTTTAATGCTGGATTCTGGCAGAACGTTGACACAGTGTGAAACCTTCATCCGGTAAACAAGACAAGCTTCAGCTTGGTGACACCGATGACAGTGGAAGCCGTTTAAATGAATCTTGCCTCCAGCCTTCCAGAGGTATCATGTTTTTGTGCTCTCCTGCTTACCCAGGTTGGCCCTTAAACAGTGTACAGCTTCATCTGGCCTCAGCCGAGAGTGCAGAACATATGCACGGTGGGAACCCAGCCCCACGCCCTGAAATTCAGCTGCAGCCCAGCACGGACCCTCCACTGGGCCCTCAGGGCCTGGAGAGAACAGGCTGGCAGCCAGTTGCTTCCCAGGAGAAGCTGGTCTCTGTTTAGGGAAACGTCTGCAAGGTAATGGAGAGAGACACAGATGAAGGGGGCTTGCGGGTGGGGGCTTGCCCCATCACTTCACATCAAAAGCACTTTCTTCCCTCGTGCCCAGTGGGGCAGGGAATCAAACACTGTGGTCAGTGACTTCCCTAGCAGGGAGACTGCTGCGGGCAGGAGCAGAGGAGCT